>NC_000009.12:129475823-129789641 GCF_000001405.40 Homo sapiens | reverse complement strand
CCCACCTCAGCCTCCGGAGTAGCAGGGATTATAGGCATGTGCCATCATGCCTGGCTAAT
Source organism: Homo sapiens (assembly GCF_000001405.40). Lineage (NCBI taxonomy): Eukaryota > Metazoa > Chordata > Mammalia > Primates > Hominidae > Homo > Homo sapiens. The sequence goes on along the minus strand of NC_000009.12, from coordinate 129,789,582 downwards.
TTTTGTATTTGTAGTAGAGACAGGGTTTTGCCATGTTGCCCAGGATGATGGTCTCGAACTCCTGAGCTCAGGCAATCCCCCTGCCTTGGCCTCTCAAAGTGCTGGGATTACAGGCATGAACCACTGAGCCCAGCCCTATTCCTATGAAATCTTAAGATCATAGAATATCGCATGTGCTTTCACACTGCTTTATTGAGGTATCATTGACACAGAACAAACTGCACATATTTAAAGTGTGCAATTTGCAGCGCCCAGCTCTACTAAAAATAGAAAAATTAGCTGGGTGTGGCGGCGAGCACCTGTAATCCCAGCTACTTGGGAGGCTGAGGCAGGAGAATCACCTGAACCCGGGACGTGGACTTGGCAGTGAGCCCAGATCGTGCCACTGCACTCCAGCCTGGGCGACAAGAGTGAAATTCCATCTCAAAAAAAAAAAGTGCAATTTGCTAAGTTTTGACATTTGTACGCACCCATGCAACCATCGCCACAAACAAGGTCGTGAACATACCCACCATGCCCAGAAGATTCCTTGTGCCACCTTGTCATCCCTTTCTCTTGTCTCTCCCCTCACGTTCTCTCCCTGTCAACCACCGATCTCGTTCTGTCACTATAGATTAGTATATTTGTTATAGATGGTTACAAATATTATTATTAGATAGATAGTGTTTTATTTATGAAATGCTTGCTCAGTGCCAGGCTCTGGGAGCGTTACAGTCATTATCTCATTTAAATCCAGAGCAACCCTGTGAGGTAGCGGATTGGAAATCTGCATTTTGCAGGCAAAGAAGGTGACTTGCAGAGAAATGAAGTCACTTGCCCAAGGGAGTTCCTAAACATCTAGAAAGTGCTGTTGGGAGGCCGAGGCGGGGGATCACGCGGTCAGGTGTTTGAGACCAGCCTGACCAACATGGTGAAACCCCATCTCTACTAAAAATACAAAAAATTAGCCGGGCATGGTGGTGCGCGCCTGTAATCCCAGCTGCTTAGGAGGCTGAGGCAGGAGAATTGCTTGAACCCAGGAGGCAGACATTGCAGTGAGCCGAGATAGCGCCACTGCACTCCAGCCTGGGCGACAGAGTGAGACTCCGTCTCAAAAAAAAAAAAAAAGAAAGAAAAGAAAAAAAGAAAGTGCTGGAGCCAGGACAGACGCTGGGCTCATGTGGGGGCTCCACCCCAGTGTCCTGACTCTTTCCCCCAACAGTCCAACAGGGAGGAGCACAATGCCTGGGTTCCAATTCCACCTCTGCCATGATCATGAACATGACCCTGGGCTGGTTGCCCAACCCCTCTAGGTCTCAGTTTCCTCGTTGGTGGCATGGTTGTCCTTACCTTATAGGGTTGCCTGAGGGTCACTTAAGATGATGAGTGTGGAGGCCTCTCAGCAGAGAGCTTTCAGGACAGACCAGTAAACAAGTGACCATGGTGTGGGATGCAAGTACGGTGAGACGGACGTGCAGGAATCTGAGATAATAAGGGGATGGCTAGCGGCCAGGCGCGGTGGCTCACGCCTGTAATCCCAGCACTTTGGGAGGCTGAGGCAGGCGAATCATGAAGTCAGGAGTTTGAGACCAGCCTGGCCAACATGGTGAAACCCTGTCTCTACTAAAAATACACAAAATTAGCCGGGTGTAGTGGCAGGTGCCTGTCATCCCAGCTACTTGGGAGGCTGAGGGAGGAGAATCTCTTGAACCTGGGAGGTGGAGGTTGCAGTGAGCTGAGATTTCACCACTGCACTCCAGCCCAGGTGACAGAGTGAGACTCCGTCTCAAAAAAAAAAATAGATAAATAAATAAATAAGGGGGTGGCTGTTGTGGGAGCCAAGTCTTCCAGGAAGTTCTCTCCTTGAACTCTGGGCCACTATCATCCATTCTACTCACGTTGGAAATGCATCCCCTATCTACTTGTGGCCGGGGGCTTCCTCTTTGTCAGGTGTTGGGACTCAACAGTCAATAAGAAAGACTTGGCACCACCCACCAGGACTCCCACCTGGTCGGGAGGTGGGGGCAGAGGGGCAAGTCCCCAGCAATTACAGTCCAGTGGGATCAGTGCTGTGCTGGGGGAAATACAGGCACATATTGTCCATTTTGCTTTCATAATCCCTCCAGGCTTCGTTCCTCCAAGCTCTCCCAACCTTACCTGAGATACTCCTGCTGTCCCATGGAGAATTCTTTATAAGTGCAGTATTGTTGAAATACACCCCAAGGACATTGCTACTGCTGCTGTTGAAAAGCTTCCTGTTCTTTGGGTTTGTGAATACACAGTACTCTGGTCTCCCACTATTGTTCCCTAACCAAGTGCCACCTCCAGCCCCAAACCGATCACAAACGGGATGGCCAAGCACTGGGCGTGGGAATAACCGGTCTGAAGCTCAGCCACGCCGCTATAGACTGTGTGACCTTGGCCGTCATTTATTTTCAATCAAGGCTCAGTTGTTCACCTGTGAGTTCTCTGCAGGATATGGTTATCCCTGAGCTGGCTTCTTCTTACCCTGAGACTTGCTCACGCCCGTTGACCTCCCGGTGGTTGTGGACTCAAAGGCTGTCAACCCACTTAGAAAGCAAAACATAGTGGGGAAAGGAAAGCTGCTGTCCAAAGGGATCACACACCACTGTCACGCGCTTCTGTGTGAAGAGTCCACTAACAGGCTTTGTGTGAGCAACAAGGCTGTTTATTTCAACTGGGTGCAGGCGGGCTAGTCCGAAAAGAGAGTCAGCAAAGGGTGGTGGGGTTATCATTAGTTCTTATGGGTTTGGGATAGGCAGTGGAGTTAGGAGCAATTTTTTTGTGGGCAGGGGGTGGATCTTAGGAAGTACATTCTCAAGGGCGGGGAGAATATTACAAAGTACCTTCTTAAGGGCGGTGGGCGGGGGAATATCACAAAGTGCATTATCACAAGGGCGGGGAGCGTGTATTGTCATAAGGTCAGTTGATCAGTTGAGGGTGGGGCAGGAACAGATCACAATGGTGGAATGTCGTCTTTTGTGGATCTTCAGTTGCTTCAGGCCATCTGGATGTATACGTGCCGGTCACAGGGGATATGATGGGTTAGCTTGGGCTCAGAGGCCCGACAACCACCAAGGTACCAATCCGAGGTTGCAGAAGGAGGTTAATGGGTTGTATCCATAGGGACTTTTTTTTTTTTTTTTTAAGAAACAGGTCTCACTCTCTTGCCCAGGCTGGAGTACAGTGGTATGATCATGGCTCACTGCAGCCTCAATCTCCTGGGCTCAAGCAGTCCTCCCTCCTTAGCCTCAAGAGTAGCTAGAACTAGGCACATATCACCACACCCAGCTAATTAATTTTTTTTTTTTTGTAGAGATAGGGATTTGGCTCTTTTGCACCCTCCAGGGCTTGGACCAGTGCTTCACACATGGCGGGAAAAGGAGAGCATCTTGTCAAGAACTGGGAAGGGTCTGATATTTTGCCCTGCTTGCAAGCCCACAAGTTAGCCTGCCAGTTACATGGTGGCTGGCAAAGACATGAGTCTCCTGGGTCAGAGACAAACAACTTTATTACTCATGGCACAGCAGATGTCAACAAATATTTGTGAAATGAATAGATGGTTGGATGATCTTCAGTCCTAAGCTACATACCCAGGAAATGGCAGCTCCCAGATTTCTTGGGGACAACAAGAGTCTCTGAAGTCAGTTAAAGAGCAAAGGAGGAAGACAAGGCCAGTTTGGCAATGTCCAGTGAAGCTGAAGATGTGTGTACCCTGCAACCCAGAAATTCCACTCTTTGAGTCTTTATCACATTATGGCTCATGTGGACAGTGTAGGTATTTGTACAGCCAGTGAGGCTAGGGGAGGAGCTGGCAGAGGAGCTACCTGGGCCACAGCTCTGGCTACTGCAGACCTTCCTGCTGCTCATCTGTGACCTTCATGGCAAGGAGGGTGCAGAGCCCTGCCCTGTAGGAACCCACACATTTGCATGTGGAGACACATTCAAGGATGCTCATGGCAACATGATTTATGACATTAGACATTGGAATCACACCTAATTTTCCATCACTAAGAGAATGGATGAACCATTGTTCAGTTCTACAATGAAATATTATATAGCAGTTAAAAATGGATACACTTGAACTATTGTGTGTCCATATCAGTAAATCTCAGGAGTCAGAGTTGAGGAAAAAGCAAAAGTAGCAAGATGATATACACTCTTCTCTCTCCCTCCCTCCCTCCTTCCTTCCTTTCTTCCTTTCCTTCCTTCTTTCCTTCCTTCCTTCCTCTATTGCCCACGCTAAAGTGCAGTGGTGTGATCTCGGCTCACTGCTACCTCCGCCTCCCGGGAAAAAACGATTGTCATGCCTCAGCCTCTCGGGTAGCTGGAATTACAGGCATGAGCCACCACGCCCAGCTAATTTTTGTATTTTTAGTAAAGACAGGGTTTCATCATGTTGGCCAGGCTGTTCTTAAACTCCTAGCCTCAAGTGATCTGCCTGCCTTGGCCTCCCAAATTGCTGGAATTACAGGCATAAGCCACAATGCCTGGCCTATTTACATATTAAAAATGCAGCATGCCGGGTGCGGTGGCTCACGCCTGTTATCCCAGCACTTTGGGAGGCCAAGGTGGGTGGATCACGAGGTCAGGAATTCAAAACCAGCCTGGCCAAGATGGTGAAACCCTGTCTCTACTAAAAATACTAAAAAGTAGCCGGGCCTGGTGGCGGGTGCCTGTAATCCCAGGTACTCGGGAGGCCAAGGCAGGAGAGTCGCTTGAACTCAGGAGGCAGAGGTTGCAGTGAGCCAAGATTGCACTATTGCACTCCAGCCTGGGTGACAGAGCGAGACTCCATCTCCAAAAAAAAAAACAAAAACAAAAAACAACACAGCACCCTATCCATTTTTATGGACACATAATACATGTGTAGCTGAAGTAAAAACTAAACACAAAAAGGAACTGATATTTAAGCATATCCTGAGAGTGACAAAATTTTTTAAAAAAAGGAATTGATATACTTCAACTTAGACATGGAGATAACTTTTGGAGAGGAATCCCAAAGTGATGGGGCTTGAAGTTTTAGTTTTATTAAAGATATAGAGATCTAGGCCAGGCACGGTGGCTCATGCCTGTAATCCCAGCACTTTGGGAGGCTGAGGCAGGAGGATCACTTGAGTCCAGGAGTTCAAGCCCAGCCTGGGCAACGTAACAAGACCCTGTCTCTACAAAAAATACAAAAATTAGCTGGGTATGGTGTTGCGCGCCTATAGTCCCAGCTACTCGGGAAGTTGAGGTGGGAGGACTGCTTGAGCCCGGGAGGTTGAGGTTGCAGTGAGCTGTGATGGCACCACTGCACTCCATCCTGGGCAATAAAGCGAGACCCTCTCTCAAAAAAAAAAAAAAAAAAGAGATTTGAAGCAAATATAGTAAAATGCAAAATGTAATCTCTGCTAAATCTGGGTGGAGAGTATGTTCTCTCCTCTATCTTTGATGAAATAGTTGATAATTAAATGAAAAAGTTAAGATGGTCTCTAGAGGGATAGCTTACACACATCAGGAGAATCTGGCCTTTGGTAACCTGAAGAGTGTTGCTATTTTTGCCGGTGAGAGAAGGGCTAGAAAGCATCCATTTCTCCCCAACCGTGCCTCGCCAGGGGCTTGGCCGAGGGAGCCTGGGGTACTTCCCTAATCTAACCACTAGATGGGGCCAGTACTACGGGTTAGAAATGGGGAGACCCGAGGGAGGGCTGTGGGATCCTTCTAGCAACTTGACACAAGGAAGAATCAGTTTTTGCAAGAAACAGAGGATGATAATTTACTTGAGAACATGAGAGACAGGTAAAGGTAGAAAAACAGCAGTCACAGCTGGGTGCGGTGGCTCACGCCGGTAATCCCAGCACTTTGTGGGGCTGAGGAGGGCATATTGCTTGAGTCCAGGAGTTCGAGACCAGCCTGGGCAACATAGCAAGACCCCTGTCTCTACAAAAAATAAAATATTACCTGGGCCTGGTGGCATGGTGCCTGTAGTCCCAGCTACTCTGGAGGCTGAGGCAGAAGATTCATTTGAACCCAGGAGTTTGAGGCTGCAGTGATCCACAATCGTGCCACTCCAGCCTGGACAACAGAGTGAAACTGTCTTGAAAAAAAGAAAATGAAAAAGAAAAACAGGAGTCAGGTAACAAAAGAACCCCTAGTTAAAGTAGCAATATCATTCAATACCATTCACAGGTATTGGTAAAGTACCTATTTTCTTTTTTTTTTCCTTTTTTTTTTTTTTTTTTGAGACAGAGTCTCGCTCTGCTGCCCAGGCTGGAGTGCAGTGGCGCAATCTTGGCTCACTGTAAGCTCCACCTCCCGGGTTCTCGCCATTCTCCTGCCTCAGCCTCCCGAGTAGCTGGAACTACAGGCACCCACCACCATGCCTGGCTAATTTTTTGTATTTTTAGTAGAGACGGGGTTTCACCGTGTTAGCCAGGATGGTCTCGATCTCCTGACCTCGTGATCCGCCCGCCTCGGCCTCCCAAAGTGCTGGGATTACAGGCGTGAGCCACCGCACCCGGCCAAAATACCTATTTTCTAGTCTCCTAAGTTACCCGAGATGCAGTTGTTAAGCATTAAAACAGATGCCAACAGGGGTTCAGGGAAATTCCAGTTTCTATCCCTTTGGGTTTTTTGTTTTGTTTTGTTTTGTTTTTGAGATGGAGTCTCGCTCTGTCGCCCAGGCTGGAGTGCAGTGGCGTGATCTCGGCTCACTGCAACCTCAGCCTCCAGGGTTCAAACGATTCTCCTGCCTCAGCCTCTCAAGTAGCTGGAATTACAGGCGCATGACACCACGCCCAGCTAATTTTTGTATTTTTTAGTAGAGACGGGGTTTCACCATGTTGACCAGGCTGGTCTCAAACTTCTGAGGTCAGGTGATCCACCCACCTCGGCCTCCCGAAGTGCTGGGATTACAGATGTGAACCGCCATGCCCAGACCCTTTCCCTTTGTCTGATTGATATCATTCCACCCCTGTTCACTGAACCAACCAGAGGCGTGTGCACCTTCTGGAGGCTGGAATGATTCGTGTTAGTCTGAATGCCTGGGCTTTGGCATAAAGGCCCTGAGTCCATCTTCTGGCTCTGCTCCTGATCAGCTCTGTGACCCTGGGTGATGGTCTTAGCCTTTCTAGGCTTCGGTTTTCTGATCTGTAAAGTAGGGATGATAATAACATTACCTAGCCTGTAGTCCCAGCTATTTGGGAGGCTAAGGTGGGAGGATCCTTTGAGCCCAGGAGTTCAAGGGTGCAGTGAGCTGTGACCGCACTACTGCACCCACCCTGGGCAACAGAGTGAGAACACTATCCTATCTCCAGCAGGCACGCAGGGCCCCATAACTTAAGCTCATGTGATCTTATCCCTGCCCTCTTCTTGGCCCTAGAATCCTCACCATGTATTTGCTCTGCCTAGACTGGGCTGTGCATTCCTCTGGGAAGGGGTGGTGGTTATCTCGCTCATATCCCAGGGCCAGCACAGGGATAAACTTAAAATTGTTTGGAATGAACAACAACAAAAAAATCAGGGCTGGGCGTGGTGGCTCATTCTTGTAATCCCAGCACTTTGGGAGGCCGAGGTGGGAGTATCACTTGAGTCCAGGAGTTTGAGACTACCCAGGACAACATAGTGAGACCCTGTCTCTATGAAAAATTTAAAAAGTAGCTGGGCATGGTGGTGTGTCCGTAGTCCCAGCTACTCAGGATGTAGTCCCAGGCTACTCAGGAGGCTGAGATGGGAGGATTACTTGAGCCTGGGAGACCAAGGCTGCAGTGAGCTGAGATCATGCCACTGCTCTACAACCTGGGTGACAGAGTGAGACTTTGTCTCAAAAAAAAAAAAAAAAAAGAAAAAGAAAAAAGAAAAAAAGAAAAAAGAATAGGCGGGGCATGGTTGCTTACACCTATAATCCCAGCACTTTGAGAGGCCAAGGTGGGCAGATCACTTGAGGTCAGGAGTTCAGGACCAGCCTGGCCAACACGATGAAACCCCATCTCTACTAAAAATACAAAAATTAAGTGGTCATAGTAGCATGAGCCTGTAATCCAGCTACTCGAGAGGCTGAGGCAGGAGAATCTCTTGAACCCAGAAGGCGAAGGTTGCAGCGAGCTGAGATCACACCGTTGCACTCCAGCCTGAGTGACAGAGACTCCGTCTTAAATAAATAAATAAATCGGTCAATTTGGTCTAATCCAGTGAATGTCTCAAGTAGCATTATTGAGGCATATTTTCCATATCATAATTTACCCTTTTAAGTGTGCAATTTAGGGATTTTACCACATCATCATAGTCAATTTACCAACCTACTATGGTGTAACCACCAACATAAGTCAGTTTTAAAATATTTTCATCATCCCAATATGATCTCTCTTTCTGAGACAGCGTCCTGCTCTGTTGTCTAGGCTGGGGTACAGTGGCGGAATCTTTGTACACTGCAGCCTCAACCTCCTAGGCTCAAGCGTTCCTCCCACCTCAGCCTCCCAAGTAGCTGAGACTACAGGCATGCAACACCACACCCAACTAATTTTTGCATTTTTTCTAGAGTTTGGTCTCATTATGTTGACCAGGCTGGTCTTAAACTCTTGGGCTCAAGTGATCCTCCCACCTTGGCCTCCCAAAGTGCTCGTATTACAGGTGTGAGCCACACCACACCTGGCCTCTCTTTTTTGTTTTTTTTAACTGACCTATTTCAAAGCACTTTGCAGACATTTTTAAATGTCACCCCTACACCCTTCATCATGTATCTCCTAAGATTAAGGAGAGCTCTTCCAAAACCACAATACCCATACCGTCTTGCTTTGCTTTTCATTTCTTTTTCGAGATGGGATCTCATTCTGTCACCCAGACTGGAGTGCAGTGGCGCAATCTCAGCTCACTGCAACCTCCGCCTCCCAGGTTCAAACAATTCTCCTGCCTCAGCCTCTCGAGTAGCTGGGATTACAGGCACCTGCCACCATGCCTAGCTAATTTTTGTATTTTTAGTAGAGACAGGGTTTCGCCATGTTGGCCAGGCTGGTCTCCAACTCCTGACTTCAGGTAATCCACGTGCCTAGGCCTCCCAAAGTGCTGGGATTACAGGCGTGAGCCACCACGCCCAACCTGTTTTGTTTTTTAAATTCAAGATCTAATCAAGGATTAAACCTTGCATTTCGTTGTCTTGGGAAGCCAGAACCCAGACTGAATTGAATCCAGGTTAATGAACATTGCTAGCCCATGTGAAAACTTGCACAGGCCAGGCGCCTGGGGAAAGTGCAGTGCACCCTGAATCTCATTTAATCCTCAGAACGTTCTGCTAGGTGCCACTGCCCACATTTTATGGAGAGAGGTGGTGTCCTCCAGGCTGGAGTGCAATGGTGCAATCTCAGCTCACTGCAACTTCTGCCTCCTGGGTTCGAGATTCTCACTCCTCAGCCTCCTGAGCAGCTGGGATTACAGGCATGGGCCACCACGCTCAGCCAATTTTTGTGTTTTTAGTAGAGATGGGATTTCGCCATATTGTCCAGGCTGGTCTCGAATTCCTGACCTCAGGTGATCCGCCCGCCTCAGCATCCCAAAGTGCTGGGATTACAGGCCACCGCGCCTGATCCTAAATAATCATTTTTAAAATCAATCAATCCTTCCTTCCTCCTTCCTCCCTCCCCTGCCTTCCTTCTTTCCTTTCTTTCTTTCTTCCTTCCTTTCTTTCTCTTTCTTTCTTTCTCTTTTCTTTCTTTCTTTCCTCTTTCTTTCTTCTTTCTTTCTCTTTCTTTCTGTCTTTTCCTTCCCTCCCTCCCTCCTTCCCTCCCTCCTCCTTCCCTTCTTTCCTTCCTCTCTCCCTCTTTCTTTCTTTCTTCTTTCTCTGTCTTTTCCTTCCCTCCCTCCCTCCTTCTCTCTCTTTTTCCTTTCTTTCTTTCTTTCTTTCTTTCTTTCTGTCTGTCTCTTTTCCTTCCCTCTCTCCTTCCCTTCTTTCCTTCCTTCCTTTCTTTCTTCCTTCCTTCTTTCCTTCCTCTCTCCCTCTCTCTCTCTTTTTTCTTTCTTTCTTCTTTCTTTTTCTTTCTTTGTCTTTTCCCTGGCGCCTGGTGGCAGGCGCCTGTAATCCCAGCTACTTGGGAGGCTGAAGCAGGCGAACTGCTTGAACCCAGGAGGTGGAGGTTGCAGTGAGCTGAGATCGCACCACTGCACTCCAGCCGGGCGACAAGAGCAAAACTCCATCTCAATAAATAAATACATACATACATACATACATACATACATACATACATACATACATGTATACATACATACTATTGGAATCTAGCATGGAGGTTGCCACCCCCTTTTGCTGGTGTGGGGTGCAGTTCTGAGAGGCAGGGCAGACACCCATTGGGGCCTTTTGCTAAGGACCGAATTGTGTCCCCCTAGAATTTGTGCGTCAAACTCCAAATCCCCAATGTGATGGCGTTGGAGATTGGGGCCTTTCGGAGGTGATTAGGGTTTGATAAGGTCATGAGGGTGGGGCCCTCAAGATTGGATCAGTACCCTTATAAAAAGAGACACCAGGGAACTTCCTTCTACTCTCTCTCACCATGTAAGGACACAGTGAGAAGGCACCTGGATCTTGGACTTCCCAGTCTCCACAAACATAAGAAATAAATTCCTGTTGTTTAAGCACCCAATCTGTGGCATTTTATTTATTTATTTATTTATTTTAGAGCCAAGGTCTTGTTTTGTCACCTGGGCTGGAGTGCAGTGGTACCATCATGGCTCCCTGCAGCCTCAAACGGCTGGGCTCAGGGCATCCTCCTGCTTCAGCATCCCAAGTGGCTGGGACTACAGGTGCATGCCACCACGCTTAGCTATTTTTTTTTTTTTTTTAGAGATGGGGTCTTGCTATGTTGTCCAGGCTGGTCCTGAACTCCTGGGTTCAAGTGATCCTTCTGCCTCAGGCTTCCAAAGTGCTGAGATTACAGGTGTGAGTCATCACACCTGGCAATGGCATTTTATTATGGCAGCCTGAGCTGACTAAGGTAGACAGCAGGGAAAGAAGCTTCCATGCATTCCTCTTTGGGGAATCTGAACTTTCCAAGGCCTGCCTCCCTCCTCTGCAGGACGCTGGAACATGTTCAGTGATAGGTGGGCCTGAGGCTGTGCATCCCATGTCCCCAGAGCCTCTCTGTTGCTAGAAAATGTTCTTTCTTTCCTTGTGATTAAGGAGAAATCTGCCTTCCTGGGCCTCTCCACCCCTGGGGCCTGTCTCTACTACTCTACTATTTGGGTTTCTAGAACCCTCCCATCTCCTTTGGAGACATCCTCTTTCTTTTTTCTTTTCTTTTCTTTTTTTTTTTTTTGAGACAGATTCTTGCTCTGTCACCCAGGCTGGAGGGCAGTGGCACGATCTCAGCTCACTGCAACCTCCGCCTCCCAGGTTCAAGCGATTCTCCTGCCTCAGCCTCCCGAGTAGCTGGGATTGCAGGTGCCGGCCACCACGCCCAGCTAATTTTTTGTATTTTTAGTACAGATGGGGTTTCACCATGTTGGCCAAGCTGGTCTCGAACCTCTGACCTCATGTGATCCTCCCGCCTAGGCCTCCGAAAGTGCTGGGATTACAGGCGTGAGCCACCTCGCCCAGCCTCAGCCTTTCTCCTAATCATCACCTTGCCCTGGGCGGGTCCTAACTGCCGGGAGCCCCCAGCAAGCCTCATCTTAACAAGCCAGAACATAGCCCACATGAGGGGATGGGGGAGTGACTGGAAGTCACTGGGCCATGGTTGCAAAGGTGGCGAATGGCAGAGGAGCTGGGACACACCCACAGGGTGTCTGACCGTGATTTTAACTGCTCTTCCACGCCTCCGTGAATGAATGAATGAATGAACACATGTTCTACTACCAGACTTTGTTTTTCAGAAATATAGCAACCCTTTGGAAAAATCATAGGTCCTGTCACTAACAAGTTGAATTTAGTTATCAAGTCACTTTCTTGGTTAGAGAAGAGGAAAGGGGAGGAGGAGATGGGAAGAGGAGGAGGGAGGAGGGAGGATGAAGAAGCTCTGACGGGACCCAGTAGTGCAAGGCAGAGGGTGTCTCCGGAGGAAGCTTCCCTTCACTGTGGCAATTTCCTGAGGCTTGGTCTTGGCTTCTCGCAGCAAACAGGGTCTTCATCTGCCCAGCATCTGAACCCTAACCGCAGAGGGTTGAGAGACAGAGGAGGGGGCCCCCACAGGGCCTGTGGTTTGAGTGAGGAAAGCAATTGTGTAAAAGTGGAGAGCCTTTCCGCAGCCCAGGGCCAGTCCCTGCCTGAGTCATGCTAGAGAGAGAGGGAGGAGCAGGCAGGATCCTGGAGCTCCCTGGATTTCAAGCTGGCCGTGGCCTCCCGGGTGACGTCACTGCGGTCATTGCCTGATGAGCTCAGGCAGAGGCGCCTGGGGACGGGGTAAGTGGTGAGAGGGAGGGCCACGGCTGTCTTGGGTGAACCCCAGGCTCCAGTTGGAGACTCTGCTGTGGCAAGAGGTCCACCCCACCCCCGGGCGCCATCTGGGGACACTCCGGCATCCCATTCCAATGGCTGTTCTGCCAGGGCCTCACCCTGGCTCTTGGTCTTAGGACTGCTGTGTTTGCCTGCCTAGGTGTGCGGGTCAATCTGTGCAGAGCTGGGGAGCAAGTGATCACTGGGAGCAAAGACAGCTTTCAGCCTGGAGGGAGAAGCATTTCTTCCCGCTAGGATAATGGCCAATTCAGAGGCCCTAGACCATGCTGTCCCCAGAGCCTGGGTGCATTGCTGATGACGAGATCCCAGCCGGGGGTCAGGCCTCCCAGGACTGTCAAGCTGGGCTGCTTGAGTCCCTGGCTCCAGGGGTGGGGGTGGGGCTGAATGGCAAGGGAGAGAGCTGGTCCATTCCAGGCTCCAACCTCAGAACCCTCTGGGAGTAAGATTACCCAGCCCTGTGCTCGGGCTGAGCAATCAACTATAGCGCACACGCTCCTTTACTGTGGTTCCGAGATAGTTAATTGAAATCTGGATACTCTGGGTAAAGTCAGAACATCCAGCTGGGCCCAGCATGGGAGATCAGCTTGATGAGTCTCCCGCACCCTATTCTGGGCATCAGCAGAGTCAGTTCTCTGAAGAGTCTTTTTCATATATATCACATAGATAGAGAGATAGGCAGGTTGGTAGGTAGGTAGATAGGTCAATAGGTAGGTAGGTAGGTAGTTAGACATAGGTATCTATCTATCTATCTATCTATCTATCTATCTATCTATCTATCTATCTATCTATCTATCTTACTGTAGTTTAGCACAGACATTGGTTAAGTCATGTCACTCCTCTGAACCTCAATTTTCTCATCTCTAAAATGGGGATATTAGGCCGGGCGAGGTAGCTCATGCCTGTAATCCCAGCACTTTGGGAGGCCAAGGCAGGTGGATCACCTGAGGTCAGGAGTTCAAAACCAGCCTGGCAAACATGGTGAAACCCTGTCTCTACTAAAAAATACAAAAAAAATTAGCCAGGTGTGGTGGCACGCACCTGAAGTCCCAGCTACTCGGGAGGCTGAGGCAGGAGAATTGCTTGAGACTGGGAGCCAGAGGTTGCAGTGAGCCAAGATCACACCATTGCACTCCAGCCTGGGTGACAGAGCAAGACTCTGCCTCTAAAAAATATAAAATAAAATAAAATAAAATAGAGATAATAATAGACCCACCTCCTAGGATTGCTACATGAGGGCAATGAACTGATCTACATAAAGCACCAAGCATAGTGTCTGGCAGGTAAAGTTGGCCAGTAATGTCATCAACATTGTTATATAATAATAATTATTGTCATTAATTTTATTGCCCAACTGGCGTCCCAGCCTGAGCTGAAGCTCTGTCTCTTGGCCACCCTGTCCAGGAGGTATGAGCCTGTTTTCTTGGGCCAGATCTTCTGCTTGGCTTGAAGCCAAAGTGTGACTTCCCAACCTCTGCATGCAGCCCCCTCCCCAGGGTGCTGGTTGGTCTCTCCTCTCAGCTGCTGCTGCAATGTGCTTCACAGTGACAACACACCCACAGCTCCAGTGGCAGTTGATGCATCCTTGTGGCCAGAATCATGCCTGGCAGGACGCATGTGGCAAAGGGCTTGTCTGGGTCGGTGCTATGCTCTCTGTGCCAGGGAAAATCCAGCTCTTGGAGTGGGTGAGAGCAGGGAGGCCTTCATGGTGGTGGAGTTAGGGGATGGGAGAGACAGGGAAGCAATGAGGGGCTTGCACAGAAAATATCGTTTTACCCTAAGTACCCAGATGACAAATGAGACCCAAAATGACCTTTGGCAGGGGCCGTGGCTTCTGGGGACCCCAGCGTTTGACAGAGCAGGTGGCAGAGCCGCAGGACCCAGCTCTAGTGTGTGGCAGTTTGTTGGTTTCATTGCCGTTGCTGGGCCAGACGTGCACTGAGGACCCCGGGATAAAGGGGTTTACTGTGAGGATGCTGGGGCCCAAGACCTCGTGGGCACAGGACCCAGGTGAAGACCCCAGGGCCCGTGAAGAGCCGAAGTGGATTTCACTGTAGGGGCTTCTTGTCATCCCCAGGGGTACACATTCTTGTGGCCGCTCCTGCTGCTGGCAGCCGAGTCCTTGGCCACGAGCCCAGCCTCCTCTGGGGGGTGGGTCTCAGCCCAGGCCCACATCGGGCTGTTGATTTCATTGGCTGCTGGCTGGCCTCGCCATTGGCTGCTTGCAGCCAGGTGCTCACCCCTGCCCATCAGCTGTGGCCATGGTGGTGCCAGCAGGGAGAGGAGCATGTGACTTGCACGTGAGGAGTAGCCGAAGGCTTCTTCCCTAGGGGACATGTGTCTACCTCGGGGCGATGCGTCTACCTGTGGATGGGGAGGGACCCCTTATTGGGGCCCAGGCAGGTCCGCATTCTGGGCCTTGTCCAGTACACCCTCTGGTTTCCAACCAGCCAACCAGGCTCCTGGGGGACCCACCAACCCTCCCCTTTCTTCTCCGTACTTCTCTCCTCACCTGGTAGACACACATGTCTTCATTTTGGTTCTTACGTTGAGAGACAAACCCATCCTTCCCTCCCTTTCTTCCTTCCTCCCTCCCTCCCTCCCTCCCTCCCTTCCTTCTCTCTCCCCTTCCTTCCTTCCTTTCTTTCTTTCTTTCTTTCTTTCTTTCTTTCTTTCTTTCTTTGTTTCTTTCTTTCTTTCCTTCCTTCCTTCTTTCTTTCTTTCTTTGTTGGTTTCTTTCTTTCTTTGTTTCTTTCCTTCCTTCTTTGTTTGTTTGTTTCTTTGTTTCTTTCTTTCTTTCTTTTTTCTTCCTTTCTTTCTTTCTCTCTGTCTCTCTTTCTCTCTTTCTTTTCTTTCTTTCTTGCACCTAGGTTGGAGTGCAGTGGCATGATCATGGCTCACTGCAGCCTCGACCTCCCAGCCTCAAGTGATCCTCCCTCCTCAGCCTCCTAAGTAGCTAGGACCACAGACATACACCACCATGCCTGGCTATTTTTTTTTTTTTTAACTTTTTGTAGAGACAAGATCTCCCTGTATTGCCCAGGCTGGTCTCAGACTCCTAAGGCTCAAGTGATCCTCCTGCCTCGATCTCCCAAAGTGCTGAGATTACAGGCATGAGCCACTGCACCCAGCCTGAGACAATGCTTTCTCTACCAGTCTCTACCCCATTGCACTAATAGTCAGTGGAAGGCTGCAGACCTTCACACGTGAGTCCCTGGCCCTGGGCCTCAGGCAGGGTTTGCTGGGTGTATGTTTACCCAATAGTTGTGGGAAAGTGGGTGCTGACCTCACCGGGTGCGGAGGACAGGGTGTTAAGCGGCTCCCACAAAACACTCCCTCCTCCTCGGGCTATGTTGGCAGAAGCACATCTAACCCTGGCGACCCAAGGTCATGAGGGGGATGAGTTAACTTCCTTGTGTGTCCTAAGCGGCTGCTGTGTATTTGTTGACTGTCTCAGAGTAAATGTGGTTGGTTTACTCACTTTCTACCCCTTTTAGCTGGTGGGACTGGTTAAAAGCTTGTCCTCTGCATAAAAGCTTTGCCTCTGGGATTAGCCTGGCCTGGTTGAGTCTCAGTTGTTGAAATAACAACAGCAATACCAATAGCAGTGATAGCTTACATGTAACACCAGGTATGATTTCCTACCTGGACTATCTCAGTAATCCTAGGAGGAAGGTCTATTATCATGTCCATTTTAGAGAAGGAAGAAGTGAGGCTCAGTATGGTGCTCAGCTAGGAAGCAGTAGAGCCTGGTGGTAACCAGGCAGGGGCTCAGAGCTTCTCTCCTTCCTGCTCCTTAGCTGATGGGCCATCGTGGGCAGGTTACTTGGCCTCTCCAGGACTCGGATTCCCCTTGTCTGCAAATGGGTCAAGAAAGTTTAATGTGGCTGGGTGCGGTGGCTCACACCTGTAATCCCAGCACTTTGGGAGGCCGAGGTGGGTGGATCATGAGATCAAGAGATCGAGACCATCCTGGCCAACATGGTGAAACCCTGTCTCTACTAAAAATACAAAAATTAGCCAGGTGTGGTGGCGCACGCCTGTAGTCCCAGCTGCTTAGGAGGCTGAGGGAAGAGAATCACTTGAACCTGGGAGGCGGAGGTTGCAGTGAGCCAACATCATACCACTGCACTCCAGCATGGTGACAGAGCCAGACTCTGTCTAAAAAAAAAAAAGGTTTAATGTGGCAGGGTACGCTGATTCACGCCTGTAATCCCTGCACTTTGGGAGGCCAAGGTGGGTGGATCACTTGAGGTGAGAGTTCGAGACTAGCCTGGCCAGCATAGTGAAACGCTGTCTCTCCTAAAAATACAAAAAATTAGCCGGGCGTGGTGGCAGGCACCTGTAATCCCAGCTACTCCGGAGACTGAGGCAGGAGAATCGCTTGAACCCAGGAGGCGGAGGTTTCAGTGAGCTGAGATCACACCACTGTAATCCAGCCTGGGTGACAGAGCAAGACTCCATCTCAGAAAAAAAAAAAAAGAAAAAAGAAAGCTTAATGCATGAAGTGGTTACAGAAAATAAGCACTTTTCAAACAGTGAAACTCAGCCCCTAGTTTGGGATTATTATCTTGGATGGAAAGGGGAGTTTTTTTTGTTTTTGTTTTTGTTTCTTTTTTAACATTTCCCATTTCACAGATGGAGGGAAGAGTGATTTTTGCTGCTCTTTCTGCATTAAGTTAGAGTTTGTAGAGGTGACCTTTAAGACCAGCTTGCTCAAAATCAGCCCGCGACTTGGGCACCTCCCTCAAAGGCAGCTTCATCTTTGTATTGTTTGTTTTGTTTTTGAGATGGGCTCTTGCCATGTTGCCCAGGCTGGAGTGCAGTGGCTATTCACAGGCATGATCATAGCTCACTGCAGCCTCGAGCTTCTGGGTTGGAGCAATCCTCCTGCTTCAGCCTCCCGAGTAGCTGGGACTATAGGCCTGTGCCACCATGGCCGGCTAGCTTTTTGTTTCTTTGTAGAGATGGGGTCTCGAACTCCTGGTCTCAAACAGTCTTTCTGCCTTGGCCTCCCAAAGTGCTGGGATTACAGGTGTGAGCCACTACTGCACCTGGCCCTAGAACACTTTATTATGTAGTAAAAAGTAAATAACTCTCACCCATCTCTTTTTATAGAACTGTGCTGCCCAATATGGCAGCTACAAGCCAGGTGTGATCACCGAGGGCCCAAAATGTGGTGAGTCCAAATTGAGTCCAACTGACACGTGCAGTGAGTGTAAAATCAACACTGGGCCTTGAGACCTAATATGGAAAAAAAAGTAAAATATCTCACTAATAATTTGTCAATATTGGCAAGGCGTGGTGTCTCATGCCTATAATCCCAGCACTTTGGGAGGCCGAGGCGGGCGGATTGCCTGAGCTCAGGAGTTTGAGACCAGCCTGGGCAACACGGTGAAACCCCATCTCTACTACGGTACAAAAAATTAGCCAGGCATGGCGGTGAGTGCCTGTAGTTTCAGCTACTCAGGAGGCTGAGGCAGGAGAATCGCTTGAACCCAGGAGGCAGAAGTTGCAGTGAGCCAAGATCGCGCCACTGCACTCCAGTCTGCGTGAGGGGAACGAGACTCCATCTCAAAAGAAAAAAAAGCCGGGCGCGGTGGCTCACGCCTGTAATCCCAGCACTTTGGGAGGCCGAGGTGGGCAGATCACCTAAGGTCAGGAGTTCGAGACCAGCCTGACCAACATGGAGAAACCCTGTCTCTACTAAAAATACAAAAATTAGCCTGGCGTGATGGCACATGCCTGTAATCCCAGCTACTCAGGAGGCTGAGGCAGGAGAATTGCTTGAACCCAGGAGGCGGAGGTTGCGGTGAGCCAAGATCAGGCCACTGCACTCCAGCCTGGGTAACAAGAGCGAAACTCCGCCTCAAAAAAAAAGTCATGGCCCCTCCATGAATCCTCACACTTGAGACAGTTTATAGACCCAGGACCTCTTGAATGAAGAAGAGGCTAGGTCCCCTTGGCGAAGGACTTTGGTATGCTACTAAAAATTTATACTCCCAATCTTTCTCCCAACCTTCCCCTAAAGAGACCTTTACCAGGGTAACTGCGCTGGGAAAGGAAATAATCAGATATCCCAGGGACTACTGGACACTGGCTCTGAACTGATACTGACACCAGGAGACCTCACCTGTCACTGTGGCCCTCTAGTCAAAGCAGGGGCTTATGAAGGTCACGTGACCCACGAGTTTTCACTCAGGTCCTTCTCACAGTGTGTCCAGTGGGTCCTTGAGCCCATCCTGCGGCTATTTTCCCAGCTCCAGGTGCATAATTGGAACAGACATATGAGCAGCTGACAGAATCCCACATTGATTTCCTGATGGTGGGAAAAGTCGAGCAGAAGCCATTAGAACTGCCTCTACCTAGGAAATCAAAAGCAGCACTTTATTCCTGGATGGATTGCAGAGATGAGTGCCACCATTAAGGACTGGAAAGATGCAGGGTTGAAGATTCTCCCCACATCCCCTTTCAACCCTCCTATTTGTCCTGTGCAGAAAACAGATGGATCTTGGAGAATGACAGTGGATTATGATACATTTAACCAGGTGGTAACTCCATTGTAGCTGCTGTACCAGCCCGACCTGATGACATTATTCTGATTGGAACTCGTGAGCAAGAAGTATTGGTAGCAATAAGTAATCTAGGTCGGGCATGGTGGCTCACACCTATAATCCCAGTACTTTGGGAGGCCGAGGCCTGAGGTCAGGAATTTGAGACCAGCCTGGCCAACATGGTGAAACCCTGTCTCTACTAAAAATACAAAAATTAGCAGGGCATGGTGGCTTGTGCCTGTAGTCCCAGCTACTTGGGAGGCTGAGGCAGGAGAATCTCTTGAACCCGGGAGGTGGAGGTTGCAGTGAGCCGAGATCACGCCATTGCACTCCAGCCTGGTGACAGAGCGAGACTCTGTCTCAAAAAAAAAAAAAACCAACAAACAAAAACAAAACAAAACAAATTAGCCGGGCGTGGTGGCGGGCTCCTGTAGTCCCAGCTACTCAGGAGGCTGAGGCAGGAGAATTGCTTGAACCTGGGAGGCGGAGGTTGAAGTGAGCCGAGATTGCATCGCTGCACTCCTGCTTGGATGACAGAGTGAGACTCCTTCCCCAAAAAAAAAAAAAAAAAAGTAATCTAGACTTGTTGGTAAGACATTTGCATGTCAAGGTTAGAAATAAATATGAGTAAAATTCAGAGTTCTTTATCAGCGAAATTTCTGGGAGTCCAGTGGTGTGGGGCCTGTCCAGATGTCTCTTTGAAGGTGAAAGATAAATTGTTGCACTACGCCTCTCCTGCAAGCAAAAAAGAGGCACAATGCCCAGTGTGGAGGCAACATATGCCTTATCTGGGTGTGTTAGTTACTCCAGCCCATTTACCGAGTGACCTAAAAAGCTACTAGTTTTGGGTAAGGTTCAGAACAGGGCCTTAGTGGAGACTGAACACCTAACCGTGGACAACCAAATTACCATGTGACTTGAGCTTCTCATCATGAACTGGGTGCGATTTGACCGCCAAGCCATAAAGTTGGGTGTGCACAGCAGCACCCCATCATCACCTAGAAGTGGTAGATACATGGCCAGGCCAGAGCAGGCCCTGAAGGCAGAAGTAAGTGACATGAAGTGGCCCAAATGCTGAAGGTCCCCACTCCTGCAACCCTGCCTTCTCTCTTCAAGCACCCATGGCTCACAGGGAGTTCCCTGCTATCAGGTGACCGAGGAAGAGGAGACTCAGGCCTGGTTTATGGATGGTTCTGCAGGATATGTGGGCATCCTCTGAAGGTGGCCAACTGCAGCACTACAGCTCCCCTCTGGGACACCCCTGAGGGACAGTGGGGAAGGGTCATCCTCCCAGCGGGCAGAAACTTAAGCAGTGTACCTAGTTGTGCACTTTTCTTTTTTCTTTTTTTGAGACGGAGTTTCACTCTGTTGCCCAGGCTGGAGTGCAGTGGCACGATTTCAGCTCACTGCAACCTCTATCTCCCGGGTTCAAGCGATTCTCCTGCCTCAACCTCCCAAGTAGCTAGGATATGGGTATGAGCCACCATGCCTGGCTAATTTTTTGTATTTTTAGTAGAAATGAGGTTTCACCATGTTGGTCAGGCTGGTCTTGAAGTCTGGACCTCAGGTGATCCACCCACCTCAGCCTCCCAAAGTGCTGGGATTACAGGTGTGAGCCACCGCACACAGCCATCTTTTCTTTATTCTTGCTTTTTTTTTTTCTTTTGTTCTGTCACCCCAGCTGGAGTGCAGTGGCACGATCTCGGCTCACTGCAACCTCAGACTCCCAGGTTCCTGAGCCTCAGCTTCCCAAGTAGCTGGGACTATAGGTGTGTACCATCACACCCGGCTAATTTTTGTATTTTTTGGTAGAGATGGGGTTTCACCATGTTGCCTGGGCAGGTCTTGAACTCCTGATCTCAGATTATCCGCTAGCCTCAGCCTCTCAAAGTGTTGGGATTATAGGCATGAGCCACCGCTCCCAGCCACGCGCTGTGTATGTTCTTAACCAGCGGCCCATATATGGTGCTGTTTCTCTGAAAGCCAAGGTTCATGGGTCTGGAATCAAAAGGTGAAAATGGGAGTGGCACCACTCACTATTACTCTGAGTGGCCTACTGGAAAAATGTGTGCTTCTTATTCTTGTGACTTTATTCTCTGTTGGCCTAAAGATCTTAGTTCCAGAGGGAGGAGTGTTTCCAGCGGGAGACACAACAATTCCTTTGAGCTGGAAGTTAAGATGCCACCCGGCCACTTTGGGCTCCTCATGCCTCTGGGTCAACAGGGAAAGAAGGGAGCTATGGTGTGGGCTGGGGTGACTGATCCAGATCACCAAGGGGACATTGGGCTGCTGCTCCACAATGGAGGTAGGGAAGAGTGTGGAATGCAGGAGACCCGTTAGGCCATGTCTTTTTTTTTTTTTTTTTTTTTTGAGACGAGTGTGGCTCTGTCGCCCAGGCTGGAGTGCAGTGGTGCGATCTCGGCTCACTGCAAGCTCCGCCTCCCGGGTTCACGCCATTCTCCTGCCTCAGCCTCCCGAGTAGCTGGGACTACAGGAGCCCGCCACCACACCCGGCTAATATTTTGTAGTTTTAGTAGGGATAGGGTTTCACCGTGTTAGCCAGGATGGTCTCGATCTCCTGACCTCATGATCCGCCCACCTTGGCCTCCCAAAGTGTTGAGATTACAGGCGTGAGCCACAGCGCCCGGCCTCCTTAGGCCATCTCTTAGTATCACCATGGCCTGTGGAAAATGACAATAACCCAATCTAGATCGGACTATGAATGGCCCAGACCCTTCAGGAATGAAGGTTTGGGTGTCACTCCACCCAGATAAAGAATCACGACTGGCTGGGTGTGGTGGCTCACACCTGTAATCCCAGCAATTTGGGAGGCTGAGGCGGGAGCATCACATGAGGTCAGGAGTTTGAGACCAGCCTGGCCAACATGGAGAGACCCCACCTCTACCAAAAATACAGAAACTGCGTGCCTGTGGTCCCAGCTACTTGGGAGACTGAGGTGGGAGGATCGCTTGAGCCCGGGAGGTCGAGGCTGCATTGAGCCAAAATCGTACCACTGCACTCCAGCCTGGGTGACAAAAAAAAAAAAAAAAAAAAAAAAACATGACCAGCTGAGGTGCTTGCTGAAGGCAAAGGTTGTACAGAACCAGTAGTGGAAGAAGGTGGTTTTAAATACCAGCTATAACCATGTGGTCAGCCACAGAAACAGAGACTGTGATTGTCATCAGTTTTTCCTCTTTATTTTTCTCTGCATGTGTGTCTGTGTGTGTGTGTATATATATATATATATATATATATATCTTTGTTTCTTTTCCTCTCTTACTCTCTTATCATGTAACATAAGATGTATTGATTTTATATCATAGTATTTAAGCTATGGGATATCAAGGAGAAGCGTAAACATCACTCTCCTCTTCTTACCTCCTCTTCCGGGGAAGGGATGAGTGTGTTTCTGGTGTATGCAGGAGAGTTGCATCGTGTTAGGTGGAATTATGACTTTGCTTTGTCTTTACTTGGAGATTAAGTACGGTTTAGGAAATGTCTACAGGGTACCTAGTTGACAAGGGGTGGACTTGTGGTGGTTAGTCTTTTGGGTCAGTTTCATTGGCCAAAGGTGCCCAGATTACACATTGTCTCTGGGTATGTCTGTGAGGCTGTGATTGGCATTTGAATCCACAGACACAATACAGTGCCCTCCCCAGTGGCAGTGGGCATCGTCCAATCTGTTATGGGCTTGAATAAAACAAAAGGCAGGTTGGGCACAGTGGCTCACGCCTGTAACCCCAGCACTTTGGGAAGCTGAGGCAGGTGGATCACTTGAGGTCAGAAGTTCAAGACCAGCCTAGCCAACATGGTGAAACCCCGCCTCTACTAAAAATACAAAAATTTGGCTGGGTGCAGTGGCTCACGTCTGTAATCCCAGCACTTTGGGAGGCTGAGGCGGGCAGAGAGCCTAAGCTCAGGAGTTCGAGACCATCCTGGGCAACATGGTAAAACCGTGTCTCTACTAAAATACAAAAAATTAACCAGATGTGACGGCGCACGCTTGTAGTGCCAGCTACTCAGGAGGCTGAGGCACAAGAATTGCTTGAGCCGGGGAGGCAGAGCTTTCAGTGAGCAGAGATCGCGCCACTGTACTCCAGCTTGGGCTGCAGAGTGAAACTCCGTCTCAAAAAAGATAAATTAAAAAATAAATAAATACAATACATAAATAAAATACAAAAATTAGCCAGGCGTGGTGAAATGCGCCTGTAATCCCAGCTACTCAGGAGGCTGAGGCAGGAGAATCGCTTGAACCTGGGAGGTAGAGGTTGCAGTGAGCTGAGATTGCACCAGGGCACTCCAGCCTGGGAGATAGAGTGAGATTCTGTCTCAAAATAAGAATAATAATAATAATAAGGCAGAGGAAGGAGGAATTTGCACCTTTTTCCTTGCCTGCCTGCTTGAGCTGAGACATCTCCTCTCATCTTCTGCTCTTGCACTGAAATTTATACCATTGGCTTCCTGGTTCTCAGGCCTCTGGACTCTGAACTGCCCCACCAGCTCTCCTGGGTCTCCAGCGGGCGGACAGCAGTTAATGGTACTTCTCAGCTGCCGTAATCACATGAGCCAATTATATGGCATAGTAAATCTATCTATCTATCTATCTATCTATCTATCTATCTATCTATCTATCTATTTATCTCTCTATCTCTCTATCTATCTGCATTTCCTTGACACAGGGTCTTACTCTGTCATCCAGGAAGCTGGAGTGCAGCAGTGCAATCACTGCTCACTGCAGCCTCAACCTTCTGGGCTCAAGTGATCCTCCCATCTCAGCTTCCTGAGTAGCTGGGAACACAGGTGTGAGCCACCACGCCTGGCTAATTTTTAAAAATTTGATTTTAGAAATGAGGTCTCATTATGTTGCCCAGGCTGGTCTTGAACTCCCAGCCTTTAGCAATCCTCCTCCCTCAACCTCCCAAAGTGCTGGGATTACAGGTGTGAGCTGCCATGCCTGGCTCCTACTTTTATATAAAAGGATATATTTATGGTCATGTGCCTCATGATGACATTTTGGTTAACAACTGACTGCATACGTGATGGTGATCCCATAGATTATAATGGACCTGAAGAATTCCTATCACCTAGTGATGTCTTAGCCATTGTACCACTCTAAGGTTTATTAAAGAAAAAAAAAAAGACTTGGCATATGGCTCACACTTATAGTCCCAGCACTTTGGGAGGCTAAGGCAAGAGGATCACTTGAGCCCAGGAATTGAGGCTGCAGTGTGCCACGATCCCAGCACTGCACTCCAGCCTGCATGACAGTGTTGTCTCAAAAAAAAAAAAAGATAACTGTAAAACAGCCTCAGATAGGTCCTTCAGGAAGGATTCCAGAAGAAACATTGTCATCATAGGAGATGACAGCTCCATGCCTGTTATTGCCCCTGAAGACCTTCCAGTGGGACAAGATGTGGAGGTGGAAGACAGTGATATTGATGATTCTGCCCCTGCGTAGGCCTAGGCTAACGTGTGTGTTTGTGTCTTCATTTTTAAGAAAAAAGTATAAAAATTAAAAAACAGGCCAGGCCCGGTGACTCACGCCTGTAATCCCAGCACTTTGGGAGGCCGAGGCAGGCGGATCACGAGGTCAGAAGTTCGAGACCAGCCTGGCCAACATGGTGAAACCTGTCTCTAAAAAAAATACAAAAATTAGCTGGGCATGGTGGCGCATACCTGCAGTCCCAGATACTTGGGAGGCTGAGGCAGGAGAATCACTTGAACCCATGAGGCAGAGCTTGCAGAGAGCCGCGATCACGCCATTGCACTCCAGCCTGGTGAGAGAGTGAGACTCTGTCTCCAAAAAAAAAAATAAAAAAAAAATTGCGTCCAGGCCTGGTGGCTCACGCCTGTAATCCCAACACTTTGGGAGATCGAGGCAGGCAGATCACTTGAGGCCAGGAGTTCGAGACCAGCCTGGCCAACATGACGAAACCCCATCTCTACTAAAAATACAAAAATTAGCTGGGTGTGGTGCGGGCGCCTGTAATCCCAGCTACTTGGGAGGCTGAGGCATGAGAATTGCTTGAACTTGGGAGGCGGAGGCTGCAGTGAGCTGAGATTTCACTACTGCACTCCAGCCTGGGTGACAGAGCCAGATTTTGTCTCAGAAAAGAAAAAAAAAATTGCTTGTTGCTTGGCTGGGAGGAAGCACAAAAGGATGCTAGCTGCTGTTTACTGCTCATGTTATTATTCATAATAACATGTTGGTATTTGCTATATCATGAGAGGCCCTACCAAGCTGATTGTGTCTTCAGCTATCTCTGATGTTATGTTTGTGTGGGTTTTGATTAGGACGTGTCTTCCTTACTCGCCCTTTGTCGAGTCGTCCTGAGCTTGGAATCTGGGCCGGCTTCCTGCAGTCACACAGGGCCCTGCACGAAGAAGGAACCCCTAGGCTTGCTTTAATTTTTTCTGTCCCTGTCTTGAAATTCTCTTTTTTTTTTTTTTTTTTTTGAGACGGAGTCTCGCTCTGTCGCCCAGGCTGGAGTGCAGTGGCACGATCTCGGCTCACTGCAAGCTCCGCCTCCCAGGTTCACGCCATTCTCCTGCCTCAGCCTCCCGAGTAGCTGGAACTACGGGTCCCCGCTATCACGCCCGGCTAATTTTTTGTATTTTTTTTTTTTAGTAGAGACGGGGTTTCACCGTGTTAGCCAGGATGGTCTCGACCTCCTGACCTCGTGATCCGCCCGCCTCTGCCTCCCAAAGTGCTGGGATTACAGGCGTGAGCCTTAACAATTTTTGAACAAGGGGCTTTGCATTTTCATTTTGTACTGGACTTTACAAATGATGTGGCCAGACCTGCTTGGAGTCACAATTCTTCCTGTGCTAATAGCAGTGAGGGGGGTCCCAGCAAAGGATGGAGGCTCCCGGCAGTCTGAGCTGAGTCAGCAGCACATGGGATAAGGCCCCTCTAAGAGGGACCTTTACAAACTGCAACGAAGCAGTGGTTACAGGGGCTGGAAAACCTGACATCCAAGGATGAGCTCACGGGGCAGTGGTTGTTTCGCCTGGAAGACAAGATTTTGGGTGAACTGGGTGGTGTCCTCCAATTTCTGAAGGGCAGTGGAGAGGAAAAGGGAGAGAGGGAGTGTGTGTGTGTGTACGTGTGTGTGTTCTCTGTGGCCCTAAAAGGCAGATCCAGCTCACTATAAGGAAAGAATCTTGAAGAATTTTGAACAAGGAAAGTTGTGCAAGAAGGGAACAGCTGGCCTGAACTCAAACCTCAGCTCTCTCAGCTCTGCCTGGGGGTCAAGAGCATGGGCTCTGGCTGGAGCCAACTACATCTCTGTCCAGATCTGTTATTCTTAGGTAAGGTCATTCACTGGCTTGATCCTTTATCTCCCTCTGTAACATGGGCCTGATAATGCTCCACAGTACAGGGTGATGATGCTGGTATAAAATATAAAGCACCTAAAGGGTGTCTGGCCATTAGGAGGTGCCTAACAAATGACACCATTGTTTGCTGTTTTTTTTGTTTTTTTTTTGACAGAGTTTCACTCTTGTTACCCAGGCTGGAGTGCTATGACGAAATCTCGGCTCACTGCAACCTCCGCCTCCCAGGTTCAAGCGATTCTTCCGCCTCAGACTCCCAAGTGGCTGGGATTATAGGCACACGCCACCATGCCCAGCTAATTTTTGTATTTTTAGTAGAGATGGGGTTTCGCCATGTTAGCCAGGCTGGTCTTGAACTCCTGACCTCAGGCGATCCGCCTGCCTCGGCCTCCCAAAGTGCTGGGGTTACAGGCGTGAGCCACCACGCCCAGCCGTTTGCTGTTATTACTGTTACTATAATGAGTTCCTCGTGCCTGGGAAGGTTGCAGTTGAGATGGAACTCAGGAAGTTGCAGAGATGACCCTTGTATCAGAAGTAAAATAAGATGCACACATTTCCTCCTTGACAATTGCAGCATCTGGCATATTTGGATGATTAGCAAAAACCAGTCCGTCAGGCGTGATGACTCACGCCTGTAATCCCAGCACTTTGGGAGGCCAAGGGGGGCGGATCACTTGAGGTCAGGAGTTCAAGACCAGCCTGGCCAACATGGTGAAACCCCGTCCCTACTAAAAATACAAAAAAACAACTAGCCAGGCATGGTGGTGCACACCTGTAATCCCAGCTACTCAGGAGGCTGAGGCAGGAGAATTACTTGAACCTGAGCCAAGATCATGACACTGCACTCCAGCCTGCAGCCTGGGCAACAGAGCAAGACTCAAAAAACAACAACAAAAAAAAAAACAAAAAAAAAAAAACACAAACAAGTCATAAAGTGCTGTCCGAGTGACAAAGGCCCTCAGGGAAAGGGGTGGTGCTTCTTGTGGAATGGAGGTTGTTTTGGGGCTTGGAGGCTACTGAGAAAGTGGGAGTGGTTTGAAAACTCCAGCCAACTTCCCGGTAGCTAATCACTGGCTGAATCCAATCTGAGGAATGTGGAGCTCCCCACAGGGCTCCTAGGAAATGGGTCCCTGATGTGTCTGAGAGCTGCACACAGGAATTGCCCATCTCCTCTGCAGCCCGTGGGAAGCAGCATTTGTGGGCCGTGTGCGTGTGAGCATGAGACTGTATGTGCCTAGTTAATGCATGGGCAGCCAGGCATGGGAGGGTCTCGGCTCCCTCTGACTCCAGAGCCTCTGCTTTGAGCCACACTCAGGGTGACAGCAGCTTCCCTGGAAATGGCAGTGGTTTGTGCTGAGACAAACATTTCTCCTCTTCCTTCTCCCCCATCCGCCTCTCCTGTGAGTGGGGTCCAGTCCCGGAGCTTCAGCCAGGAAATGCTCCTTGTGTGTCCACAGCCCTGCACATCAGCAGTGGGATGAGAGGCCCAGAGTCCAAGGAGCAGCAGATGGGTTCCATCAGGGGCTGCTGGACTGTGGTCAGAACTCAGGCAGTCACAAGTGTGTTTGTCTCTCCAGAGACAGAAGGAGAGGGCGGCATCACAGTCAGCTCCAGGAATTCCCCTGCATTTAACGCACACGTTCAGGCCGTCTGTCTTTCCACAAATATTTACCAAGCACAGCTCTGGGCGCACACCATGCTAGGCACTGTAAATTCAGCCATAAACAAGACAGAAGCTCAGTTTCAGTTTTCTCTTACCATAAAACTAACCATCTTCAAGTGTGCAATTCCATGTCATTGGTACAGTCACAATATTTTGCAACCATCTTTACCATCCATTTCCAGAACATTTTCATCATCCCAGAAGAAAACTTTATACGCATGAAGCAGTCATTCCCATTTCCCCACCCCGCCTACCCGCTGGCAACCACAAATCTGCTTTCTCTCTCTATAGATTTGCCCATTCTGGACATTTTATATGCGTGGAATCATCATAAAACATGTGACTGCACACCTGTTGTCCCAGTTACTCCAGAGGCTGAGGCAGAAGAACCGCTTGAACCCAGGAGGTGGAGGTTGCAGTGAGCCGAGATGGCACCACTGCACTCTAGCCTGGGCAACTCTCCGTCTCAAAAAAAAAAAAAAAACCAAAAAAAAAAAAAGTGACCTTTTATGTCTGGCTTCTCTCCCTTCACATCATGTTTTCCAGGTTCATCCACGTCACAGCATGGGTCAGGATTTCATTTCTTTTTATGGCTGAGTAATATTCCATTGCGTGGATACCCTGTCTTTGCTTTCTTTTCTTTTTTTTTTTTTTTTGAGATGGCGTTTCATTCTTGTCACTCAGGCTGGAGTACAATGGTGTGATCTCGGCTCACTGTAACCTCCACCTCCTGGGTTCAAGTGATTCTCCTGCCTCAGCCTCCCGAGTAGCTGGAATTACAGGCACCCACCACCATGCCCGGCTAATTTTTTTGTATTTTTAGTAGAGATGGGGTTTCACCATGTTGGCCAGGCTGGTTTCGAACTCCTGACCTCGTGATCTGCCCGCCTCAACCTCCCAAAGTGCTGGGATTTCAGGCATGAGCCACTGCTTCCGGCCTGTTTATTTTTATTTATTTATTTATTTTGAGACAGGGTCTCGCTCTTTTACCCGGGCAGTGGCGGGATCACAGCATGGCTCACTGCAGCCTTGAACACCTGGGGTCAAGTGTAGCTGGGACTACAGGTGCGCACCATCATGGCCGGCTAATTTTTTTTTTTTTTTTTTTTGGTAGAGACAGGGTCTCACTGTGTTACCCAGGCTGGTCTCACACTTCTGCAGTCAAGGGACCCTCCCGCCCTGGCCTCCCAAAGTGTTGGAATGACAGGTGTGAGCCACCATGCCCGCCCTCCAGGCTTTTCTGACCACTGGAACTTTCTTATCACTGGAGCAGTCCCGCTTTTCCACATTTGTAAGAGGGGAAGAGCTCACTTTCAGTTTCCTGACTCAGGGAAGCATGAAGTTAGGGAATGGAGGGACCCTGAAATTGCACGTGGAAGGCTGAGTAGTAAAGTCAGCTGTCTCTTGAGAGCTTACCAGGTATCAGGTGCTATGGGCACGAGCCGACAGCCCCACAGCTAGAACAGGGCTGCCTGTGTGACGAGAACGTCCTCCACTACCAAAGGCCAGCTGTGGGGTCAGGATAAGGACAACCACTAACCCAGGACTCGGGCTCCATATCTCTAAAACGGGCCTCCTAGACATACCTCCCTGAAATCTGATGACCTCTGTGATTAGCCCAGTGTCGAGTGAGAGGACAATGCCCAGTGACCCCGCGGCCATCACCCATCTGACTGCTGTCCTTAAGCAGGGTGGCATCATCCCTGAAAGCCCTCTTGGCTATCTCAGGAATGAGCTCCAGGGGCTGGGCTTGGCCTGGGAGCCAGGCAGGCAGCTCACAATGAGTGGTTCCCTAACAGGGAGCTTCTAGTCCTAACCACTCACACTTGTCAATAAATGTCAGCTTCTATGTTCTTCACTCCTGGATAGGTGTTTGTGGTATCAACATGCAAACTAAATTTAAAATGCACAGTCTTTTCCAGTCCAAATGGAATGGTTCAAAGGAGGGTGTGTTGGGGTAATGCCTCAGTGGCCTTGTTCTGGTCCCAGCCTGCCCAGCACCTAGTCCCTCTCGGAGACCAGCCTGCTCAGCACCCAGTCCCTCTCAGAGACGCACAAGCCTCTCTCCTGGCTCTCTCCTCATCAGAAGACAGGCAGCCAGGCTCCCGTGGGGTGTTCCGGGAAGGCAGGAGTCAGGACCCAGGGCCAAGCTTCAGGATGCAGAGCCAAGCTCCTGGAAGAGAAGTGGAGGTTTTCACTTATGTCAGTGTAGACTCTTTTTTATAAGGGAGAGAAATCCAAAACAAATTAGCTTAGTTCAATTTAACAAATTGGGGTTGTGGCTATATATCAGGCACGATACTGGTGCCTGTAGTTCACTGGTGAACCAAGAGCCCTGCCCCAGGAGGACAGATGTTAGGCAGTAGGGATAATAAGTTAGATGGTGTGAGGCTGGGCATGGTGGCTCATGCCTGTAATCTCAGCACTTTGTGAGGCCAAGGCAGGCAGATCACCTGAGGTCAGGAGTTTAAGACAAGCCTGGCCAACATGGCAAAACCCCGTCTCTACTAAAAAATACAAAAAGTAGCTGGGCATGGCCAGGCACGGTGGCTCACACCTGTAATCCCAGCATTTTGGGAGGCCGAGGTGGGAGGATCACCTGAGGTCAGGAATTCAAGACCAGCCTGGCCAATATGGTGAAACTTTGTTTCTACTAAAAATACAAAAATTAGCTGGGCGTGGTGGCACATGCCTGTAATCCCAGCTACTTGGGAGGCTGAAGCAGGAGAATCGCTTAAACCCGGAAGGCGAAGATTGCAGTGAGCCGAGATCGGGCCACTGCACTCCAGCCTGGGTGACAGATCAAGACTCTGTCAAAGAAAGAAAGAAAGAGAGAGAGGAAGGAAGGAAGGGAGGGAAGGAAGGAAAAGAAAGAAGGAAAGAAAGAAAGAAGAAAGAGGGAAGGAAGGAAGGAAAGAAAGAAAAAGAAAGAGGGAAAGAAAGAAAGAAAGAAAGAAAGAAAGAAAGAAAGAAAGAAAGAAAGAAAGAAAGAAAGAGAAAGAAAATAAATAAATTAGGGCATGGTGGCGGGCGCCTGTAATCCCAGCTACTCTGGAGGCTGAGGCAGGAGAATCTCTTGACCCCAGAGGCGGAAGTTGCAGTGAGCCAAGATGATCGCGCCCCTGTACTCCAGCCTGAGTGATAGAGCGAGACTCCGTCTCACAAAAAAAAAAAAGTTAGATGGTGTGTTATTGGGTGATATGCGCTATGGAAAGAAAAGTGGAGGCAGGGAAGTGGCCTCAGGAGTGGGAAGGGCAGGGCAGACTGCAGAATAGATAAGGTTGCCAGGGTGAGTCTTATGGAGAAGGTGAGAGTCAAACCACGATTTGAAGGAGATGAGATGTCAGCCTTGTGGAAACCTTGGGGAGAATTCTAGGCAGAGAGATCAGTTATAGCAAGGGCCCAGAGGCACGACTGTGTCTGACAGATTCCAGCACGGAGGGCAGTGTGGCTGGGCTTAGTGAGTGAGGGGGGCGGAAGAAAAGAGGAGTTCCGAGAGAAATGGGGAGCAGACAGGACAGGACCATGAGGTGTTGTCCAGACGTTGGCTATTATTTATTTATTTATTTATTTATTTATTTATTTATTTATTTAAGACAGCGGAGTCTCAACTTTGTTGCCAGGCTGGAGTGCAGTGGTACGATCTCAGCTCACTGCAACCTCCGCCTCCCGGGTTCAAGAGATTCTCCTGCCTCAGCCTCCGGAGTAGCTGGGATTACAGGCCGGTGCCACCACACCCAGCTAATTTTTTGTATTTTTAGTAGAGAGGGAGTTTCACCATGTTAGCTAGGATGGTCTCAATCTCTTGACCTCATGATCCTCCTGCCTCAGCCTCCCAAAGTGCTGGGATTACAGGAGTGAGCCACGGCGCCCGGCCCAGACGGCTTTACTCTGAGTGAGATTGGGAGCCACTGCGGTCTTTGCTGAAAAGGAAGGAAGTGATTTGACTTTTTTTTTTTTTTAAGCAAAAATGAAAAATCCTAATTTCTAGGCTCGGCTGAGTCAGAGGCAGGTGGAACACCTGAGGTCAGGAGTTCAACACCAGCCTGGCCAACATGGTGAAACCCTGTCTCTACTAAAGATACAAAAACTAGCTGGGCGTGGTGGCACATGCCTGTAATCCCAGCTACTCTGGAGGCTGAGGCAGGAGACTCGCTTGAACCCGGGAGGCGGAGGTTGCAGTGAGCCGAGATCACGCCACTGCACTCCAACCTGGGCAACAAGAGCGAAACTCTGTCTTAAAAACAAACAAACAAACAAAAATCACTGTGCATTTATTTCCCCACCACTGGCTACAGAAAGCCTAGCAATACTCCCAAAGGTCAGGAACCAGCAGCAGAGGTGGGGCCACTTCCTCCTCTCTAAGCCTCCTCTGATGTTAGGGACAATCAGCCAGCGTGAAGAGCTTGGTTTCTGCTCCTCAGGAAATGCCAGGGAGGGCGCTGGTCTAAGCCACGGGATGGTTTTCAACAGGGCAGAGCCTCTGCTCAGGGTTTCGAACGGGGATAGGAAGAACTTTCACTTTCATGGGTCGAAAAAATATAGTAAAGTAAAAAGGTTTGAAGATACATCTCAGTAACTTTTTTCTCTTTTTGAGACAGAGTCTTGCTCTGTCGCCCGGGCTGGAGTACAGTGGTGCAGTCCTGGCTCACTGCAACCTCCGCCTCCCAGGTTCAAGTGATTTTCCTGCATCAGCCTCCTGAGTAGCTGGAATTACAGGCACACACCACCACGCCCAGCTGATTTTTGTATTTTTAGTAGAGACGGGGTTTCACTGTGTTGGCCAGGCTGTTCTTGAACTCCTGACCTCAAGTGATCCCCCTGCCTCGGCCTTGCAAAGTGCTGGGATTACAGGCATGAGCCACAAGGCCCAGCCCATCTCAGTGACTTTTGACATATGCATTCACCTGGGTAATCACCACCCAGGACAAGATGTAAAATATTTCCAGGGGCTTCTGTTGTCCTCATTGTTGTGGGCACACTGCTGTAGTTCCCGTGGGCCTCAGGACCAGGCCACAGTGAGTGTCCCCCAGCCCCCAACACTGTGCACACACCATCTCCTGTCCCCCACCCTCTGCAAGGCAGGGGACACCAAGCCCATCTTACAGGCAAAGAAATGGAAGCTCAGAGAGAAGTGACACCACCATCACCGTCACCCCCAACAGCCACAATGGCAGCTTCCATTGGCCAAGGGCAGCTTCAGGGAAATTCTTGGCCAAAGATCAGAGATTTTGTCCTCCTTGGCAGGCCTTGGCTTAGCAGGTTCATTTCAGTAGACAGTGACGAAAAGATTCCTATCTTGAGATCATGTCCATCAGTTATACGAATTCCCCTACACAGTCTCTCCCCTATTTTCGGCTCAGGGTAGCGGGAGGTGATCGTCTGCTCTTTGCCCCAAGCTGGTTTTCCCAGCCTCTGCTTTCTATCTTGTTATTTCAGAAGACCAGTCAGGGAAGAGCCACTCTCCCTAGTCCAAGGAGGACAACCAAAGGGCCCCTCCTGGGCTGTGTCTGGTCCACGATTCTGGGGGTGGTACAGCCACCAGACCCCAACCTCATAGCTGAGCTTTTTGACAAGGAAGGTAGCTACCTGCAGGGGTTCCCACGGGCTGGGGGCGAGAGAGGCAGGGATTCTCTCTTCTCCGACAGAAATATCAGCCAGAAGCGAGCTTGCACAGCTCCTCCAACAGACAACCAGAGATAAAACGTGTCTCAGGGCATCTTGTACTTTCCATGTTCCGTCCCTGATGGTATGGTGACCTATCATTTATCTTGTGGGGCCGGGACAGCCTGGCCTGGCAGTTCCCCACGGGAGTCAGTTTATCAAGCACATCTTTTGTTCGGATAAAGGACTGCTTGGCACACAGCAAATGGGCAAGGCACCACCCCCACCTTGCTCACACCCACCTCCCCCAGCAACAAGGGCAGGGATTTCTATGAGTCTCCCTCCTGACAACCCTACTAGGTAGGGATCATTATTCCCTTTGAGCAGGAGGAAACGGAAGCTCAGAGGATGATACTGAACGGAGTGCCTACTTGTTCCAGGGGCTTCATAATTATTTAGCTCCCACAACTGCGCTGGGGAGTGACTTAGGGTCAGCTGCATTTTACAGCTGAGGAAACTGGTTCAGAGGAGGAACCTGCCTGCCTAAGGCCACACAGCTACAGCTGAGGGCTGGCTTTGGGATTCGAGGCTGGCTAAATCTAGCTCTGGCCAATCTTCCCTTTGATCTCTGCTGCTTTGGGGCATAGGTTGGACTGACACAGCTGTCTCTCTGGGCAGGTGCTGTCCCAAAGCACCTGGTCAAGCCCAAGAGTGAAGTAGGCATGGGAGACTGGTTTCTCCCTTTCCCCTTTGCCCCACTTCCCCAGGGCACCTCTCAGCAAAGCCAAATATGTTGGCGAAAATAAATGAGCAAGAACCGTGTACAAGATCCCTGCCCTTGGCCAGGTGCGGTGGCTCATGCCTGTAATCCCAGCACTTTGGGAGGCCGAGGTGGGTGGATCACAAGGTCAAGAGATTGAGACCATCCTGGCCAACATGGTGAAACCCCGTCTCTACTAAAAATACAAAAATTATCTGGGCGTGGTGGTGGGCACCTGTAGTCCTAGCTACTTGGGAGGCGGAGGCAGGAGAATTGCTTGAACCTGGAGGTGGAGGTTGCAGTGAGCAGAGATCACGCCATTGCACTCCAGCCTGGGTGATAGAGCAGGAGTCTGTCTCACAAGAAAAAAAAAAAAAGATCCCTGACCTTGTGGAGGTCCTGCCAGAACCCGGGGAAGCGGGCAGGATGCAGCAAGGTGAGGATTTTTTTTGAGACAGAGTCTCGGTCTGTCGCCCAGGCTGGAGTACAGTGGTGCAATCTTGGCTCACTGCACCTCCACCTCCCAGGTTGAAGCGATTCTCCCGCCTCAGCCTCCCAAGTAGCTGGGATTACAGGTGTCTGCCATCACATCTGGCTAATTTTTGTATTTTTAGTAGAGAGGGGATTTCACCACGTTGGCCAGGCTGGTCTCGAACTTCTGACCTCAGATAATCTGCCCCCCTCGGCCTCCCAAAGTGCTGGGATTACATGTGTGAGCCACCTGGCCAAGGTGAGGATTTTGAGGTGAGGGATTCAAAGAATCTTAGAAAACAAACGTTGATGCTTTCTTTCTTTTTTGAGACAGGGTCTTGCTCTGTCACCCAGGCTAGAGTGCAGTGGTGAGAACATGGCTCACTGCAGCCTCAGCCTCCTGGGTTCAGGTGATCCTCCCACTTCAGCCTCCTGAGTAGCTGGGAATACAGGCGAGCACCACCATGCCCAGCTAATTAAAACATTTTTTTGTAGAGACGGAGTCTCCCTATGTTGCCCAGGCTGGTCTTGAACTTCTGACTTCAGGTAATCTGTCCCCCTTGGCCTCCCAAGGGGCTGGAATTACAGGTGTGAGCCACCGCGCCCGGCCTGGTGATGCTTTCTACTGAAGAGTCAGTTGATAGGTCTTTCGGGGAGATCTTGTGATGAAGAATCAAAGCATTTGACTGGGGAAAGAGTTCCAGGATAGTCAAGTGATGCTCAGGAAGTCAGTGGAGCCACGTGCTGGTTCCCCATCCCTGCTATAGCAAATTACCACAGACTTAGTGGCTTAAAACAACACAGCTTCATTCTCTGACAGTTCTGGTGGATGAAGCCTGAAATGGGTCTCACAGGGCTAAAATCAAAGTGTCGGGAGGGCTGCGTTCTGTCTGAACGCAGAGAGTTTGTTTCGTCCCCTTTTCCAGTTTCTAGAGGCCCCTGGTATTCCTTGGGCCATGATCTCTCCTTCATCTTCAAGGCCAGCAGGTTAGCGTCTCTCCTGTCTGACCCCTATTCTGTCCTTTCATCTCCTCTCTTAATGCTGCCTCTGTTTTTATATCTTTTCTCTAATTTTACTGCCTCCCTCTTGGAAGGGCCCCTCTGTATACTCTGGGCTCACCCAGATAAACTAGGATAATTTCTCCCATCTCAAATCCTTACGAAATCCCATGTGAAAAGTCCCTTTTGCCACATAGTCACAGTCACGGGTTCTAGGGATTGGGACATGGATGTCTTTAGGGGTGGAGGGCGTCCTTCAGCCTGCCACAGATGGCAAAGTCATGCCATTGTGGCTGCAGCTCCATTGTCCAGGCTGAGTGTGGGGGCGCATGGCGTGGTTCTCATGCCCACCACCTACCCTGACCCTGCGGAGGTGGGCAGGAGGCAGCGATAATCACCACGTGCAGAGGTCCTGCCAGGTGCCCAGCCTCATCATTCCCTAGAAGGCAGGCACCACCACATGCTCCCACACTGTAGATAAGGAAACAGCTTTGAAACAGATTTGAAAGTGTTTGAGGATTTGCCTGGAAGGAGGGCTCCAGAGCCAGGGACTGGGTCCGGGACACCCGGAGACTCTCTGCTTCTTGGAGCTCCGGCAACTGCTTGTCTTTCTCTTCACAGGAGAAGGGGGCCCTGCTGCCGCTGCCGTGGGGCGGGGCGTGGGCGGTGCTGGCTGCAGGAAGGCTCTCCCCTCCCACTTTGTGCTTTCCCTGCAGGCTGCTCCTCTGTCGAGCTGATCACACCCACAGTTGAGCTGCGCTGGCCAGAGATGCCTGCCCACAGCCTGGTGATGAGCAGCCCGGCCCTCCCGGCCTTCCTGCTCTGCAGCACGCTGCTGGTCATCAAGATGTACGTGGTGGCCATCATCACGGGCCAAGTGAGGCTGCGGAAGAAGGTATGTGCCTCCCTGGGGGTCCCCGGCCTGGGTCATACTTGCTTCTCTCCACGTCCTGTCAGGAAAGCCCCGGGATAGGGAAACATGGCCAAGGTGTGTGCAGGGCTGGGAGGTGAGCACCTCTTCCAGCCCCGCCGGGGGGCTTCCTGCCAGTCCCACGTGTCAGCAAGGCCTGCACCTTCTCCTCTCTGGCTTAAGAGCACTTACTCGCTTGCCGTGCCACCGGGCTGAGTTCTTGGCATGGAGAGAGCCAGCGAGTGTCTGTGAGAGAAGCAGGTTCTGGAGGGTGGAGTGTGGGAGCGTGACAGCACAAAGCCTCTGTCTAACCTGGTGGCTTCCCGGCACGGGAGGTCTGATATCTGGGTGGAGTGGGAACCGGCAAAACAGGAGTCCGAGAAACGTTTAAGTGGAAATTCCCAACTCCTGGCAAATGTCACTAACAAGCCCACTGTAGCCTCCAAAGGCCAGCTCCCAGCCGGGCACCGTCGGGGTGCTCAGCGAGGAATTTCCCCACTAATCCGAGCCCCTGAACCAAAACAACATTAACGAGTCCCAGAGCTGGGCCGGGGCAAGTTCCAGTAGCGTCCGTCACACTGGTTGGCGAGTCTGCAAAGTCATAGGCTGAGCTTGTCGGCTGTCCTGGCGGCAGAATGCAGAAAGACCCCAGGCACCTGTTACTTCCTCCCCAGGTATTTTAATAAAGCAATCATTTCCTGAAACTGTCTCTGTCTTCCCCTGTGTCCAGTTCAAAGGCGAGGTGAGGCAAGGCTGGCTCTGGCACTGCATGCGGGTGGATCCTGGGGAGTGAGGATCTTGGCCACAAGCCAGGCTCAGGCCCTGCTGCAGGTACAGGCAGGATTAAAGGCAGGGCAGCTGCCCAAGTGATAGGATGCCCGGAGGCTACAGCACACTGATAGCTTCTGACTTCTCCCTGCCTTGGCTGGTCCTGGGATATGGGATCCGGGCATCAAGTAGAACAGCTGCATTCACTCATTGAATCCTTCCCAGAGGACCGAATGTGGCCCGGAGCTGAGCATGAGATCCCCGCCACAGCCCTGAGGGCAGGGGAGGCGCCATAGTCATCCTGTTTTCTAGGTGAGGAACCTGGGCTCAGAGAGGAGACATCACTTATGAAGGTCACACAGCCCGGTTTGAACTCCAGTGTCCAGCTTCAGAGCCCACATCCTGTCTTGGAGGCGGGGGTTTCTGTTTTGTTTTTTTTTTCTGCTGTCCAGGCTGGAGTGCAGCGGCATGATCTCTGCTTACTGCAACCTCCACCTCCTGGGTTCAAGCAATTCTACTGCCTCAGCCTCCCCGGTAGCTGGCATTACAGACACACACCACCATGCCCTGCTAATTTTTGTATTTTTAGTAGAGATGGGGTTTCACCATGTTGGCCAGGCTGGTCTTGAACCCCTGACCTCAGGTGATCCACCCGCCTCAGCCTCCCAAAGTGTTGGAATTACAGGCGTGAGCCACCGCACCTGGCTGAGGCCTGGGTTCTTACCAGCAGGCCAGCGATTCCTTTTTTTTTTTTTTTTTTAATTATTATTTATTTATTTTAGAGACAGGGTCTTGCTCTGTGGCCCAGGCTGGAGTGCAATTGTGCGATCATAGCTCACTGTAGCCTCGACTTCCTGGGCTCAGGTGATCCTCCCACTTCAGCCTCCCAAGTAGCTGGGACTATAGGTGTGCGTCACTGCTCCTAATTTTTTATGTTTTTGGTAGAGATGGCTTTTGCCATGTTGCCCAGGCTGGTCTCAAACTCCTGGGCTCAAGTGATCCTCCCATCTTGGCCTCCTGGAGTTCTGGGATTACAGGTGTGAGCCACTGTGCCCAGCTGTGATTTCCTTTTAACACGAATTCGGGGAAGGGAGGAGGTGAACCTGTCCCAGAGCCTTTCTGCCTGATTGGCAGGGACACCGCAGAAGGAAACCCCCACTCCTTGGGCTGCTCCTGAGGTGTTCCTCATGACAACGTGGCCCCCTCTTATCTCTGCTCTGGGCGCTAAGTATCATCCAGGAAGGACTTGCTGGAGGTGACAGTCACAGGCCCTGGCTCCTCCACCCACCAGCCTGGGGACCTGGAAAAGTCTGGGAGCTCAGTGTCCTCACCTGTAAACGGGGGTCGTGACAGCAGCGCCAGGAGAATGCAACGCCCCACCAATGTTTGTCCTTAAGACTTATAAGTAACTGAAATTAACATGAGCATCGCAGCCTCAGGTCACTTTCAAGGGACCTCAACCAAAGGCTGGCCTCCACCCCAGCTAAGGTGGCACCTCGGCCGCTGACACTGGGGGCTTCCTGGCCTGCACTGCAGCTGGCTCTGGCCTGGCTGACTTGTATCTGAGTTGTATCTCCAGGGGGAGCAACTCCATGGGCAGTGGACTCCTAAAGGCAGTGCCCACTGTATGCTGAGGCCCCTTGAAACGTATCACAGATCCACGGACAGAGCCTTCGGTGTTGGTGATTCACTGATTTCAGGGCCAGCAGAGAGGAATTTTGGGTGTGAAGGTTCCAATCTCGAAGATCTGAGCTGCATTCTCCTCTGGGGTAGGGCAGGGCAGGCCCACCAGGGAGGACAAACCAGCCCTTGGGGGACAGTCATGAGTCAGAAGCACAGGATTTGCCGTCAGCTGAACAATTTAGAAAACCTGCTCCTGAGATTCAGGCTCTGCTGTGGGCCTGGTGGGGTCTGACTGTCTGGATGCCAGCAGGGAACAGTGGAGCAAGAGTCATGGGCCTCTGATGATCTCAGTGTGACTTTATGTCTCTGCTTTCCAATGAGAGAAAGTGACAATTCACTGAGCACCTCCTTGTGCTGGGCATTGTCCTAGCGGCTTCTCCAGGTCTCCCTCTCACTCGTCACACAGCACATGAGCTGTGATTTCTCCTGAGTTTTCAGAGTTCAGGATCCTGTGGTTAATCAGCGCGGAGCTGGGTTTTCAGCCTGGGGCTCTCAAGACCTTCTCATGGCTTTTAGTGCAAAGTCCAAATTCTTCAGGTGCTGCCAGGACCCCTGATGACCCCTGTCCCTTTATCTTGGGCCCCTGTCCCTTGCCCTCTGTGCTCCCGTGTGCTGGTTTTCTGTTCTTCACACATGCCCAGCTTCTTCCAGCCTCAGGGCCTTTGCACGTGCTGTCCCTTCTGCCTTGAATGTTGTTGCTCCAGCCCTCCCTTCATCTGGTTAATGTCAATGCATCTTTCAAGCCTCAGATTGTTTGTTTTATTTTTTTTGGAGACAGAGTCTGGCTCTGTTGCCCAGGCTGGAGTGCAGTGGCAAGATCACGGCTCATTGTAGCCTCGACCTCCCAGGCTCAAGCAATCCTCCTGCCTCAGCCCTCCTGCCAAGTAGCTGGGACCACAGGTGTGTATCACCACACACAGCTAATTTTTGTATTTTTTATAGAGGGGGTTTCATCATGTTGCCCAGGCTGGTCTTGAACTCCTGAGCTCAAGTGATCCAACTGCCTCGGCCTCCCAAAGTGCTGAGATTACAGACATCAGCCACTGTACCCAGCTTGTTTGTTTGTTTTAGAGATGGGGTCTTGCTATGTTGCCCGGGTTGGTCTCAAACTCCTGGAAGCTCAAGCAATCCTCCTATCTTGGCTTCCCAAAGTGCTTGGCTCACAGGCGTGAGCCACCACACCTGGCTTGTTTTAGAGATGGGGTCTTGCTATGTTGCCCAGGCTGGTTTTGAACTCCTGGGCTCAAGCAATCCCCCTGCCTTGGCCTTCCGAAGTGCTGGGATTACTGGTGTGAGCCACCTCATCCAGCCCTAAGCCTCAGCTTTCATGTCACTGCCTCAGAGAAACTTTCTCAGAGCCTCAGACTGGGTCAGGTCCCACGTAAACATTCTCAAGGCCAGCCGTGCCTTCTTCTTAACAGGTGAGACACCCTGGCCTTCCCTGGTTCATAGGCAACTCCCCCATCGGACTGTGAGCTTCATAAAAGCAGAGACAGGGGGGCCTTTTCATGGTGAGCTACCAGCCCCTGGCACAGGGTAGGAATCGTGGATGATGGTTGGATGGGTGTGTGTGCAACTGCACCTCTGTCCTGCCACTGTGAACTCTGGTCATGGACAAAACATAGCCCCAGGTGACTGGGCCGTTTGTCTCACGAGGAGTGACTCTCAACTGGTATATTTCAGGCCTTTGCCAACCCCGAGGATGCCCTGAGACACGGAGGCCCCCAGTATTGCAGGAGCGACCCCGACGTGGAACGCTGCCTCAGGCAAGTACTTCGGGCCCCTGGCCTGGCCACACCTGGCCATGGCCTGCCCTTTCAGAACTTCTTCTGCACACAGGGGACTTGGAGGACTCCCAGGGGCTGAGGTTTTCTGTGTTCCTGATCTTCTCTGACTGTTTTACTTTATTCAATGATTTAATTTCAAATGAACTTTGGAAAAGTAAGACGTGGTCATGACTCATAATTACAAAGTGAGAAAGGTGGTGACTTCAGTGAACATTCAGTCTCCCTCCTACCTCTGACCTCCAGGCACTACGCAGTTCTACTGGCCAGGGGCAAACACTCCTGCCAATGGCCATGCATCTTCCCACAGAGATTTGCTGCATTTACAAACATGTGTGCCACGCTTTTCCCGTTCTGCCCCATAGAATCACCCTTTATCCTCTGGTCTGTACTATGCTTTTTTTTTTTTTTTTTTTTTTTTAATATGGCAACAGAGTTTGTTCCATATCGGCTCACAGAGGAGTTGCATTCACTGTATTGGTGCTCCAGTATTTATGTTGCCACTCTGTTGAATGTACAGCCCATAACTTCCCTAACCAATTCCCCTGCGATGGGCATTTGGGCTCCTTCTGTGTTATGAACAGAAGGCCTCAATACCTCTTTTTTTTTTTTTTTTTTTTTTTTTT
Source organism: Homo sapiens (assembly GCF_000001405.40). Classification (NCBI taxonomy): domain Eukaryota; kingdom Metazoa; phylum Chordata; class Mammalia; order Primates; family Hominidae; genus Homo; species Homo sapiens. The sequence goes on along the minus strand of NC_000009.12, from coordinate 129,748,010 downwards.
TGAGACAGAGTCTCACTCTGTTGCCCAGGCTGGAGTGCAGTGGTGCCACCTTGGCTCACTGCAACCTCCGCCACCCGAGTTCAAGCGATTCTCCTGCCTCAGCCTCCCAAGTAGCTGGGGCTACAGGCGTGCACCATCATGCCTGGCTAATTTTTGTATTTTTAGTAGAGATGGGGTTTCACTATGTTGGCCAGGCTGGTCTGGAACTCCTGACCTCAGATGATCTGTCCGCCTCGGCCTCCCAAACTGCTAGGATTACAGGCATGAGCCACCGCACCCGGCCTCAACACTTTTTTCATTTGCCTTTATGGGTATGTGTGAGTAAAACCGCAGGATGCAACAAAATCATGTCCCACTACTGGTGTGGGAGCCATTTTTCCATCCCTCTGACAATGCAACTGACAACTCATTGTATTGGCATATTTGGGTGGATTCCTACCAAGGTGATAGGTGAAAATTTATATCACATTTTTGTTTTGCTTTGCACTTCTTTATTCTTAGTGAAGTTGAACATCTTTTCATATGCTTAACATCCCCCTGGTCAATTAAAATGAATTTCCTCATTATAAAAATCAGAACTCATTACAGACGATTTGGGTAATACTGAAAAAACACAGAGACAGAAAGGAAAACCACTCACAGTTCTAATCACAGTTCACACTTGCATCTCTCTCCTCTTTGTCTTCTATAGCTAAATATTTTCCATAAAATTAGGCATGCATTAGGTACACCCAATTTGGAGTTCTGATTTTCTTTTATTAACATTATTTTGCGAACACTTTCCATGTTGGTAAATGTTACTAAAAAAATTATTCTTGACCAGATGTGGTGGCTCATGCCTATAATCCCAACATTTTCGAGGGCCGGCAGATCACTTGAGGTCAGGCCTGGCCAACATGGCGAGACCCTGTCTCCACTAAAGATACAAAAATTAGCCGGGCATGGTGGCACGGGCCCGTAGTCCCAGCTACTCGGGAGGCTGAGGCGGGAGAATGGCATGAACCCAGGAGGCGGAGGTTGCAGTAAGCCAAGATTGCGCCACTGCGCTCCAGCTTGGGGGATAGAGTGAGACTCCATCTCAAAAAAAACAAAAGATCCTTAAAAAACTGGCTTCGTAAAATCCCATCAGAGACTAAATGCTAATTTCACATAATCACAGTCAATATTAAATTTTTTTGGCAGTTTCTGCTCTGCCATCTTTTACCAGTTAGCTGGAGAGTGAGGCGATGGCACTCCAGGGGTTGGGGTCATCGGAAGAGCTTGAAGGGGAAGTGGGGAGGACGGAGAGCTGGACAGGCTGAGGCCGGAGACAAACTGTCTCATGGGTCTCAACACATTCCCCTGCATCACAGGCGGAAATGGGTGGGACACTGTCATTTAAATAATACAAATTTCTTTCACTTGAAAGAAAGTCTGTGGGTTTTTTTCTTATGTTTTTCTTGGCCATTGACAATAATATGTCCACTTGTGGTTTTAAAAAAATTACAGACCTGTGTCATGTAGGAAGTGAAATTCCTTGCTATTTTACCCTTTCAAATCCTTCATATGAGGCCCGTCTCTCCATTAATGAGCCCTTACTACATCCCAGACACTGTGCTAAGCACTGGCTGTACTTTCAAGAACAAAAGCCTTCTCCATACATGACTTCCATTGGTGACTCTTGTCCCCAGCTGTGGCGGCCCTCCTGGACAGTGGAGAAGGATGGGATGAGCTGTCCAGGCAGCAGGAGGCCAGGACGGTGGGTTGCCCGGGGCCAGCTCACAGCAGCCACCAAGAGGATGCGTTTTGGCTCCTCCCAGGCTGCAGAGGTTTTATGTAGCAAAGCTTTCATGTGGCACAATGTGGCACAGGAGTGGCCAAGTGGCCTTACAGATACTTGGTTTATTTTTACTGGCTGAAACCATGCCCCATGGAGAGACGATAGACCCGGGTGGCGCCGAGACATTTCCACCCAACCAATCTTTTTTTTTTTTTTTGAGACAGAGTTTCGCTCTTGTCCCCCAGGCTGAAATGCAATGGCACGATCTCGGCTCTCTGCAACCTCTGCCTCCCGGGTTCGAGCAATTCCCCTGCCTCAGCCTCCCGAGTAGCTGGGATTACAGGCACCTGTGACCACGCCAGCTAATTTTTGTATTTTTTTTTTAGTAGAGACAGAGTTTCACCATGTTGGCCAGGCTGGTCTCAAACTCCTGACCTCAGGTGATCCACCTGCCTCGGGCTTCCAAAGTGCTGGGATTACAGGCGTGAGCCATTGCGCCCAGCCCAAAATAACCCCTCATCTACAGTACTGGGGTTTAAATGGTAGAAATTCATTTCAGCACTTTCTGAGTGCGTCTTATCTAATAATACTTTATAGCCATTTGGTGAGGACTTACTGGAAGCCGACTGTATACTGGGCCCAAGTCAGACCTGGGGAGTGCCTGGGTCCCCTGGGCCCCTCCTCTGCCACCTGATTTCACAGAACCTCATGGAAACTTGAGTGTGCAGAACTAAGAGAATTCTATATCCTGCCGTCTGCTACCGGAGAACTGGCTGGAACCCGAAGGGGGAGACCACCTGGAAGCAAAAGTTGGTTAAATATTAGACCAGGGTTTATGGTATGATTCGAGTCACCCTTCTGTCAAATAGGAAAGCACTTCAGTCTTGGTTCTTGGAGCATGAATCTGCCTTGCAGGTTAGCACATGCTGCAGTCCAAATGTGAGCCTAGTTCTGGGAGAAGCCAGGGACTAGCCACCTTTTCAGGATACCTATCCGGAGTTCCCGGCAATGTGCGTCTGGGCCAGAATCTGAGGTTGGGTGTGTGGAACTGCACGGAGGGGTTACCTGTGTGGTCCCAAAGAAGAGAGGCAAACGTGCGACCTAAGCTTGGAGCATTTCTGTTTGGAGTGTATAGACTTAAACTGAGTGAACTGATTTGTCAGGAAATTGGGTCCCAAAATGTCAGCCCTAGAAGTCCCTTAGATGTCATCCAGCATGTACATTTTGTACATAGTGAACGCAGTCCCAGAGAGTGAGAGAGATTTGCCTGAGGCCATGGAGCTAATAAGCACCACAGCAGAACTGGAGGTTTCCAGCCTAATACTCCCTTCCGGCTGCACCACGAAGTACTCAAAAAAAATTTTTTTTTTTTTTGAGATGGACTTTCACTCTTGTTGCCCAGGCTGGAGTGCAATAGCGTGGTTTCGGCTTGCTGCAACCTCCGCCTCCCGGGTTCAAGTGATTCTTCTGCTTCAGCCTCCTGAGTAGCTGGGATTACAGGTGCGCGCCACCACTCCTGGCTAATGTTTGTATTTTTAGTAGATGCAGGATTTCACCATGTTGGCTAGGCTGGTCTTGAACTCCTGACCTCAAGTGATCCGCCTGCCTCGGCCTCCCCAAAGTGTTGGGATTACAGGCATGAGCCACCTCGCCCGGTCTTTTTTTTTTTTTTTTTTTTTTGTGACAGGGTCTTGCTCTGTCGCCCAGGCTGGAGTGCAGTGGAATCCCGGCTCACTGATGCCTTGACCTCCTGGGCTCAAACGATCTTCTCACCTCAGCCTCCTGAGTAGCTGGGACCACAGACACGTGCCACCATGCCTGGCTAATTTTTAAATTTTTATTGTTGTAGAGACGGGATCTTGCTATGTTGCTCAGGCTGATTCCAGCACCCAAGTGATCCTCCCACTTCAGCCTGAGATCACAGGTGTGTGCCACCACACCCAGCCCCATAACGTGCTTTTGATTCATTTGGCCGGAGCATCTGAGGGCAGTCAGAAAGTCTGGCAAAGCCAAGAGGGTGAAGTGAGCTTTAGCGATGGTGTCCAGGACAGGGCTGGTGATGGCGATGGAGGAGATGGCGGCTTGCTTAAAATCTCCCTACTCAGTCAAGCACAGTGGCTCACATCTGTAATCCCTGCACTTTGGGAGGCTGAGGCGGGTAGATCACCTGAGCTTAGGAGTTTGAGACGAGCCTGGCCAACATGGCAAAACCCTGTCTCTACTAAAAATACAAAAATTAACCAGGCGTGGTGGGGCTCGCCTGTAGTCTCAGCTACTCAGGAGGCTGAAGCACGAAAATCACTTGAACCCAGGAGGTGGAGGTTGCAGTGAGCCGAGATCACGCCACTGCACTCCAGCCTGGGGCACAGAGCGAGACTCTGTCTCAAAAAAAAGATCTTCCTACTCAGTGTCCAGGAGTGTTGTAAGCACTTTCCAGGAATTCACTCACTTGGCACTCTGAGGAGGGGCCTGGCACTCTCGGCTCTGCTCCTGAGGCTGTCCCTCTATGGGAAGGCGATTTCACTGTCTTGTATACCTGCCTTTGAAACGAAGCAGGCACTGCATTGCGTCAACCCTGATACAAAGTCAAGGAAATTGGCCCCACCGTGGATGCCAGCAGGGCTGGGGGAGAGAAGAGGAGACCCTGTGGAGCGGCCAGCAGCTGTCCCTGTCCTGGCCATCTGGGGATCACTGTCCTCACCGCTGTCACCTATGCAGGAAAATGCAGCTGGTGTGGAAAAGTCTGTGGAGGGTGAAGGCAGGCCTGATGCTGCAGGAGGCAATACAAGTCCAGTCTAGTAGGAATTTGCTTTGGGTGGCTTTTACCTTAAAAAAATGGTTATTATTTGAATGATGCATTTCACCCGAGCACGTCTGTGGTACGTGCCTGCCTCCATGTCTCTCGGTTTGGAGCCTGGAGGTGGGAGGAGGGAGGTGAGCTTTCTTCCATCATTCCTTGGTGTCTCCATTGCTCCCTGTCCCTGGCCACTGCGGCCTCGGAGGGGCCCCTCTGCGGTTTGAGACAGACCAGACGAGTGAGGGAGGGCTGGGCCAGCCCCAGGGGCTGACAGTCAGAGCTCCTGACCACCTCTCCTCCCACGCTGGTGACCGCTGAATTGCTGCCCAATGGCTGGAAATAGAAGGTGGGGCTCAGTCCCCGCTTTTTCTGCAAGGCCTGCTCCTCCCCAGCCTGCAGACATGCCAGGCAGAGCAGGATCCACGTCTGCCATGAACTTCCCGTCTTGTTCCTCCTTCCCACCCTGTGTTCCCCAACTTCTTTCCTTCACCCACTCTTCAGGGTTTGGCTATGTTTGTGAACTATCTGTACTATGATTCTCTTAACAGCTTTCCAAACATTGACTTACTCTTTTTTTTTTTTTGAGACGGAGTCTCACTCTGTTGCCCAGGCTGGAGTGCAGTGGCGCGATGTTGGCTCACTGCAACCTCTGTCTCCCGGGTTCAAGAGATTCCCCTGCCTCAGCCTCCCGAGTAGCTGGGACTACAGGCGCCTGCCACCACGCCTGACTGATTTTTGTATTTTTAGTAGAGATGGGGTTTCACCATATCAGCCAGGATGGTCTCGATCTCCTGACCTCGTGATCCGCCCGCCTCAGCCTCCCAAAGGACTTACTCTTAAAATATCAACACATACTTTAAGGAATAGCTGAGTGAACGAGTTGCATATGCTGGTTGTGCTTTTCCTGAAACTTTCAAATAAACATTACAAAACTCCTCATCCAGGTGGCACTCCCTTGTGAATCACTTGTGACAGGCAGACCTCATTTTGGGACATAATCAAAAATGGGTTTTCCAAGGGTGTCCCTCTAATCAGCCTGTAGGGGGATGTGGGTACCCACAGCTCAATTGCCAGAGGACGGAGTGATTTTTGTTTTGTTTTATGTTTTTTTTTTTTTTTTTTTTTTGAGACAGAGTCTCACTCACTCTGTCGCCCAGGCTGGAGTGAAGTGACACGATCTTGGCTCACTGCAACCTCCACCTCCCAGGTTTAAGTGATTCCCTGCCTCAGCCTCCTGAGTAGCTGGGAACTACAAGCACACACCACCATGTACAGCTAATTTTTTTTTTTTGTACTTTTAGTAGAGATGGGATTTTGCCATGTTGGCCAGGTAGGTCTCAAACTCCTGTCCTCAAGTGATCCACCAGCCTCAGCCTCCCAAAATGCTGGGATTACAGGCATGAGCCACTGCACCCGGCCAAGGATGGAGTGATTTTGGAGGAACACCTATTGCCTTTCCTCATCAGTCCTGGTAAGGGACTTACTTGACAGGGAGGTGGCCCCAGTCTTTGGTTTCTCCCTCTCTTTTATTTTATTTATTTATTTTTTTGAGAGGGAGTTTCCCTCTTTTTGCCCAGGCTGGAGTACAATGGCATGATCTCAGCTCACTGCAATCTCCACCTGCCCGGTTCAGGTGATTCTCCTGCCTCAGCCTCCCGAGTAGCTGGGATTACAGGCATGCACCACCATGGCTGGCTAATTTTGTATTTTTAGTAGAGACAGGGTTTCACCATGTTGGCCAGGCTGGTCTCGAACTCCTGACCTCAGGTAATCCGCCCGCCTTGGCCTCCCAAAGTGCTGGGATTACAGGCGTGAGTCTGTAATCTCCCTCTTATGTCTTCCCTGAGGGCAGTACCCCAGGATCTATCCAGAGCCAGCCTCTGACAGACACAGGCAGGCCACAGTGTTCCCCACCGCTGGGTGAGAACTGCCCTGCCACAGACTTGCTTTCCTTGTGTCTGGGTTGCAAGGTCAGGATCTGGGGGAAAAGGAGAAGAGGGGTTCATGTCAGTCTCGGGATATGCGGACCCAGATGCCAGGTGCTGTGTCCTGAGTTTGGCCTGAGAAAGATCTAGGCCCTGCTGGGTTTACAGGAGTTTTGTACACTCAGATTGAATTCCTCTCCCTCTCTTATCTGCCTCACTCCCTCTTGTGCACCGCACTGTAGCCATGGGCTCACCTTTCTGCACATTGAACATGCTGTGCTTATTGTGACCTCAGGACCTTTGCACACACTGGTCTTCCTTCCTGGAATGCTTTTCCCCTGCAGGGCCAGCTTCTCATCATTCAGGCTTCTGCACATATGTCTCCTTCCCTGCCCACCCCCACCCCAGGCACGCTGCAGAGCTTCCTACAGTGTGGGGTGGCCAAGCACTCCAGGCCCCCTCTTTCCTTTTGGTCAGGCCCACACACCATCGCACTGGCCCAAGAATCGTCTTGCCAGTGAGAGGGAAGAGGAGGACCCTGCAGCGGGTCCCCACTCAGTGCTGCTAGTCTGGGCCTGGCCCGAGGAGACGGTGTTATTGGTGGAATGTATGTCAGCAGGAAGGCCCGGAGAACATGCTTCTGTTCCTGCACCTCACACGCGTGGCCTGTCCTTGGGGGAGGTCATGCCCTGGGCACTGAATTCCTGTTTATTTGAGCTTCCAATGTGGCAATCTATGGGTTTAGTTGCTCATTCAGTCTCTAATTTATGGGACTCAACCTCCCCACCCTTCATAAAGGAAGCCGGCCATTAGTAGGAGTCTGGAAAATGTGAACCAGCAGAAGTAGGTGAGTTTTCTGAGTTTTCTTTCTTGGTCATTTATTTATGGTGGGGTTATACAGAGCCCCTCCGCCCCCACCACACATATGCACATGCTTGATTCCTTTCAACAGAAAAAGAGGCAGGAAAGGATGTGTAAAATGAAGAGCTTCACCGGGGGCTGGCCATCGGTTGGCTCCAGTGAGTGGGAGCGGATCTTGTTATGATTGTCCCTGAAAGGACAGGTGGTAGTTAGATTTAGGGGGAAAAGGAGACAGAGCCCGGCATTCATTTCAAAGGCCTGCTCTTGGGCTCTAGCCCCTTCTACTCGGGAGGGGCCCAGGAAGCTGCATTCAGAAGGAGGATGACCTCAGGCCTGACTCAGAGAAGCCCTGCCCTGGAGGTAAAGAGCACAAACTCCAGTCAGAACTCGGTTCCAATCCCAGCTCCTCCACTCGTTGGCTCTGTAAAGCACTCAGCACCTCTGAGTCCCACTTTTCCTGCCTGGTATCCAAGGGCTAGAGAGGAAGGTGGGGGAGAGTATGGCAGGAGTGGGGTCCCGGCAAGCCATAGAGGTATGGTAAGAGCATCCTGGACCAGTAGCCCTCTGACTCCCAGCCCATGACGTGGCCTCGCTGCCTCAGCTGCTTGCAAGCATAAGCTTGGAGCTGCCTTCTTCTGGACTCTGGGGTATCCATCTCCTTGACCTGGCTGTGAATGGATTTGAGTGTGTGATATGCCTGAAATGACCCCCAGTGGGTCAAAGCACCCCCAGCTTCCATGACACTCTCAAAAGGGCCTATGGCCCCAAAGCTAATACCTGGCTGACCGCACCCCTCTTGTCTCCCCAGGGCCCACCGGAACGACATGGAGACCATCTACCCCTTCCTTTTCCTGGGCTTCGTCTACTCCTTTCTGGGTCCTAACCCTTTTGTCGCCTGGATGCACTTCCTGGTCTTCCTCGTGGGCCGTGTGGCACACACCGTGGCCTACCTGGGGAAGCTGCGGGCACCCATCCGCTCCGTGACCTACACCCTGGCCCAGCTCCCCTGCGCCTCCATGGCTCTGCAGATCCTCTGGGAAGCGGCCCGCCACCTGTGACCAGCAGCTGATGCCTCCTTGGCCACCAGACCATGGGCCAAGAGCCGCCGTGGCTATACCTGGGGACTTGATGTTCCTTCCAGATTGTGGTGGGCCCTGAGTCCTGGTTTCCTGGCAGCCTGCTGCGCGTGTGGGTCTCTGGGCACAGTGGGCCTGTGTGTGTGCCCGTGTGTGTGTATGTGTGTGTGTATGTTTCTTAGCCCCTTGGATTCCTGCACGAAGTGGCTGATGGGAACCATTTCAAGACAGATTGTGAAGATTGATAGAAAATCCTTCAGCTAAAGTAACAGAGCATCAAAAACATCACTCCCTCTCCCTCCCTAACAGTGAAAAGAGAGAAGGGAGACTCTATTTAAGATTCCCAAACCTAATGATCATCTGAATCCCGGGCTAAGAATGCAGACTTTTCAGACTGACCCCAGAAATTCTGGCCCAGCCAATCTAGAGGCAAGCCTGGCCATCTGTATTTTTTTTTTTCCAAGACAGAGTCTTGCTCTGTTGCCCAAGCTGGAGTGAAGTGGTACAATCTGGCTCACTGCAGCCTCCGCCTCCCGGGTTCAAGCGATTCTCCCGCCTCAGCCTCCTGAGTAGCTGGGATTACAGGCGCGTATCACCATACCCAGCTAATTTTTGTATTTTTAGTAGAGACGGGTTCACCATGTTGCCCAGGAGGGTCTCGAACTCCTGGCCTCAAGTGATCCACCGGCCTCGGCCTCCCAAAGTGCTGGGATGACAGGCATGAATCACTGTGCTCAGCCACCATCTGGAGTTTTAAAAGGCTCCCATGTGAGTCCCTGTGATGGCCAGGCCAGGGGACCCCTGCCAGTTCTCTGTGGAAGCAAGGCTGGGGTCTTGGGTTCCTGTATGGTGGAAGCTGGGTGAGCCAAGGACAGGGCTGGCTCCTCTGCCCCCGCTGACGCTTCCCTTGCCGTTGGCTTTGGATGTCTTTGCTGCAGTCTTCTCTCTGGCTCAGGTGTGGGTGGGAGGGGCCCACAGGAAGCTCAGCCTTCTCCTCCCAAGGTTTGAGTCCCTCCAAAGGGCAGTGGGTGGAGGACCGGGAGCTTTGGGTGACCAGCCACTCAAAGGAACTTTCTGGTCCCTTCAGTATCTTCAAGGTTTGGAAACTGCAAATGTCCCCTTGATGGGGAATCCGTGTGTGTGTGTGTGTGTGTGTGTGTGTGTGTGTGTGTGTGTGTGTGTTTTCTCCTAGACCCGTGACCTGAGATGTGTGATTTTTAGTCATTAAATGGAAGTGTCTGCCAGCTGGGCCCAGCACCTCGTCTTGGGTTGCGCGTTCCTGGTGTTCCCTGCTGCCCAAGCTGGCCTGATGCTCCAGCGCGCTGGGCGTTCTTGCCGGTGACTGTCTACAGCCAGTTTGGCGGGACAAGATCTCTGGCGCAGACACCAACGCGCCCTGGCTGGGTGTTAATCACACAGCAAGCAGCAGCCTCCTGCCTCCCGTTGGGGCGGGTAAGGTGGCATCTGGCGAGGTGAGCCAGGAGCACCCAAATCCTGCCCCGGCCAGGTCACCCCTCCCTGCGGGGCTGCCCCGCCCGCGGGCTGCCATTATCAGCTCCGTCAACCAGGACACGGAGACTCCAGGAGGCCAGCGCCCGGAAGTGCGGGGCCAGGTCTGAAAGTCGGGGCTGCCAAAGTCCCTGGGCGGAGCCCCTGTGCTGCACGGCCTCACTTTCCCTGAACGCCCCCTCCCAGCACCCCGAGGCCGGAGCCCCTCTAACGGATGGGACCTGCCGTGCCGGGGGTTCTCCAGCAGCGCAGGGACCCCAGGCCCCGCCAGAAAGCGCCGTGAGGCCCCGGGTCCCGTTCGGAGCTGAGAGGGGAAACACTGCCCCCTGGTGGTAAGGGGACGCCTCTGTTTTTGGGCCGCGGCGGCTCTCGGGAGAGAAACGGGAAGGGCGCGATCCAGTATTGAGCACCTACTGCTTGCTAAGCGTTGGGCTGGGCATACTAGTTGGATTTTTTTCCAACTTATGTCTGTAATTCAAGCACTTTGGGAGGCCGAAGTTGGAAGATCTGAGCCCAGGGGTTTGAGACTAGCCTGGGCAACAGAGCTAGATCCCTTTTCTACCAAAAAAAAAAAAAAGAATTAGCCGGGTGTAATGGTGCCTGCCTATGGTCCCAGCTACTCGGGAGGCTGAGGCAGGAGGATCGCTTGAGCCTGGGAAGTTGAGGCTGCAGTGAGCCGAGATCCCACCACTGCACTCCAGCCCGGGCAACAGAGGGAAAATGTCTCAAAAAAAAAAAAAAAAAATCCCCAAAACAATCCGAGGCAGGAGGGATTTCCGCTTTCTAGATGAGGAAGGTGAGGGTTTTTAGATGAGAGAGGCAAGGTTCACAGGAAGGAGGCTTGTAGGGGGTGTCTCCTCACAGGGGAGAGGTGACTTGCCTGCTGTCCCTGGGCTCGGACAGTGTAAGGCCAGAGGGAGGACAGATCCCAGGGCAGGGGCCATCCAGGAGGCGAACCCAGCGTGCATTCTTGTTGTTGTTGTTGTTGTTGTTTGAGATGGAGTCTCACTCTGTCACCCAGGCTGGAGTGCAGTGGTGCCATCTCGGCTCACTGCAACCTCTCCTTCCCAGGTTCAAACCATTCTCCTGTCTCCGCCTCCCGAGTAGCTGGGATTACATACAGGCATGTGCCACCACACCCGGCTAATTTTTATATTTTTAGTAGAGACAGGGTTTCACCATGTTGGCCAGGCTGGTCTCGAACTCCTGACCTCAAGTGATCTGCCTGCCTCAGCCTCCCAAAGTGCTGGGATTACAGGAGTGAGCCACCGTGCCTGGCCACAGCAGCGTGCGCTTTTATATTTATATTTTCCTTCCTGGGGAAAGAGGGGCTCTGTGGGCAAAATAACCTGCTGGGAACCCACCGGACCCAGGTGAGCAGGGGCATCGGATGCCCATGGCAATACTGTGAACCTGGGGCGTGGGTGAAGGAGGCGGCCCCCACCACACTGGAGCCGCAGAGACCACGAGACCATGAGGTCCCCTGCCCGGCACCGCCCCTGTTCTGTCGGCTTGTGAGTGCCTCCTCAGGGTGGGGTGGTGCCCGATGCTGGGGTGGCAACCTCATCCTGCCCCCCGTCCCCATGCATGCAGCTCCAGCCTGGGGTGGGCGGGCTCCGCAGGACGGCGCCCGTGATGACCCCAAGGCTCAGCGCCCTGATGGAGGCAGATGGGGCCTTTTAACCCCTGCTGGGGAGCGGCTGCCTGGGGAGGGGGCAACTCACCTGCGGTGGGGGGTGAAAGAGCGGTTTTAAGGGGACCATCCAAGCCAAGAAAGCAAGGAGCAAAGAGAAGAGCTCAGCAGCTCTCCCCAGACCCCTCCACCTTGAGCTTGGGAAGTGGAGGGCGGTGGGGAAAGTTGGGGAGGAAAAGTGTGAGGGTTGATGGTGTGGAGGGGAGATGTACGGAGGGGCGTGGGGGTAGGGGGAGGGAGTGGGGATGGGGGAGGGATGGGGTATGAAAGGGAGGCGTGGGGGGTGTGGAGAAGGGGTGGATATGGAAGGGAGGGGTAGGGGTGGGGTGGGTGTTGGGGATGAGTGTGGGGGAGGGGTGGGTATGGAAAGGAGGGGCAGGGGTCGGGGTGGTTGTGGGGGAAGATTGGGACATGGAAGGGAGGGGTGGGGTGGGGTGGGTGTTGGGGATGTGTGTGGGGGAGGATTGGGGTATGGAAGGAAGACAGGGTGGGGTGGGGTGGGTGAGGGTGTTGTGGGAGTGGTGCGTATGGAAGGGAGGCTTGGGTTGGGCTGGGTTGGGGGTGGGTGTCGGGGAGTGGTGGGTATGGAAGGGAGGTGGGGGTGGGAGACAGATGGGCATAGAAATGAGGTGTAAGTGTGGGAGGGGCTAAAGGGATCAGCAGTGTGGGGTCACGAGCCTCTGGCCCTTATCAGGGAGTCTGGGGCTGTGGGTCACGCCGGGATGGGCTTGGCATGGCTGGCTTTGTTTCCTAAGAGGACCTCTGGCTCTGCCGTGGGAGGGCAGGGGGTGTGGACAGCCAGGCAGTGGACACAGTGGGCAGTGGCATGGCTCTTGCTTCCCCAGTGGCTTGGACAGTCCCCTGGCTACTCGCCCAGGAGCTGGAGGACCCAGGTGCGGGGGAGAGAAGAGAGGGGCAGTACCCAGGATGGTGTCTGGGCTGCTATGAGGAGCCCATTGAATTTTTTAAGGGAGAGAAGGAGGCCCTGGAGGCCTGTGCTGCTCCCACCCAAGATCAGACCCAACCCTCGGGGATGGGGAGGGCCAGGAAGAGGTCTTCTGGCTCCACAGCCAGGGCCCTAGGGGGCCAGGGCCCATCTCCCGGGCAGCAGTGGAGCACAGTAGGCCAGCGAGGCAGGGAGGGCATCTCATGGTTTTCTTTTTTCTTTTCTGAGACAACAGTCTTGCTCTAGCCCAGGCTAGAGTGCAGTGGCACGATCTCGGCTCACTGCAGCCTCCGCCTCCTGGGTTCAAGCGATTCTCCTGCCTCAGCCTGCCGAGTAGCTGGGATTACAGGCATGCGCCACCACACCAGGCTAATTTTTGTATTTTTAGTAGAGACGGGGTTTCACCATCTTGGCCAGGCTGGTCTCGAACTCCTGAACTCAGATGATCCGCCTCGGCCTCCCAAAGTGCTGGGATTACAGGTGTGAGCCACCATGCCCAGCCGCATCCTTTTCTTTTTCTAACAGATGGGGGCGGGGGGAGTCTGGCTCTATCATCCAAGTTGGAAAGCAGTGGCACCATTGCAGCTCACTGCAGCCTTGAATTCCTGGGCTCAGGCAATCCTCCCACCTCAGCCTCCTGAGTAGCTGGGACCACAGATGTGTGCACCACGCCTGGCTAAAGCACCTCATGGTTGATCGCATCTTCCGAACTGACCAGAGGCAGAGTGGGAATTGGTACCGAGTGCAAGATGACCTCAGGCACTGGCGGGGTTCTTCCTGACCTCATCCCCCACGCCTGTGGCCCCCCACGCCTGCAGCCCATCTTCCTCCCAACTCCCCCCAGATTTAGCTCAACTCCTGGGGGCTGTCTCCTCCTTCCTGACCCTGGAGTTGGGGGCACTGGGAAGGGTGGGCCTCGGCTGTCTGTGGTCTAGGGGGCAGAGGGCACTGAGCAGAAGCCTGGGGGGCCCAGAGCCTCGATTCAGGGAGGCAGGCAAGGACTTTTTCCTCTTGGGGGCAGTGAATGGGGCCAAGGTCCAGGCCTGCAAAGCTGAAGCTGCCCTAGTTGGGGCCCACTGTCTGGAGCATCTTCTCCCGAGCTCTGAGTGAGCAGTTGGAATTCATGTAGACCCAAGGCCCAGGGAACAGGATAGCAATCTGGGGGCCTCTTTTCATGATATGTCAGTGAGATCTCATGTTACAGAAGCCTTCATTCCCACCCCACACACCTTCTTAGGAGGAAGCCCATGGCAGGTGATGGCAGCTGTGCCCTGCCCACCTGGGCTCCCCCATCTCTCGTGACAGGCCCACCAAGGACCTCCTGGGGCTCCCTCGACAAACAGGTTAATGAGTCTAATGTCTCAAGGCTTCTGAGAACCTCCCTGGTGCGTGAGGACCTTGAGGGTGAGGATGAGGGCAGGCAATGATGACAGTGGACAGAGGGACCTGCTGTTCACCGCCTTGGATGCTGGTCTGCGAGGCAGGGATCGAACCTGGGGACCCCCTGGGAAGGCAGAATCCACAGGATTGAGGGGATTCCTGGGCCTCTGTGTGTGTATCCTGGGAGGATGCTGCGGTTGGGAACAGGTTTCCAGGCAGGCCAGGCTGGAAGGTTGCACTGTTTCTAATTCAAGGCAGTCCAAAGAGGGATTATCTGTTGGGGCTGGTAAGAATCCAGGCAGGCTTCCCAGGAGAGGCATCGCTTGAATTAAAACTTGTTTATGTTTTTAGGCTGGGTGCAGTGGCTTACTCCTGTAAATCAACCCCAGCACTTTGGGAGGCCCAGCCAGGCTGATCATTTGAGACCAGGAGTTCGAGTCCAGCCTGGCCAACATGGCAAAACTCCATCTCTATTAAAAATACAAAGATTAGGTCGTGTGCAGTGGCTCACGCCTGTAATCCCAGCACTTTAGGAGGGTGAGGTGGGCGGATCATGAGGTCTGGAGATCGAGACCATCCTGGCAAACATGGTGAAACCTCAGCTCTACTAAAAATAACAAAAATTAGCTGGGCGTGGTGGGCGGGTGCCTGTAATCCCAGCAACTCAGGAGGCTGAGGCAGGAGAATCGCTTGAACCCGGGAGGCGGAGGTTGAAGTGAGCCGAGATCGCACCACGGCACTCCAGCCTGGGTGACAGAGCGAGACTCTGTCTTAAAGAAAGGCTTGTTTAAGTTTCTGAACTTGTTAATTATATGTACTTGCAAGTAATGGTCGATGTCACAGGTTTAGAAACTACAGGAAAGCTCACAAGAGCTCACAAGAGAAACATCAACCCCTCCAGGAATCACCATGCGGAGGCTGACCCAGGCCGGGCTCCGGGCGCTCTGGGACTCCTGTTCAAGCGCCTTGCAGTGAGGCCCTGGGTCACTGCAGTACCTCCCGACTGGATCCCTGAGTCTACCCTGGGCCCTTACGGTCACTCCCCACCCAGAGTCAGAGGCCCCCATCACCCCTGTGTGCGAAGCCCTCAGGTGGCTTTGATCCTGCTTGGAGGAAGGCCAAGTTCTCAAGAGGCCAGCAAGGTACCTCGAGGTCGTCAGTGTGCAGACCCCCTTTACCTTCTGTGTCTTTATCTCATTGCCCGTGTCCCCCTAGGATGTGCACTTGAGGGGCACCGGGATTTCGGTCTGTGCCGTTCTCTGCCGTGCCTGTGTCCCCGGCTCCTGGGGAAGATATGTTAAGTGAAGAAACGGATGTGAATGATGAGTGTGTACATGCACGTGTGTGTGGATACAAGCAGAGGGCCACAGGGAGGTTCAGGTTGTTTTTTCCCCCACCGGACCAAATTGAAGACTATATTCAGGATGGAATTCCACAGCAAAAGATATTTACAGAGGGCTTCTCAGCATCGGGGAGACGCCAGTGTGTCACAGCGGTGAGTGCTGTCTGTGCTCGGGGCTCACAGCCTTGAAGAGACACCTAAGACTTGCTTTTTTTATCATCGCTTGAGAATTTCCTTTGATCATACATCTGCATGTACTCCTAGGGGTCTCGGTGGTCAGTGGCATGAACTGTGACAGTGCCCTTGCACGGTACATCATCATCCTGGAGACCCTCATCATTTATTTAATCAGCCCTCGTTGTTGGATAATTGATTCATCAGGGTGCATGAGCACATGCCATGCTTTCAATGGGCGTCTTCGTACATCAATCTCTGTGCACAGCGGATGCAGGACAGGCGAGCCTCAAAGCAAGGCTTAGCCCGTGATGGTTCTTGGCTTTGCCCAGGAAATAATTCAAGGGCAAGCCATGGTAGAGCAGAAGAAAACAGCTTTATTGAAGCAACGGTGTCACAGCTCCGTGACTGCTCCTGCAGAACAGGGCTACCCCCACAGGTAGAGAGGGGCAGCTCAGGGCAGTTTTGCGGACATATTTATACCTACTTTTAATTATATTTTAATTAATGTAGATTAAGGGGCAGTTTATGCAGAAATTTCTAGGGAAGGGGTAGTCACTTTTGGGTTGTTGGGTCATTGCCATGGAAATGGGGGGTAACTCCTGGGTGTTGCCATGGCGATAGTAAACTGACATGGCACACTGGTGATCTGTGGTATGGAAAGCTGCTTCTGCCCCCGTCCCTGTTTTGGCTAGTCCTCAATTGGTCCGGTGTCTGAGCCCCACCTCCAGAGTTGAGTCCCACCTCCTACCTCACAGCCATTTCGTTAAAGTATGTTTCTTTCTCTCCCTTCCTTCCTTCCTTTTCTTTCCTTCCTCCCTTCCCTCCCTCCCTCCCCGTCTCTCTTTTCTTTTCTTTTCTTTTCTTTTCTTTCTTTCCTTCTTTCCCTCCCTCCCTTCCTTTCTTTTCTTTTCTTTCTTCTTTCTTTCTTTCCAAGACAGGGTCTTGCTCTGTCATCCAGGCTATAGTGCAGTGGCACAATCATAGCTCACTGCAGCCTTGACCTCCTGGGCTCAAGTGATCCTTCCACCTCAGCCTCCCAAATAACTGGGACCACAGGCATGCACCACCACACTTGGCCAATTTTTTGACTTTTTTGTAGAGACAAGGTCTCGCTATGTTGCCCAGGCTGGTCTCAAACTCCTGGACACAAGCGATCCTACTGCCTCAGCCTCCCAAAGTGCTGGGATTACAGGCGTGAGCCACTGTGCCCCTCCTAAAATATGTTTCTAGAAGTAAAACTGCTGGGTCAAAAAGGCATGTCTGTTTGGGACGTGTAGTACATATTGTCCTCCAAAAAGATGGTTCCAATTTGGACAGGATTTTTTAGAGTGTTGTCAATTTTTAGTACCTAAGTAGAGAAATTTACAAGTATATATATAAAGAATAGGGACCACCCAGAATCCCACCTCCCTGTAAAAAGTCACTGGTCACATTATCGTTTATGACTTTCCAGATTCTTTTACTATGCATGTTAAACATATATAATGTCATATGGATATATGTGGATATATATATCTAAAAGAGAGAGTGAGCCTGGGAGGTAGGCAGTGTTTCTCCACCTCTAAGCCCCTTTTGATGATGTTATTGTGATGGTCCCTAGAGATGCAGGTTTGAGGCCACCCAGCTGACGGTGGCTGCCCCCTCAGTATCTACACCAGCCAAGAAGAGTTTGAGTAGCTTCACTTTTAGAAGTTTGAATTATGAAACTAGGGCTTTTTTTTTCCATTTTCCAAATATAAAATTATAACACGGAGTTATATATATTTTTTATTATGTTTGCTGACTGTCCAGAATTGAACTTGGCCAGGCGCAGTGGCTCACGCCTGTAATCCCAGCACTTTGGGAGGCCCAGGTGGGTGGATCATTTGAGACTGGAGTTCGAAACCAGACTGGGCAACATAGTGAAACCCCATCTCGAAAAATAAATACAAAAATTAGCTGGGTGTGGTGGCGCATGCCTGTAGTCCCAGGTACTTGCGAGGCTGAGGCAGGAGGCGGAGGTTGCAGTGAGCCCAGATCATGCCACTGCACTTCAGCCTGGGTGACAGAGTGAGGCCATGTCTCAAAATAATAATAATAATAAATAAAAAAAAATTTAAAAGGTGACACTACATTGTAACCTCATTGGAGTGGATTTTTGCTGGCAAAGGGGTTGGATGGGAAGCTGTTGCTACAGGGAGACAGGGAGGAGGGATACAATGGAAAGAGGGGACCGAATTGTTAGGATTGTCTGAAGAATCTGGCCAGGTGCAGCAGCTCACGCCTGTAATCCCAGCACTTTGGGAGGCTGAGGCGGGCGGATCACCTGAGGCCAGGAGTTTGTGACCAGCCTGGCCAACATGGTGAAACCTTGTCCCTACTAAAAATACAAAATGAATCAGGCGTGGTGGCAGGTGCCTGTAGTCCCAGCTACTCAGGAGGCTGAGGCAGGACAATCGCTTGAACTTGGGAGGTGGCGATTGCAGTGAGCCGAGATTGTGCCATTGCACTCCAGCCTGGGTGACAAGAGCGAAACTCTGTCTCAAAAAAAAAAAAAAATCTGGGTAGGGACGAGGCGGGGTTAAGGTTGGATGGTGGCACTGTAGACACCTGGCCTGGGTGATTGATCTTTGCTGCAAGGGCCCTGGGGAGCCAAGGGAGGCTCTAGGCAGGGAAGAGACATGATCCGTGATCAAGGCTGTGTTTTAGACAACTGGCCTGTTGACTGTGCAGAATGGCCAGGAAGGAGATAAATAAGACAAGAGGCTGTTTACTGTGGACTGGCAGGTAATTAGAGCAGGGGCCTACCATCCAGTCTGCTCTGTGGCAGGTCTGGGGGTTCCCTGGGTGTCCCGTGGGCCAAGGGAGGCCAAGCTCAAGGTGAACTTTCTTTTCTTTCTTTCTTTTTTTTTTTTTTTTTTTTGCGGGGGGGAGACAGAGTCTTGCTCTGTCGCCCAGGCAAGAATGCAATGGGGCAATCTCGGCTCACTATAACCTCTGCCCCCCCGGGTTCAAGCAATTCTCCTGTCTCAGCCTCTGGAGAAGCTGGGATTACAGGTGTGCACCACCACGCCTGGCCAATTTTTGTATTTTTAGTAGAGACGGGGTTTCACCTTATTGGCCAGGCTGGTCTCCAACTCCTGACCCTCAGGTGATACTCCCGTCTCGGCCTCCCAAAGTGCTGGGATTACAGGTGTGAGCTACCGCACCAGCCAAGGTAAACTTTCAAGCTTCATTCCCACCTGTGTTAGTTTTTTATGGCTGTGTAACAAGTTGCCAGTTTAAAACTATACACGCTTACGATCATACAGTTCCTGTAGGTCAGGAGTCTGGGCGAGGCTCAGCTTGGTGCTGTGCTCAGGACCTCCCAGGGCTGCAATCGAGGTGTCATCCAGGCTGAGTCTCACTTGAAGCTCAGTGTCTTCTTCTAAGCTTGTTTGAATTGTAGGCAGAATTGGGCTCCTTGTGGTTCTGAAACTGAAGCCCTCAGCTCCTGGCGGCCTCCCCCTCCGCAGGCACTTCACAGCATAGCTGTTTGCGTCTTCCAGCTCAGCAGGAAAGTGGCTGTCTGCTTGGAATCTCTTCTTTCAGGGACAACCTGGATCTTTCAAAAGGCTCGCCTGATTAGGTCAGGCCCACCAGGGAGAATCTTCCTTTTGCTTACATCAGCGTCAACTGAGTGGAGACCTTAATTACATCTGAAAAATCCTTTCACCTTTGCCGCACTCTATTTGTCAGAAACAAGCCACAGTTTCCGCTCAAGGAGAAGGGATTACACAAAGGTGGGACTACCTGGGGTGGGAATCACAGGGCCATCTTTTTTTTTTTTTTTTTTTTTTGAGACGGAGTCTTGCTCTGCAGTGCAGGCTGGAGTTCAGTGGTGTGATCTTGGCTCACTGCAACCTCCACCTCCCGGGTTCAAGCGATTCTTCTGCCTCAGCCTATCGAGTAGCTGGGATTACAGGTGTGTGCCACCACGCCTGGCTAATTTTTTGTATTTTTAGTAGAGATGCCATGTTGGCCAGGCTGATCTCAAACTCCTGACCTCAGGTGATCTGCCTGCCTTGGCCTCCCAAAGTGCTGAGATTACAGGTGTGCGCCACTGTGCCCGGCTAATTTTTTGTATTTTTAGTAGAGATGCCATGTTGGCCAGGCTGGTCTCAAACTCCTGACCTCAGGTGATCTGCCTGCCTCGGCCTCCCAAAGTGCTGGGATTACAGGTGTGAGCCACTGCGCCCGGCTGGCAGGGCCATGTTAGAATTGTATCTGCCACACCGTCTCTCTTTTGAGTCCCCCTTCTGATTTCAAGGTGCTCATTCCTGACTGCCTTATATCCCAAGCTCAATCCATTCCCACTTTTTCTAAGGTGTGAACTAAGAATTAAGAAGTTCTTGGAGAGCCATTACGCAGTGGCTCACACCTGTAATCCCAGCAGTTGGAGAGGCCAGAGCGGGAGAATCACTTGAGTCCAAGAGTTTGAGGTTATAGTGAGCAAGGATCTCACCACTGCACTCCAGCCTGGGAGACAGATGTTCTCAAACACACTGTTTCCAGTACCTCCACTGACCAGCAAGTATCCAGAGGACACATCTAGCTCTGTGTGAGGCACCAGGGGGACACAAAACACAGGGAAGAAAGCACTTTTTTTTTTTTTGAGACGGAGTCTCACTCTGTCACCCAGGCTGGAGTACAGTGGCATGATCTCAGTTCACTGCAACCTCCGCCTCCCGGATTCAAGCAATTCTCCTGCCTCAGCCTCCTGAGTAGCTGGGACTACAGGTGTGCGCCACCACGCCTGGCTAATTTTTGTATTTTTAGTAGAGACGAGGTTTCACCATGCTGGCCAGGCTGGTCTCAAAATCCTGACCTCGTTATCCGCCCGCCTCGGCCTCCCAAAGTGTTGGGATTACAGGTGTGAGCCACCAGTCCCAGCCAAAAGCACATTTTTTTTTAACCTTTGAAGACCTTATTATGTACTCGAGGCTGTTACATTGGCCTGCTTTCTTTTTAAAGATTGTTTTTTCTATAAAGTTATTTTAAAAATATGGAGACTCGTGGATTGTGAGTCACCATAAAATTTAAGCTAATTGGCCTGGCAGAGCGGCTCAGCCCTATAATCCCAGCACTTTGGGAGGCCCGGGCAGGTGGATTGCCTGAGGTCAGGAGTTTGAGACGAGCCTGGCCAACATGGTGAAACCCTGTCTCTACTAAAAATACAAAAAGTTAGTTGGGTATAGTGGCGCAGGCCTGTAGTCCCAGCTACTCGAGAGCCTGTGGCAGTAGAACCAATTGAACCAGGGAGGTGGAGGTTGCAGTGAGCCGAGGTTGTGCCATACTCCAGCCTGGGTGACAGAGTGAGACTCAGTCTCAAAAAAAAAAAAAAAAAAAAAATTAAGCTACTCACATTTTGGCTTGTGTCTTTCCAGATTTTTTACATTGCACGTATAAAATATGTGATAAACACTGATGTGCACATTGCTTCCCCCGCCCCCCGATTTTGAGATTTTGATTATTTTTCAAAGTAGAGCTTAGAGACGGGTTTGCTGGGGGAAAGCATGTGAATATCTTCACGGCTGTTGGTTCCTGTTTCCTAAGGCTTCTGTAAACGCTGTAACCCCTGCTGGTGGTTTGGGATTTGCTTGTTTCTTTGTCTTTCCAGAGGAGGCTGGGTCAGGAGCCCGTTGCCAGCCCTGGAGATCTCCCAGGAGAGCGGAGAGGATGGGGTGTGTGCGGCCACATCGCGGGAACCCAGTCCAGGGCCCTGCAGCGGCCCCACGGCGCCCCCCAGGGGCGAGAAGCAGAGGTGCAGGAGCCGGAGGTACCAAGTTGATTTGGGTCCCCAGCTGGGGCTCCTAAGGCTAGTGGACATCAAAGGAACGGGGGAAGAGCCTCTGGACCGGGTATGCCGGGTCTCTGGACAGAGAAAGTGCCATTTCACCCCAGGAAGGGGAGTACGTATATTTTCTCAAACTCCATCCCTCACCCTGTGCTCCTCCACCGTAAACACTGAGGCACCCATTTATGGGCGGGAACTTTGTGCCAACAACCCTATGCAGTGGGTTCTGTAATTATCCCCATTTTACAGACAAGGAAACCAAGTCCCCGAGAAGTGCCTTGTCCAGGGTCACAGGACCAGAAACTCTAGTCTTTATTTCTCTGGTTTGGGTTTTTGCAAGAGCTGACTGTCTTTCCTTCAATCTCTCTCTCTCCTTCCCCCTCCCTTTCTCTCTCAAGTTCTTTTATTTCACATAAAAAAAAATAAAAGCAGAGACACGCAATGCCCTCTCCCAAACTCAAGCTCACTTGGCCAAATGGGCAAAGGCAGCAAGTTCTTCAGCCCAGGGCAGGGCCTTAGGTACCTTGTCCTCATGGAAAAATGATACCCTGGGATGGGTGCCCAGGAAGCTGCCCACACAGCCCTGCAATTAGGGCTACAATAGCGACAGCAGTGTTTGAATATTTTCTCTTTTATAGGGAGGGCTGCCTCGACCCCTCCCTCAGCTTCCCGGAGCAGCATGTGTAAACGATTAAGCTGGTTTGTTTTCTCTAGAGCGTTCGGAGGAAGTGACATTAACATCCTCATGGTCCAACGGCAAGGCCAGCACCTCCGTGGGAAGGTCCCCGTTTTTTTCTGAAGCTGGCCTTCCTGGGACTGGCCTCCCAGGCCCCCACCTGGTGTGACCTCATCACTGCACAGGCAGCCTCAGCCTGGCGATTCTTCAGGGTGCCCTCCCTTTGGGTTGAAAAGTAGAAAGGCCTGAGATGCCTGCACCAGGCCTGGAGCACTGGCCAGGGGCCTGGGTTGGGGGGTCTGTCCACTCACGAGCTCCCAGGTTAGTGCTTCCTGGGGGAAAACAGCCTGCTCTTCCCGGCTGCCCGTGAGTGCTCTGCTCTGGGCCCCCATGCTCTGGACCAAATGCGGGCACAGATCCCCCAGATGGGGAAAGGGAGCAAGCTTTGTGCCTAGGAGGACACTCAAGCCAGGTTGGACCCCAGCTCTTGTCTGGGTGGGAGGACAGGCCTGCATCTTCCAGAGGCTTCCACCAGGCAAGTCCCATGGCCAGGATCTCTTCTTCCTGGTCACTCCTGTGTGTCTAACCCCAAACCAGCTTTTTTTTTTTGGCAGAATCTCACTCTATCAGGCTGGAGTACAGTGGCCTGATCTCGGCTCACTGCAACCTCCACCTCCTGGGTTCAAGTGATTCTCCTGCCTCAGCCTCCCGAGTAGCTGGGATTACAGGTGTGCCCCACCACGCCTGGCTAATTTTTGTATTTTTAGTAGAGACGGGGTTTCACCGTGTTGGCAAGGCTGATCTCGAACTCCTGATCTCAAGTGATCTGCCCGCCTCGGCCTCCCAAAGTGCTGGGATTACAGGCGTGAGCCAACGTGCCCAGTCTGCAAACTGGCTTTGAAGGCTCCCAGTCTCCCCAGCCCATCACCAAGTCACCAATTCCTGTTTTTTTTTTTTTTTTTTTTTTTTTGCTGCATCCGAAACATCTCCCAGCTCCACCAACTCTGTCCCCATCTGGCCCAGGCCACAGCCCCTCCCACCTGGACACCCGCCCTGGCCTCCGCAAGGGGCTGTCTCCTTCACTCTTAGCCCACGGTCCCTCTTCCTCATGGAGGCTCAGGGCACGTCCCTCCACCAAGCAAATCCCCTCCATGGCTCCCCACAGACAGGGTGACATCCAAACATCTAGTCCCGGCCACACAAACCTCGTTTGAGCCAGTTCCTGTTCCTCTCCACCTTCACCCGGCACCAGGAGATCCAGCCCGGGAACAGCTCCCACTGGCCCAAAGAGAAGCTTCTGGCCTGCCCCAGGGCTACACTCATGCAGTCCCCTCAGCCAGAAACACCGTTGCCCCTCCCCCCTCTTTGGTGAACTCTTCATCCTCTCAGGCATACCTCCTCCAGGAAGCCTGCCCAGATGCCTTCAACAAGGTTTGGGGCCCCGTCTGTGCTCCCTGGGCCCCTGCAGCACCCCCTCATAGCCTTAGTGGTGCTGTAATTATTCCTTTGTCTTTGCCTCCTCATAGCATGGCGCAGCCTCTGCGGCCAGGAACCTTGCGTTTCATAATATTTTCTCAGTGCAAGAATGGCAAATGGAGGTCCAGAAAGCACTTACCCGAGGCAGAGGCCAAACTGAGCCAGAAAACACAAATCTGACTCCCCCTCCTCCCCCAGTCCAGGGCACAGGCCTGGCCCTCACAGTCAGGTGGGGCTGAGCAGCTGTAGACCTCAGCAGAACTCCCCCTCCCCTCCACCCCAGCCCCCACTGGTGCCCCAGGCTCTCCTGCTGGTCAGAGGCCCTGCTGCGGCCAGGGAGGAAGCCGTCCAGCCACCGAAGGAAGAAGTCACACAGCGACCGGGCGGTCACTCTTCCCCAGGTGTGTTTGCACATCTGAAGGGGCCACGTTCTGTGGTGGAAATCCGGATGGAGTATGGGGAAGAGTATTCAGGGGTGTATTGGGGGCAGGTGGGAGATGGTCCTCACTTTATTCACAAGTGTAGCTGCTGTACCTTCTAACTAAAGTGGGGGCCAGGCACAGTGGCTCACGCCTGTAATCCTAGTACTTTTGGAGGCTGAGGTGGGTGGATCACCTGAGGTCAGGAGTTCAAGACCAGCCTGGCCAACATGGCGAAACCCCATCTCTACTAAAAATACAAAAAATTAGCTGGGCGTAGCAGCGGACGCCTGTAATCCCAGCTACTTGGGAGGCTGAGGCAGGAGAATTGCTTGAACCCCTGGAGGCGGAGGTTGCAGTGAGCTGAGATCGTGCTGCTGCACTCTAGCCTGTGCGACAGAGCAACACTCCGTCTCAAAAAAATAGAATAGATAGATAAAGAAAGAAAGAAAGAAAGAAAGAAAGAAAGAAAAAGAAAGTAGGTTGTCCCCGTGCAGACTACTCATGTGTGGAGCCCCATGGCTGGCACTTTAGGGGCATGGTGACCCTGCATGGGCAGGGCGGGATACTGGAGAACTGGCCCAGCTCATTGACTCCATCGAGATTCCTTGCTGTGCCATCTGCCACCCCGCCACCCCAAGGGCCAGGGTTCCCACCACCATTGCCCAGGGCTGACCGTCTTTGTGCCCTCTGGGATGGGGGAGTGTTGTCCTACCTCCCGGGGGCTGGACTGGGGTGACTTTGAGCAGAAAGGCTCTCCTGACTTCCCTGGTGGGCGTGGGGACAGGTAGAGGGACTGGCCTCAGACCATCCCTCACCCCTGTTTTCTGCAGATCCCTCGTAAGTGGTGTCACTGGCTGGTGGCACCCTCAGTTACTGGCTGCAAATGGGTGGGTTGAGGGACTTGAGTCTTCTGCTGGCCTCAGCTGTCCTGGGAGCCTGGCCGGGACCTACAGTCTGCACCTGTTTTCTGGGCCATTTCCTCAGCCCCTTCATGGTTAAATGGCCGGAGAGATCCCACGCCTTCTGTGTGCCCAGAAGCAAGGGACTGAATGTCCTTCCATCTGTCCCACACACCCTCTGGCCAGTCTAGGAATCCATGATCACCCATCCTGCCCCGCAATAGGATGGGGAGACGATCCCTGCCCAGGTTCACACAGCAAGGCTCTGCCCAAACATCTGGGTGTCCCCTTGGGACTCAAGATGGGAGATGGGGTCTAGGGTGGGTTTCTGTCCTCCTCTCCCACCCCCCCAGCCCCCATTTCTGGGGGCCCTGCAGGGTGACAGAGGACTTCATTCCCGGGAACAGTACAGATATGAGGGCAGTGGGCCTCCCATGGCTGCTGGTCTGAGCCAGGCCGAGGCGGTCTCCATGCCTGCTGCAGGCCAGAAAAGGGCCCAGGAAGGCCATCCAGCCCTGTGGGGTCCCAGCTCTCATCTCAGCCACCAACATTGTTTGCGGCCCTTACCCACCTTCCTGCAACCTTTTGGGGCTTAAAAAAATGGTTTTATTTCTTAAAGACAAAAGCTTTTTGGTTTTAATACACAAACTAAATGAGGTCCTTGGCAGGCTCTTCCACCTTCCGGCCCAACCCCTCCAAGGGTTGTGGGCTGCAGTCTCTGGTGGCCAAGGACAGAAGAGCTGGGCCCGGCTGCAGGGGCCTCAACAGCCTCGTGGGCTCGGGAGTCCAGGCTGGACAGACGGGCCAGGAGAGCTCATCCAGGAGAAGGTCACTTCCTGGGCGTCTGCCCCCTTTTCTATTGCTGTCCACCCAGGGAGGCGTCTGGGTCCTGGTGGGACTGGACTTCAGTTCACCGTAGGCACCTGGCTGTGGTGCAGGCTGAACTCCTTGGCCTTGAGACGGAGGCTGGCGATGCTGTTGGCCATGTTGACCCCTGGGGTTGCGGGGCCTGAGCTCCCAGGGCTGTAGGGTGGCACTGTGCTGGGGGCGACATGAGACACAGGTCACATGGGTGCGGTTGGCTTCTGGGTATCAGTGCTCGACCCCAGCCTCTGGTCCTGCCACCCCCCTCCTTAGCTTGCTCTCCTGGGCAGCCTTCACCCAGGACTGGGGGTGATTTGGAGCTGTAGGGTTTGGGCAGGAGTCAGAAGTCCCCCCAGCTCAGTGCTGGGACACAGGAGCCTCCATATGAGCCATGAGCTTCCTGACAGCAGGGCCTGGGTTGGTCCATGCCCCCCTCCATGCGTACCCTGGGCCTGGCTCTCAGCAGGATGGAGGCAGAATGAACAGGCACCTGGATTTAAGGATGCCCCTTGGGGCCAAGCGTGGTGGCTCACGCCTGTAATCCCAACACTTTGGGAGGCCGAAGTGGACGGATCACCTGAGATCAGGAGTTCGAGACCAGCCTGGCCAACATGTTGAAACCCTGTCTCTACTAAAAATACAAACAATTAGCTTGGCGTGGTGACGGGCGTTTGTAATCCCAGCTACCCAAGAGGCTGAGGCAGGAGAATTGCTTGAGCCTGGGAGGCGGAGGTTGCAGTGAGCCGAGATTGCACCACTGCACTCCAGCCTGGGTGACAGAGCGAGACTCTGTCTCAAAAATAAATACATAAATAAATAAGGATGCCCCTTGGTTTTCCTGCCCCCTGTAACGATGAATAGGGAGGGAAGTTAGGAGGGCGGTGAGGACTAAGAACCCTCAAGCGGACCCACGAAATCCCTGTCCCCCCACATGACCATGGCTCCAGCAGAGCCACCCTCACAGCCCAAGGAGCAGACGGCGCCTCTGGAGCTGTGGGGTATGGTGGCCCGACTCTCGAGCACCTCCTGCCGACCATGTCAGAGTCTTTCCAGCTTTGATCCAGACAAAACTGCCCCAGAACTTGGCTCTGGGCCCCAGCCATGCCCGCAGGCCAGGGAGACCATTTCCTCAGCCCTCCCAGCGTCAGTTTCTCGTCTGGAGGGTGGACACAGGGCGCTGGGGCCCCCGTGACAGCCTAGGAATCTTCCTGCAGGTTTTCTACTCCCTCAGGGTGATGCCTGTACTTTGCTCCCCCTCCAGATAGGCCTGTTTTCTCCCGGCTCCAGGTGTTCACGCACACACTCACACCCCTGTGGACACGCATGCTTGCACGCTCCTTTGCATACGCAGGCATGTGCATGCACACTCACAGTCATGTGTGCCCACATGTACGTTGACACACACACACATGCCAACTCTTACAACATGCACGTGCAGGTGCTCGTGAACACCCACTCACAGGCACACTCGCCACACATCACTTGGTGTACCCCAGATCCCAGGGGCGCGTGGACACCATTCAAGCTCTCTCCAGACCCTCAGAGGAGTCCAGGCCGGAAAAGCCCTCTGGGATTCCTCGAGCTGCCCCTTCCTGGCCCAAAGGTGTTCCCGCTCTCACCTGTAGGGGGACGAGGCTGTCCAGGAGAGATAATCTGGACTCAGGGCGGTGGGCCGGGGAGCCACGGGCTGCTCGATGGCGGCCTCCTGGCTGTAGGACTTGAGCAGCGAGGCAGAGCGGCTGGCCAGCATGGCCCTTTCATTCCTGCGGAACTTGGCGCGGCGGTTCTGAAACCAGACCTGTGGGTGGGAGGGTGAGCAGGGTGCAGCATGGGCAGGGGGGACCCAAGTCCTTCTGGACCTGGGTGTGTGCCTGCTCTGTCACCAGCCCAGGGCTGGCAGCGTCACCTCTCTGACCCTCAGTTTTTTCATCTGTAGAATGGGGATGACAAATGACGCCTGCTGCTGGGTATGTGTTGGAGATTGAGAACACCAATGAATGGAGAATGAATGGAGAATGTGTTGGAGAATGAGAACGAATGGAGAGGCACTCGGCCACTGGGAGCGAGGTGCTTGCTGAGCACTCGCGGGGAAAGGCGCTTGCTGAGCACTCGGGGGGAGAGGCGCTTGCTGAGCACTCGGGGGGAGAGGCTCTTGCTGAGCACTCGCGGGGAGAGGGGCTTGCTGAGCACTCGCGGGGAGAGGCGCTTGCTGAGGACTCGCGGGGAGAGGCGCTTGCTGAGGACTCGCGGGGAGAGGCGCTTGCTGAGCACTCGGCTCAGTGCTGGCACAGAGTTAAGAACTTGAAACTGGAAAAGGACTTCTTTATCAGAACCCTTGGTGCCAGGCATTGTTCTAAGCGCTTTACGAAAATTTATTTTTATTTGTTTGTTTGTTTGTTTATTTATTGAGACAGGGTCTCACTCTGTCACCCAGGCTGGAGTGCAGTGGCGCAATCTCAGCTTACTGCAACCTCTACCTCCCGAGTTCAAGCGATTCTCCTGCCTCAGCCACCCAAGCAGCTGGGATTACAGGCGCGCGCCAGCACGCCCGGATAATTTTTGTACTTTTAGTAAAGATGGGGTTTCATTATGTTGGCCAGGCTGGTCTCAAATTCCTAGCCTCAAGTGATCCACCCACCTCGGCCTCTCAAAGTGCTGGGATTATAGGCATAAGCCACTGTGCCTGGCCGCTTTATGAAAATTTTAACTCTAATCCTCGAAGGACCCCTATAGCAAAGACCTACGTGATCCTCATTTTCCAGGTAGGCAGGTGCCTGCAGCACAGACAGCTTAAGTCACTTGCTCAAGGGCACACAGCCAGTAAGTGGCAGGGCTGGGATCTGAACCCCCGTCCTCCTGGCCTCAGATGCTCCTGCTCAAACACCCCTCCTGGGCAACTGTGTAATCCCGGGTGAACAGTGGCTGTGCGCTCCCACGCGCACGCTCCCACGGGAGGCCCGGGACTGAGCGCTCACCTGAACGCGCGCCTCGCTGAGGTTGACGCGCCGGGCAAGCTCCTCGCGCACAAAGGCGTCGGGGTAGTGCGTGCGCTCGAACACGCGCTCCAGCGCCTGCAGTTGGCTGCTGTTGAACGTGGTGCGGTTCCGCCGCTGCTTCTTCTTCCGCTTGGCGGCGCTACCGCGCCCCGGGCTGGGACACTCACCTGCGGAGGTTGGGGGGGCGGGATGGTCAGCAGGACGGCCAGTGGCTACAGTCACAGTTCAGCCCCCAACTCTGCAGTTTGCTCTGAGTGCTTTAGTGCCGCCGCCAGGAATGCGTCCCTTTAATTCACTCCCTCATTCCTTCCTTCTGGCATCCACCCATCCATTCACTCTTCAACACGTATTTACTGAGCACCTGTGTGGCAGGCCCAGTGCTAGACTCCGGGGAGATAACGGAGAACAAAAGCAGCCACACCCCTGCCCTGTGGAAACCCCAGTCTGAGCCAACTGAGATGGGACCACGGCAAGAGCCCTGGGGACAGGTGTCCCTTCCACCAGGGACAAGTGACCTGCTCAAGGAGGGCTCAGGAGACACCTGAGTGTCCCCAGCACCCGGCCCAGGCTGTGGGGCATGGCACATTCTGCATGGACACCTGTTGCTGACATGTAATAATAATAATAATTAATATGTCATAAAGAGCAGTGGGAGTCAAGGCTCAGGACCCACAGATTCTAGGAAGCTCCCAGGAGCCCTAAAGACAGATGTCGTGATCCTCATCATTCCTAAGGAGGAAGAGTCAGAGAGGCTATGGTCTCGGGCCCAAGTTCAAGGTCCCAGTGGAGTCATTGTTGGTGGAAGGATCTGAACCCACCAATCGGGTACGAGAGTCCTCATCTTCTCCTTTTTAGCCAATCAGGCAGCTGTTGAGAGCAGCCTTCCTTTCCAGAGGGCCTACTAGGCCAGAGGCTGTACTGGGGGCCGGGGAGAGACCAACCAGAGGGATCCATCGGCAGGGGAGGCAGGCCCCGAATAAGCTTTGGTGGGGCCGTGGGGTGGGTCAGGGCAGGTGTGGGCCAGGGCACGGGAGGATGCTCAGCTCTGGTGGGGATGAGGAGCTGGCCGGGGAGGCCCCTCAGGAGAGGTGGAGCTTGCAAAGGGTTTGAAGGATCCCCAAGAGTTCTCCAATCAGTTAGAGAGTGAGGGAGGGTGTCCAGCCAAGGCCCAGCAGGGGCGGTGGAGGATCCCAGCAGGGGACCTGACCGAGGGTGGTGCTGGCCTGTGGTACAGAACTAGCAGCTCTGGTAAGGAGGGCCCAGCAGAACCCTGGGGAGGTCCTGGAGTGGCAACCTCTGGGCCCAGCCTGTACCTTGGGGGAGGGGGTGGGGGGGCGTCCAGCTACTATTTCCACATTTAAACCTTATCCAAGGGCACCTCTGACCCTTCATCCTCTAGGGCTCAGCCTATTGTCCACTCCTCCAGGGGGCCCTCCCTGATCACCTGAGTCCACATGGAACCAAACCCCCTTCCCTCCAGCACTTAGAATCAACTAATGCTGCCGGTTCAGCACTTCTTTTGTATCTGATTTTTTCTCATTAAAAATGTGTATTTTAATAACCAAGTAATCACACTGCTTGTCACAGTAACAGATTCAAACAACACAGATGGGTATAAAGTAAAACAAAATACTCTCCCCTCCCCTATCCCACTCCCCACATTTTCTTTCTTTTTTCTTTTTCTTTTTTTTTTTTTTTTTTTGAGGCGGAGTCTTGTTCTGTCCTCCAGGCTGGAGTACAGTGGCATGATCTTGGCTCACTGCAACCTCTGCCTCCCGGGTTCAAGTGATTCTCATGCCTCAGCCTCTCGAGTAGCTGGGATTACAGGCGCCCACCAACATGCCTTGCTAATTTTTGTATTTTTAGTAGAAACAGAGTTTCACCATGTTGGCCAGGCTGGTCTCGAACTCTTGGCCTCGAGCAATCTGCCCGCCTCGCCTCCCAAAGTGCTGGGATTACAGGTGTGAGCCACCATGCCCAGCCCCACTGCCCACATTTTCTAAGATTACAAATACAAGTTTAAAAAATGGCCAGGCGCGGTGGCTCACACCTGTAATCCCATCACTTCGGGACGCTGAGGCAGGTGGATTACTTGAGGCCAGGATTTTGACACCAGCCTGGGCAATATGGTGAAACCCCATCTCTACTAAAAACAAAACAAAACAAAGACAAAGACAAAAGAAATTAGCCAGGCATGGTCACAAGTGTCTGGAATCCCAGTTACTCCAGAGGCTGAGGCACAAGAATCGCTTAAACCCAGGAGGCTGAGGTTGCAGTGAGCCAAGATTATGCCACTGCACTCCAGCCTGGGTGACAGAGCAATACTCTGTCTCAAAAATAAATAAATAAATAAATAAAATTTAAAAATAAAATTAAAAATTGACAAGCACACACTGGGGCTTCAACTTACCTCTTTTTATTTAATAATATTCTGGATACCTTTCCATCTTAGTGAAACAAACCTAACCATCTTTATTGCGATTGTTTTTCCAAAATGTATTTTCCCTCTTGTTCCCTCTCCCCTACCTTCAGGAACCATTTTA
The DNA here is from genome assembly GCF_000001405.40 of Homo sapiens. Lineage (NCBI taxonomy): Eukaryota > Metazoa > Chordata > Mammalia > Primates > Hominidae > Homo > Homo sapiens. The sequence continues at coordinate 129,716,854 of NC_000009.12, read as the reverse complement.
AGAGTTAGTTCTTCCTTTATCCCTCCAGCATTGCTTTTTGCAAATATAACAAAATATGTGTAATATTTTCTCCCTTTCTTCTATCAAAAGAAAGCATAGCGGCCAGGCACGGTGGCTCATGCCTGTAATCCCAGCACTTTGGGAGGCCGAGGCAGGTGGATCACCTGAGGTCAGGAGTTCAAGACCAGCCTGGGCAACATGGCAAAACCCAGTCTCTACTAAAAATACAAAAATTAGCCAAGTGTGGTGGTGCATGCCTGTAATCCCAGCTACTCTGGAGGCTGAGGCAGGAGAATCACTTGAACCTGTGGGGTGGAGGTTGCTATGAGCCGGTACCGTACCACTGCACTCCAGCCTGGGCGACAGAGTGAGACTCTTGTCTCAAAAAAAAAAAAAAAAAGAAAGAAAGCATAGTATGTACTGTTCACTTTTTGCCCCACCTAACGATATTTCCCAGGGATTCCCCCATTCAGCACACCGGAGCCCTTCATGTTCCTTTTCACAGCTGCATAGCAGTCTACCATGTGACTCTGCTGTGTTTATTCAACCAGAGCCCTATTGATGGGCATTTGGAGGGTTTCCAATCTCTTGGAACTAGAAGAATGCCACAATGCATAACCTCATGCAAATATGATTTTCTATTTTTGCCAGTGTATATTTAGGACAGATTCCTAGAAGTGGAATTTCTGGGCCAATGAGTGAATGCTAGATGTGGCCAAATTCCCTCGTATAACTGGTCTTATTTTGCATTCCCACCGGCCGGGTTTGGGGCGACGTGTTTTGCCTACAGTTTGGCCAACAGAAGAGCTTTGGATTTTAGTCCATACCTTGTATTTTTGTTTCCCCAGTTACATGTTCCCATTTTACACCCGATGTTCTTTGCACAGTACTGGGCATTTGTTCAGTGAACTGTTACTGAGCTTCTAGAACATGCCAGGCCCAGTGATGGGTACTGCTGAATATCTGCTTTTAATCAGTTCCCAGGTTAGGAGGGTTTACTGACTCTTGAGCAACCAACTGATTTGATGTAAGGTTAAATTGCTCCATGAGACTGTAAATGAGTGTGTGTGTGTGTGTGTGTGTGTGTGTGTGTGTGTGTGTGTGAGAAAGATGTCCCTGAAGCTGGGTTTGGACCACTGCTTCTCAACCGAGGGCAATTTTGCCCCTGTGAGACATTTTTGATCGTTAGGACTGGGGAAGGGGTGCTACTAGGATCTAATGGTAAAGAGGCCAGGAGTGCTGCTAAATATCTTTTTTATTTTTTGAGACAGGGTCTCACTCTGTTGCCCAAGCTGGAGTGCAGTGGCGCAATCGTAACACACTGCAGCCTCGACCTCCTGGGCTCAAGCAATTCCCCCACCTCAGCCTCCCAAGTAGCTGGGACTACAGGTGCCTGCCACCATGCCCAGCTGATTTTTATTTTAATGTAGAGATGAGGTCTTACTATGTTGCCAAGACTGGTCTTAAACTCCTGACCTCAATTCTCCTGCCTCAGCCTCCCAAAGTACTGGGATTACAGGCACGAGCCACCATGCTTGGCCTTGCTAAATATCTTTCAAGACACAGGACAGGCCCCCACGTCAATGAATTATCTTGTCCAAAATGTCAATGGCACTGAGGTTGAGAAACCCTGGTTTAGAGGGATGACTAGGAGGTTATGTTCAGAAGTTTCCCCCTTTGGGAAATACTTGCAAACATACGGGACCAGGCGGGGGCTGTGGGGGCAGTGGGGAGGGAGCACGTGGTGGCCCTGTGGAGCTGGTCTCATTGCCGGGACCGCTTCACTCTTCACTCCTCAAGCAAAGGCGAGGATGGATGAGAATGTCTGCTGCCTGTGAATGTCTTTCCACCCCCACCACCTCGATGAGGAAGAAACTTTAAACCGAAACAAGAGCCCTTGCGCTGAAAACTGGGTGGTGATCAATAGCCTGAAAGCAGGGATGGAAGTTTCTGGAAAGCCAGTCATTGCAGGGGTCATTTCCACCCCCCTTCAGGCAGTTCCTCTTGGGCACACACCCAACACAGGAGGCATTTCAGCCAAAAAAGGAGACATTTTCGGGAAGTTTCTGAGCAATTCAAACCTGGGGGTGTTTAAATGAAAACCATTTTGCAGCCTTCGCCTTGCCGAGTAAGCGCCCGAAGAAACAGCTCCACTTTCATGCCAGTTAAGCTGTGTGGCGACATGGAGCCAAAATCCTCATGCAGAGGCATTTACCCCCACCCCAGCCAGCCCCAGACCGCCCCCAACACTGGCTGGCGTCCTCACTGCTTCCCAAGTCAGCTCTGCCCAGGGTCGTGCCAAGGCAGCTGTGATGGGATGCGCTCAGCCAGAGCCGGTTGGGACAGGAGTGGTGCCAAGTGCTCCACGTGTGGCCACCCACCGTCCCCTGCATCCACCCTAGGAGGCACTGTGCCATTTTATTTTATTTTATTACTTTTTTTTTTTTTTTTTGAGACAGAGTATCGCTCTGTCCCCCAGGCTGGAGTGCAGTGGTGCGATCTCGGCTCACTGCAACCTCTGCCTCCTGGGTTCAAGCGATTCTGCTACCTCAGCCTCCAGAGCAGCTGGGATTATAGGCTGGAGTACAGTGGCACGATCTCGGCTCACTGCAACCTCCGGCTCCTGGGTTCAAGCGATTCTCCTACCTCAGCCTCTCGAGTAGCTGGGATTACAGGCGTCCGCCACATGCCTGGCTAATTTTTTTTGTATTTTTAGTAGAGATGAGGTTTCACCATGTTGGCCAGGCTGGTCTCGAACTCCTGACCTCAGGTGATCCACCTGCCTTGGCCTCCCAAAATGCTGGGATTACAGGCGTGAGCTACCAATGGAATCATTTTACACACACGGAAACTGAAGCTGTGAGAGTGTCTTGCCCAACGTCGTACATCTGGGATTGAAATCGATGTCTGTTGGCCAGGTGCAGTGGCTCATGCCTATAATCCCAGCACTTTGGGAGGTCGAGGCAGGCGGAACACCTGAGGTCAGGAGATCAAGACTAGCCTGGCCAACATGGTGAAACCCCATCTCTACTAAAAATAAATAAATAAATAAATAAATTAGCCAGGCATGGTGGCGGGCACCTGTAATTCCAGCTACTCAGGAGGCCGAGGCAGGAGAATCACTTGAACCCGGCAGGCGGAGGTTGCAGTGAGCTGAGATCACGCCATTGCACTCCAGTCTGGGCAACAAGAGTGAAATTCCGTCTAAAAAAAAAAAAGAAAGAAAAAAAAGGAAGAAATCGATGTCTGCTGGGAGGCCTGGCCAAGCCAAGGCTGCGAACCCCTCTTCACGGGGCCTCCTCCCTCTTCTACCTCGCTCCCAGGCTCAGCAGCGTAGGGGGCCTGTCACACGCTCAGTCCCAGCTCTCTGATCCCATGGGTGGGCGGGGTCAGGAGATGCCATGGTGGGAGGCCTCCAGCCTCACGTCACCTCTTCGTCCTAAAGGAAGCCCTCACCCCTGGGAGGGTGTGGGATAGCACCTTGCTGAAGGACACACCAAGCTGCTGTGAGGAGTTGAGTGTAGCTCAGTGCCAAGGACATAGTAATTGCTCAATAAATGTTCACTCCCCTTAACATGATTGCTTTTGTGCAGCCAGCTCTGTATGAGAAGACAAGGACCTTTCTCCATGATCCTTTCGTCCCTGTAGCCCAGCCTACAGCAGAAAGATGGGGCTGCACCCCTGCCGTGGGCTGAGGCTGGGAAGGAACGCGGACGGGGAGGAGGACCCAGGCAGCACCTCCCCGCGGACCAGAACTCGAACCCACAGCTCTGGACTTAGCCGGGGGCTCTGGCGCTCGCCTCCGCCTCCGAGCGGATGTGCCGGATATTTGTTGCCCTAAGTTCCTGAATCACCTCCTGAGAAATGCATTGTGGTGGGCGTGTGTGTTCCTCTGGGGACTCCGTGCTTGGGCTTAAAGCATTTAGGAAATCAATAAAATAAATACTCTCTAAGCCTCAGGCCACTGGCGTCAGGTCCCTGCCTTTTCACGGGGGCCCTCTCCTCCGGTCAGCAAACCCTGCGTCTGCACTCTCCAAGGAGGGCCGTGCCCAGAGTCTCTTTTTGTTCAGGAAAAGTTCTGCTTTTCCCTGAGACTGAAACAAAGCATGAAACCGCCTCCCTTTGACCAGGCTGTTTAGCTGCTTTTGTAGGGGGCCTGGATCCCAGAGGAGAGAAACGAGCTCAGATGGGGGAGGCCTGTCTCGCGCTGTCTCCTCCTTAAAACCAAAACGACATCGTCCCCGATTACATTACAGTGAAAAAATGACTGGTGCACGGTTTTCTGCCATTAAATTATTTCACACGTACCATTTAGTTGGCTGACTGGGGGCCAAAGGCATTTAAAAACTCTGCTCTCAGCCAAATGATCAAGTGTTCCCACCGCCCTCCCCTGTGCCTATGGTTTTTCTTATTCCGTGTAATTTAAGGGTCTAAATAGTCTGGAGGGAATTAACTGCAGATTCTTCCTAAGACAAATAAACTCAGCCTCTTCGTTCCTGCCTTTCTCAAGCTGTTGAGAGACACACTCTATTTGTTTTTGCTTCAAATAGTCAGTTTGCGCCTGACCCCCGGGCTGAGGTGAGCTCCAACCCAAATAAATAACTTTTATTAATTAGCATTTATTCTGAGCAAATAAGCAGCCCTCCTCACCACCCCCAACGTGATCTCTGCCAACAGGATCGCAAAAACAAACAACGGGTCCTTGGGACCTCGATGTGGATTTAACAAATTAACACTGGGCCTTCTCAGAGGAGCCTCGGAGCTGGAGAAATATTTACAGCCTGGAACGTCTTAGGCAAGAAGTGGAGGTGGGGTAGGGTGGAGAGGCCGTGGAGGCTTCGGTTTCCCCCTGAGATTTCTTGGTAGAGATTTGGGTTCCTTTGAAGGGCCCCTGGGAGAAGGGCTCAGACAGGAACTCTGAAACCACATCCTTAGCCACTGCCTGGCATCATCAGCAAGGACACAAGTGGCCCTGAGGGAGGCTTGAGGGAGGATTCTCACCTCCCCCAGTAAGGAATGGAAGGCAGTACCGCCTACTGGTTAAGGAGGTGGCCGGTCCGGGTCTGGCTCTCAGGCCGGTCCGCCTCACTAGCAGAGTGCCGTGGGTGAACCTTTAACCGCTCCCAGCCTCAAGAATCTCACCTGAGGCCGGGCGCCGTGGCTCATGCCTGTAATCCCAGCACTTTGGGAGGCCGAGGCGAGTGGAATGCCTGAGGTCAGGAGTTTGAGACCAGCCCGGCCAACATGGTGAAACCCCGGTCTCTACTAAAAGTACAAAAAAATTAACTGGGTGTGGTGGTGTGCACCTATAATCCCAGCTACTTGGGAGGCTGGGGCATGAGAATTGCTTAAACCCGGGAGGTGGAGGTTGCAGTGAGCCGAGATCATGTCACTGCACTCCAGCCTGGGCAACGAAGCAAGACTCTGTCTCAAAAAAAAAAAAAAAAAAAAAAAAGAGAATCTCACCTGAAAAATGGGAATAACAGGATCTACCTCATTTAACCCTCATAACAACCCAACACGGCTGGCTCCTAGTTCCATTTTACGTAGGAGGAAACTGAGGAACAGAGAGTTAAATGACATACTGATGCCACATGACCAGGAAAGACCAGAGCTGGGATTGGAACTCAGAGAGCAGCACACAGTCCGGGGTCTTAGCCACTTCCCCACACTGCTGCCTGAGTCACCTCGGCATGGGAAGCCAGCCCCAAGATCCTCGTGGTGCTGGGATTCTGGGGGTCTCCCTGGTGGCTTAACAGTGTATGGATCAACAAAAAGGAGGGAGGCTGAAGGCAACAGAAACATTCTTGGGGCTGCAGCATGTGGCTTCAGGCACACAGGCAGCAGGGCAGCGAGGATTAAGGATGTGTGCAGGCCCAGCCCCAAGCCCTGTGAGGGTGGGCCACAGTCAGGCCGGGCACAGAGAGAGCTCAACAACATGTGAAGACAGAAAAGAAGGAAGGGGAGAAGGGAGGATAGAGGAGAAGAAACATGGTCCCTGGGGCCTCATGGAGAAGGATCCCGGGGCTTCTAGGCTGTTCCAACCCCAGGAGTGCAGCCCTGCCCCAGCCAGCACCCCGACCAAGGGGCCCAAGAGCTGACTTTCGTTTTGTTTTGTTTTTTGAGATGGAGTCTCACTCTGTTACCAGGCTGGAGTGCACTGGCGCGATCTCTGCTCACTGCAATCTCCGCCTCCCAGGTTCAAACGATTCTCCTGCTTCAGCCTCCCGAGTAGTTGGGACTACAAGTGCCTGCCACCACACCCAGCTAATTTTTTGTATTTTTAGTAGAGACGGGGTTTCACCATGTTGGCCAGGATGGTCTCGATCTCTTGACCTTGTGGTCCACCCGCCTCAGCCTCCCAAAGTGCTGGGATTACAGGTGTGAGCCACCGCGCCCGGCCAAGCTAGCTTTCAATCAGGCCAAGCTGGCCTCAACCCCAGAAATTCAGGGACCAGGTGTAAGGCACAAAGGAGGGTCTTGGGTCCTCTGGTGCCAGTTACAAGGCACAGGTCCATCTTCACCTCCCTGGACCATTGCTGGATGGGGCCACCTAGGCCACTCCAGTAGGCAGAGCCAGGGCAGGTGGCCTCAGGGCTGCCCGGCCGCTGTTCCAGGTCCCTGCCTCTTTGGGGTCACTGCTTGCATCACACACACCACGCCCTCTCACCATGGACCCCTGCCTGAGCTGGCAACGTCTCCTCCCTCTCTTGCTCACTTTCAGGTCTCAGCAGAGATGCCTCCTCCTCCAAGAAGCCCTCCTGGACCCACAGGCTTAAGCTCCCAAAAAGCCCTGTGCCTCTCCCATTGTAGCTCTGTTATACTGTAGGGTAAGTGTGGGGTCATCGGTCCAGTAGGGGCTGGGACTTACTGTTTTCTGTCTCCTTGGAATGCATCACAGGGGCTGGCACAGGGAACCTCTCATCAATCTGTGTTGAGTGCTGAGTGTTGAGTGAAGGGGAGGCATGGGAAGGGCCGGGTGAGCCTGCAGAGCCCGCCCTCCTGTGCAGGGGTCTAGGTTCCTCCCCTGGAGCCATGGAGGCCTGGTGAGGACACGTCCTCCGAGTGAGGAAGAGGCTGGGGGAGGCCGGCCACCACCAGCCACTGCCCTGCCACACTTTTAAGAATGTTTCACCTCATTAATTTTGAACAAAAACCCGTGACGCTGACACATTTTTATAGCTACCAGCCTGGAGAAGGAGAAACACATCCCGGGAAGGAAGGTGATGATGGAAGCCGCAGTGGGGCCCGAGGAGTCAGACAGGTCCCCAGGGGGCCCCATCCCATGGCTTCCCCGGCCTCGGCACAGCACACAAGAGCGAGAGGCATGGGCCACCCAACCTGGGACTGCCGTGCTCTGACCTGCTCCCAGCCCTGGGGGCCGGTAGCCAGTGTGGCTGCAAGAATGGTGGCTAGTGTGGCCTCCGCAGGCTCAGGATGACCCTGGAGTTTGGAGGAGGCTGGAGGAGGTTCCCTCATGTCCCCCACAAACCTCAGCAGAGCCCTGCTTGGAGGCAGTTGCGGTGTATCTGGGTCTCTCTGGGGTCGGGAGCCTCACCCCTAAATACATGACATGCACACATTTCCATGGGGCCACCAGACCCACAAGAAAGCGGAGGGGCCAGTGACCCAGCAGGAGCTGCCCCTGGAAGGGAGCACAAGCACCTTCCCACCTCTGGGCCTTGGTATCTGCTGTTCCCTCTAGCTAGGGCACCCTTCCCCCATCCCCACCGCACTGGCTAAAGCTGACCCAGCCCTGGATTTCAGCCTACATGCCCAGCCCTGAGAGGCCTTCCCGGCTCCCATACAAGCGCAGGTCTCCTTGTTATGGACTCCTAGGCCTTCTCCCTCTCCTGCACATCTGCAATTAACTAAAACAGAGAAATGACGTGTTTGGGTTATCTGCTTCATGCCTGTCTATCCCACATTTGACTCTAAGATCCAGACGGGCAGGGCCTGGGTTTTCCTTGTCAATGCTGTATCCCCAGGACCAGGCAAGAAGTTTGGTTTCAAAAATATTTCTGAATGAATGACTATGTAAATGAAGGAGCGGCTCACTCCAGAAAAGGATCTGAAGTCTCAACTTCCAAAGCCAGGTCCCTTTATCTTCAAAAGGGCCAGACGATGGCTGTTAGATGTGACATCAAAAACACAAGCAACTACAGAAAAAAAGATAAATGGAACTTCATGAAAACTAAACAGTTTTGTAACTGTTATAACCATTAAGAAACTGAAAAGACAACCCACAGAATAGAAAAATTATTTACACATTACATATTTGGTAAGGGACTTATGTTTAGAAAATATAAAGAACCCTTACAGCTCAATAAAAAGACAAATATCCCAATTTAAAAATGAGTGAAGGATTTGAGTAGACATTTCTCTAAAGAAAATACACAAATGACCAATAGGCAGAAAGACGCTCAAAATCATCAGCCAGCAGGGAAATGCAAATCAAAACCATGATGAGACAGACTTCACACCCACTAGGATAGTTAGAATCAAAAGACAGATAACGGCCGTGCATGGTGGCTCAGGCCTGTTTAAGCCCAGCACTTTCAGAGGCCGAGGCAGGTGGACTGCTTGAGGTCAGGAGTTCGAGACCAGCCTGACCAACATGGTGAAACTCCGTCTCTATTGAAAATACAAAAATTAGCCAGGCGTGGTGGCAGGTACCTGAAATCCCAGTTACTCGGGAGGCTGAGGCAGGAGAATGGCTTGAACCTGGGAGGTGGAGGTTGCAGTGAGCCGAGATCACGCACTGCACTCTAGCCTGGGCAACAGAGCGAGACTCCAGTAGGCTGAGCCAGGGCAGGTGGCCTGATAACACCAAGTGCTGGCCAGGAAGTGGAGAAACTAGAACCCTCATACACTGCTGGTGGGAATGCAAGGTACAGCTGCTGTGGAAAACAGTCTGGGAGTTGCTCACAAGGTGAAACATAGACTTACCATCTGACCCAGCAATTCCACTCTTAGGTACAGACGCAGGAGAAATGAAACATGTGTCCACACAAAAACCTGTACACAATGACATATGTCCATAGCAGCATTTTTTTTTTTTTTTGAGACACAGTCTCCCTCTGTCACCCAGGCTGGAGTGCAGTGGCACGATCTCGGCTCACTGCAACCTCCTCCTCCTGGGTTCAAGCAATTCTCCTGCCTCAGCCTCCCTGGTAGCTGGGACTACAGGCGCACATCACCGTACCGGGTTAATTTTTGTATTTTTAGTAGAGACGGGGTTTCACCATGTTGGCCAGGCTGGTCTCGAACTCCTGACCTCAGGTGACCCACCAGACCAGCCTTGGCCTCCCAAAGTACTGGGATTACACGTGTGAGCCACCGCGCCCGGCCATAGCAGCATTATTTATAATAGCCAAAAAGTGAAAGCAACCCACATGTCCTTCAACTGGTGAATGAATAAATAAAATGTGGCCCATTCATGCAATGGAATAGTATTCAGCAATAAAAATAAATGAAACACTTAGAGATGGTAACTGTGGGTTAACCTTGAAAACATGATGCTAAATCAAAGCAGCCAGCCAGAAGGGAATATATAGTGCATGATTTCTTTTATTTATTTATTTATTTATTTTTTGAGACAGAATCTCACTCATTATGTTGCCCAGGCTGGAGTGCAGTGGCGCCATCTCAGCTCACTGCAACCTCTGCCTCCTGGGTTCAAGCGATTCTCCTGCCTCAGCTTCCCAAGTAGCTGAGATTACAGGTGCCAGCCACCATGCCTGGCTAATTTTTGTATTTTTAGTAGAGATGGGGTTTCACCATGTTGGCCAGGCTAATCTCGAACTCTTGACCTCAAGTGATCTGCCCGCCTTTGCCTCCCAAAGTGCTGGGATTATAGGCGTGAGCCACTGCACCAGGCCCTAGTGAATGATTTCTTTTATATGAAATGTCCAGAATAGGCAAATCCATAGAGATGGAGGTAGACTGGCAGCTGCTGGGGCTGGGGGGACTGCAGTGAGGATGCTGGAGAGTGACAGCTAAAAAGTGCAGGGCTTCTTTTGGGGGTATGAAAATGTTTTAATATTTATTGTGATGATGGTTGTACAACTGAATATACTAAAAAATCACTGGACTGCACATTTTATCTTTCTAATTTAATTTTATTTTTTGAGATGGTCTTCCTCTGCACTCAGGCTAGAGTGCAGTTTTGCGATCATGGCTTACTGCAGCCTCGAACTCCTAGGCTCAAGTGATCCTCCCACCTCAGCCTCCCCAGTAGCTGGAACTACAGGCATGCGCCACCATGCTCAAATAATTATTTTTTTTTTTTTGAGATGGAGTTTCACTCTGTCGCCCAGGCTGGAGTGCAGTGGCGTGAACTTGGCCCACTGCAACCTCCGCCTCCCAGGTTCAAGCGATTCTCTTGCCTCAGCCTCCCGAGTAGCTGGGATTACAGGCGCATGCCACCACGTCTGTTAACTTTTGTATTTTTGGTAGAGACAGGGTTTTACCGGGTTGCTCCTGACCTCAAATGATCTGCCCCCCTCGGTCTCCCAAAGTGCTGGGATTACAGGTGTGAGCCACCGCGCCTGGGAAAAAAAAATTTTTGTGTAGAGATGGGAGTCTCACTATGTTGTCCAGCCTGGTCTCAAACTCATGGCCTCAAGTGATCCTCCTACCTTGGCCTCCCAAAGCACTGGGATTATAGGTGTGAGCCACCACATCCGGCCCTGGACTGTGCACTTTAAATGGGTGATTGTACAGTATGTGAAATATACGAAATAAAATTATTCCTAAAAACACACAGAAAAAGGAGGTGGTGTCAAGAGAAGCATTGAGATTGGAGAGAATGGCAAGCAAAGGATATCTCCTGAGTCTCTGGGGGTGCCACAGGTAGTGAGGTGACAGGGGGTGAGGAGTGAGGTGGGCTGGGGTGCCGGGGAGGCCCCAAGAGGTCAGGGGCCTCTGGGTTAGGGTCTTTGGGGAACCCTCAGTGAGAGAGCCAGCAGGAGTGGCTCTTGAACTCCTGACCTCAGGCGATCCACCTGCCTCGGCCTCCCAAAGTGCTGGGATTACAGGCATGAGCCACCGTGCCCAGCCAGGGAGTGGCTCTCGCACAGAATGTCCCCATGCGGCCGGGTCACAGCAGCAGGCTAACGGTAGCGGGGAGCCAGGGTTGGGGACAGGTGAGGCCAAAAGTTCTTCTGAGCCCAGGATCCTTGAGAAAAGGAGTCTTCAGGGCCAGGCACAGTGGCTCGTGCTTGTAATCCCAGCACTTTGGGAGGCCGAGGCGGGCAGATCACCAGAGGTCAGGAGTTCAAGACCAGTCTGGCCAACATGGTGAAACCCTGTCTCTACTAAAAATACAAAAATTAGCCGGGCATGGTGGCACCTGCCTGTAATCCCAGCTACCCGGGAGGCTGAGGCAGGAGAATTGCTTGAACCCGGGAGGCGGAGGTTGCCGTGGGCCAGGATCAAGCCACTGAACTCCATTTGCCTCCTGTTCACAGGCAATCAAAGGGCCAGGGGGGCCAAGGCCAGATGCAGCCGAGTGGCTCTGAGGCCCTGGCTCCCCAGCGTGGCCCTAGCAGGAGCCTCCCCTCATATCCCTCAGCCCCTGCGTTTTGGTGCCTGACTACCTCCCTCTGCACTAGGAGCTGGGGGTCCCAAGTCCAGCTCAGTCTCTCTATTCCTGAGACCCCAAAACTAAGCTCTAGAGAGGGGGGCACCTGTTGGAATGGGGTGCGGGGTGGGTGGGAGGCAGGGAGTCACCCAGGAGGAAGGGGAGCAGCCCTCTGCTCGAAATTTGGTCTAAGAGAGGGGTTCATGTCTGTCCCGTCTGGTTTTAATCTAAGGTTGATGGCCAAATGCCAGGTTTATTGTAAAGCCTACATTTTAATAAGGCGCTGGTATCGGGAGGAAAGCTGCCCTCGTTAACTGTTTCCAGACCACGATGAAGTTTTCTGCTCAGGGCCCAAGGTGGGTTTTTCTCTCCCATTTAAGAGCTCCTGGGCCTCCTAAAGCCCAGAGCCAGTTGGGAACTTGGGGTGAGGGCTGGGGCCCAGGCACAAAGATGTTGACTTCGTGTGGCTTGGTTTTGCAACAAACCTGCAAACAGCTCTGCGGTCTCAAACCTGTCATTCTTGTCGTCTCGAGGACTCAGGGTCTGAAGGGACTTTAGAGGTCATCTGTCAAGACCCCTCATTTTGCTGATAGGAAAACTGAGGCCTGGAGGGGCAGTGACTCGGCCACGCACTCACAGCAAGGCAGTGGAACCCCAAGTTCTGTCTGCTGAGATGTGCTGCCTGCAGACACACATGCGCTTCCTTCCTGCTCCCATCTCTGTTCCCGGGTTTCCTGGGAGGATGCAGGAGAGAATATTCCCAACCCAGCAATTGGGTTAGGGGGGCTACCAGCAGCCCACCCAGATAGCAAACGCCTGCCTGCCCTGAGCATCTGAGAATGAGAAAAATTGCCCCCGTGTGTCCTCAGACAAGAGGTCTCTCCTCTTGGATTCTTGGTTTCACCATCTGTATTGGGACAAAACAGTATCTCTCCCTCCCTCTCAGGTGGCTCAGTGAGGATGGCGTGGCCCAGGGCTCTCCCAAGGACATGCTTAACGTGGTGCTCCAGAAATGACTGCTAACCCCACTATTATTCATCCCATATGAAGGCTAGGCCTGGCCTGGTGGTTCTTCCCCACTTTAATCATGAACCCCCCTTGAGAACTCTGAGGAACTCTACGAACCATTCCCTAGAAAAACACAGGCGTGCAGAAAAGTTTGCATGCAATGTTGTACGGAGAGGTGGTTCACACACTTTGAATCCTGTCCACAGACCCCACCCTAAAGCACCAGCTCCATGGAAAGTCAGTTCTCTCTGTCCTGGAAGAACCTGCCCCTCTGCCCCCTCTTGGGGTCCCCTGGCCAGCCCTTCATGGCGAGCAGCCCAGACAAGGGCAGTGCCTGCGAGGCTGACGGGACCTGCCGTGCCCCTGGCTCTGGGCAGTGCTGCATTCCCAGAGAGGCTCAACTTTAAACATCGCTGGAGGTTTCTATGACCCATTTGTGAGTTCCGGGCAGTGCTGGAAAATGTGAGTCTGAGCCTTGCTCGGCAAAGCTCCAATGGCGTCCTGAGTGTTTCTGCCGCGCCCCTCACCGCAGCATGGGACTGTGGTGAGGCGAGAAGGACTTCTTCCACACCCTTAATTTTTTTTCTTTTTTGGTTTCCATTTAACCCACTTTATTATGCGCCTGGCACTGGGTTATGGAGCCCTGCGTCGTACAATGCAGAGGGTACTGTTATTAAGCCCTGTTCACAGTCAGGGGCAATGAGATTCAGAGAGGTAAAGTACCAAACCCAGGTACCACTGCCAGTGATCAGGGGTGATTTATGTCCAGACTCTGTCCCCAAAGTGGCTGGTATCTGGATGAAAGCTGCCCTTGGAAAAGTTAACCATTTCCAGACCAGGCGAAGTTGCTGCTAAGGGTCCCATGTGGGAAATGAGCTCTTCCCCATTTAAGAGCTCCTGGGCTGCTCATAGTCTGCAGCCAGGACCTGCAGGGAAGCCAGGGCAAGTGCTGGTGGCCAGGCGCAGAGACCGTTCAGACTCCTGCGGCTTAATTGGCCACCCCTCTCTACCCGAACAAGTCGGAATGCTCGGCCCACACCCACCCACCTGGCTCCCCTGCTATGTCTCAGCCTCCACCAGGTACCCACCAGCTGCTGTGCCCCACCCAGGACAGCCTCACCAGTGGGGTGCATGCTCAGAGTCTGGGCACGGGGCCATCTTCGACATCTCCAGCATGTTTCCAATCACATCCTCACACAACAGCCAACCCTGGCTCTAGAAAATTCTCCATTACAGTAGGTCCTAGTCCACCTCCCTGTGGTCCCCACGACATGCTGTGTTTACACTTTGAAGGGCAGCACACAGGACTCTATTCCTCAACGACCCCCTTGCTAGCCTCTGAGGGCAGCTGTTCTGGTGATTTCAGCCACAGCTCTGGGAGCTGCCCCGCCCCCCTTGCCACACTTTGCCACGTGAAGAGGCTGGCACCACATCTTCCGCATTTCTTAAAAGGGAGTCCACTGACAATTTGCCTGGGAATTCCCCGGGAAGCTTGTTAAAGCCAGACACTCCCATCTCAAGGGTCCAGCTGGGAATCTGCAGTAGACACTCCCTCACCCGCAAGTTCAGGAACCACAAGCTTCAGAGCAGACATCTGGGAATGACATGGCTCAGACTGAAAGACACCAGTCCACACTCTAGCTCTGTACCGTCCAACGTGGGAGCAACGAGCTGCACGTGGCCATCTCAATGAAATTCTCACTGATTAAAATGAAATAAAAATACAAATTCCATTCCTCAGTCGAACAGGCCACATTTCAAGGGCTCAATATCCACACATGGCCAGTGGCCGCCACATTGGACAGCACAGATAGGAAACATTTTCATCATCACAGAGAGTTCTAGAAAGTTTTTTTTTTTTTTTTGAGACGGAGTCTCGCTCTGTCGCCCAGGCTGGAGTGCAGTAGCGCGATCTCTGCTCATTGCAAGCTCCGCCTCCCGGGTTCACGCCATTCTCCTGCCTCAGCCTCCCGAGTAGCTGGGACTACAGGCGCCCACCACCATGCCCAGCTAATGCTTTTGTATTTTTAGTAGAGACAGGGTTTCACCGTGTTAGCCAGGATGTTCTCGATCTCCTGACCTCGTGATCCACCCGCCTCAGCCTCCCAAAGTGCTGGGATTACAGGTGTGAGCCACCGCGCCTGGCAGTCGTAGAAAGTTTTGAGACGGAGTTTCACTCTGTCGCCCAGGCTGGAGTGCAGTGGTGCGATCCTGGCTCAGGGCAGCCTCTGCCTCCCGGGTTCAAGCGATTCTCCTGCCTCAGCCTCCTGAGTAGCTGGCATTACAGGCACCCGGCATCAGGCCTGACTAATTTTTTTGTATTTTTAGTATGGATGGGGTTTCACCATGTTGGCCAGGCTGGTCTCCAACTCCTGACCTCAAGTGATCCGCCTGCCTTGGCCTCCTAAAGTGTGGGATTACAGGCGTGAGCCACTGCGCCTGGCCTAAGGACATTTGAAAGGAAAAAAATCTCCTACAAATCCCACGACAACAGCATATCTGTTTAATTCTTTGCATACTTTTTGTTGCATGTCCACATGTATCTAGCTATCACATGACTCCATTTACAGTGTGCATGAATATCATTTTCTGTTTTGGATGGGGCATGGATTAAGAGCCTAGGATTGTGATCAGACACACCCAGGGATGCTGCGTATGGTTGCACAGGCTGTGCACTGTACAACTTCAGGGGTGCCATTCCCACAGACTCCAGTGTGACTGGTGTCCCCTGCAGTTATGCAGTGGACAACCTGCCCAACCATATCCCGCTTTCCTGGAAATAGCTGCATTCTGGTTCTGGCTTTCCATGCCAGCTCTGTGAGCTCTGTGAGACTCAGTGTCCCCACTGTAAGTGGGAACAGCAACACCTAAAGTGCCTCGACAATACCTGGCACCCAGTTAGTGGTCAAGTAACATCAGCTATCGCGTTGGTGACTGCCATGACCTCACCATTTTATGAAGCGAAGTCAATGTGATGGTGCAGGTAGACTGCTTCCCGCTGTGAGCGACACACAGTGAACGATGGTCCCTCAAGCTCCATCCTAAACCCTCTGCTCTGTTTCCTATCTTCTTCCTCACGTTAGTGTGAGCGGCTGCATCACTTCCCCTAGTGGGGATGCCAAAACGGCCTCACAGCCCTTCCCCTCTTGTGGGATATTTAGGTCTCTTGCGATTTTCCTCTATTGTAAACACTGTGAAAAATGTCTCATTTCTTTGTCCTTCTGCTGGATTTCAAGACCCCAAATCCTTCACATAAGTTCTTCCAACAGCGCTCTCCTCTCCAGAAGGAACCTTTTTGCTACCAAGTTGGTCAGAACAGGCCAGCCCACAAAAGGTGGCGTACTGGCTAAGCACCGTGGCTCACGCCTGTAATCCCAGCACTTTGGGAGGCTGAGGCGGGTGGATCGCTTCAGGCCAGGAGTTTGGGACCAGCCTGGACAACATGGCAAAACCCCCACCTTTACAAAAAATTAAAACATTAGCCGGGCATGGTGGCACGCACCTGTAGTCCCAGCAACTCAGGAGGCTGAAGTGGGAGGATCACTTGAGCCCGGGAGATGAAGGTCACAGTGAGCCACAATTGTGCCACTGCACTCCAGCCTGGGTGACAGGTTCAGACCCTGTCTCAAAACAACAATAACGGCCAGGTGTGGCTCTGCAATCCCAGCACTTTGGGAGGCGGAGGCGGGCAGATCACTTGAAGGCAGGAGTTCAAGACCAGCCTGGCCACCATGGTGAAACCCCGTCACTACTAAAAATACAAAAATTAGCCGGGCTTGGTGGCATGTGCCTGTACTCCCAGCTACTCAGGAGCCTGAGGCAAGAGAATCGCTTGAACCTGGGAGGCGGAGAGCCGAGATTGCGCCACTGCACTCCAGCCTGGGCGACAGAGCGAGGCTTCATCTAAAAAAAAAAAAAAAGCCAACAACAACAACAAACCAAAAAAAAATACAGCACCCCACTGAGGAAGAGCTGGACCCTGGCGGCAGGCTGCCTAAGTTCAAATCCCAACTTCACTGCTGTGTGACCCTGAGGAAGTTACAACCTCTCTGTGCTTCAGTTATCCCATCCAGAAAATGGGGATAACAAGATCTTCCTCCCAGAGTTGTTGTGAAAATTAAATGAAAGAATATATATATAAGGTTCTTAAAGCAGTGCCTGGCACGTAGTAAGTGCTAAATCACGTTAGCCATTAGTATATTTATCTGGAGTTAGGTGCGTGTGCGTTCCCCTCCCACACTTGCTGTATATTGGCTGTGCAGCTTTGAGGCAATTTACTGAACCTCTCTAGACCTCGGTTTGTAACTGTCTGGTGGAGACTTGGGATGCTGAGAGGCAGAAGCAACCATGTGCCTGGCACGCTGAGGTCTCTCTCCTGAACAGCTGCTGTCGGTGCCTCAGAGACCAAGTTCTCTGCTCCCTGGGACACTTCCTCCCCAAAGCTTGCACTGACACACACAGAGCAGAGGCTGCCCTGAAGGTGCCCAAGGAAAGAATTCATCCTTCGTGGATGCTTCCCAGAAAGCTGGGCTGGACCATGTAGAAAGCCATGGCACAGTCACACACTGGATATTCTTTATTCCGGGCGGATGCATAGCAGGTCCTCAATAAATACTGAATGAATATGTAAGTGAATGAATGAATGGATTTTGGCTCCTGATGGGAACATAATCTCAATTCTCTGCTTGCCCAAACACCTGAAAATTTGTATGCACTATACACCATTACAAGCCTTCTCACTTCTGGACCCTCCTATCTGCAGAAACTAATATATTGATGGATATATGTATACACACACACACACACACACACACACACACACATATATATATTTTTTTTGAGACAGAGTCTTGCCCTGTTGCCCAGGCTGCAGTGCAATGGCGTGATCTCGGCTCACTGCAACTTCCACCTCCTGGGTTTAAGTGTTTCTCCCACCTCAGCCTCCCAAGCAACTGGGATTACAGGTGCGCACCACCACGCCCAGCTAATTTTGTGTGTATATATTTTAGACGAGGTTTCACCATGTTGGCCAGGCTGGTCTCGAACTCCTGACCTCAAGTGATCTGCCCACCTTGGCCTCCCAAAGTTCTGGGATTATGGGCGTGAGCCACTGCGCCCAGCCTATTGATGGATTTTTTTAATTGACAGGCCAGAGCATGGGCTAGGGAAATCACCTCCCACAGGGAAATGCTTCAGCCTGGCTTTGCTGGTGCTCATAGTCAGAGGAACAGGCACAGCGGCCTTCCTGTGGGGAAGGGCCTCCAGCATGCCCTGGGAGGGAAGGGACAGTCAGGCTATCCTGATGGCCCTCCAGCTGGGCCAGCATCCTCCCTCTACTTCCTAGAGTTTAGGAACGAACCACCTTGTTTCCTGAGCCTCCAGACACCAGGAAGATTTGATCCCAAGCCCAAGGTTTCATCTCTGGAGTCCAGCAGGCAGGGTGGGAATCCTACCTTCTCCACATCCCAGCTCTGTGACTTTGAGCCTGTGACCGCTCCTCTCTGGGCCTGTTTCCCTGTGAAGTGGGCCCATAGGGCCTCAGATGGGATGGTAGTGACGTGAGGTAGTGACGTGAGGGGGCGTCCACCCAGTACTGACAAATGGCCAAAGCCTTGGCTGCCCAGTCTGGGTTGTCTCAACCTCTGCCCACACGCGCCTAGCAGGGATTAGTCTCTGAGTTGATGTGCATGGCTGACACCCCCACCCTACCCAGCATCCCAGCTCCCCTTTTCCGGAACAAGGAAGGCAGGCGTGGCGGGAAAAACCCGCTCTTGCCACGTGTGTTTCACCAAACACCCTCCTCCCGATCATGGGGAAGGGCTGCACACCAGGGGGAACTCGGGGAACTGCTGAGTCCCAAGCCCTGGGCAAGCCCTCTTCTCTGCAGCCAGACTGGGTTGGCCTGGCCCAGCCCGGCCTGGCAGCACCACCGCCTGGTCTTACGCTTCCTTTTGGTGGAGAACCATGGAGACAGAGCCTAAGTGCCCCCGCCCCCCCCCCCCCCCGCCCCATCCAACCACCCATTTCTCCTAAGCTCCCCTGCTGGGAGCTCCCAGCTCCACTGCTCACTTTATAGGCCCTGCGAGGGGGCCCAGAGAGCTGAAGGGGCTGGTCCAGAAAGGCAGAGCACCCCGAAGCTGCCTGGGGACGGGAAGGCTCGGTGCTGACAGCAGCCAGGACCAGGGACCACCTTGTGGTTAAGACAGATTTGGTGCGGAGCTGGGACCGGCCTCAATGAAGCCCTTGTACTCACCCAGTGGGTGAAAAGCCCCCTTCCGAATCCCGGCGCTTAAAACCCTCCAACCTCCACGCTCCCCTCCCCCACCCACATTTTGGCGTTTCTCGCATGCCCCAAAGGCCTCATCTTAGGGGAAGCTCTGACTCAGAATTTTGAAAAATCTTACGCACAAACTTAGGAAAACAAACTTCGGGGGGCGGGGAAGCGTCCCCAGCCCTTTGTGGGGTGGAGACAGCGGGGGCGCTAGCAGGGGGGCAGGTTTCTGAGAAGCCATCTTTCCCTCCCCCGGGACAGGGCCGAGGGGCGAGGCGGACCCCACCCGTCTCGTGGGTGGCTTTCCCATCTGGACGGGGAGCTGGCTTGCTGGGCGGGGGTCTCCCCTCCGCACGCGCGGGTCTGGGGTCGGTCCGAAATCCAGGGGATGCCAGGGCCGGCGCGCCAGCCGCCGCCGCCCAGCCCGGCCATGTGCGCGCCAGCCAGTGCGTGCGAGCGCGCCGCGCTGGTGGCGGCCAGAGCGGCGCCGCGGCACATCTGGTTCCAGACGAGCCCCTGGCGCCTGCCTCGCCGCAGTCCCGCGGCCCAGACACACAGACGTTAATAGATCCCGCGCCCAGCCCCGCGCTGCCCGCGCCGCCGCCGCCCAGCTGCTCCGAGGGTGCGCGCCCCGGCCGGGCGGGAGGGGGCACGGCCTAGGGGAGGGGGAGCGGGACGCAGCGCTCCCCTGCAGCCCAGCCAGCTCCCTCCTCGCCTTCCTTCCAGCTCAGACACCTCCCTCTCCACTCCCGCTCTCCAGGCAGGTCCCGGGTGGGAGCCAGGACTGACTGCTCTTTCCTATCCTGGCACCGAGTGCAAGGGAATCCAACCCCCGATTAGTGACAAAGGCAGTTCCTACGTGTCCAGCTCCGGCCAAGGCCAAGGCTAAGGGCCAGGCCGGGCCGGGCGCCTATGGGCGTGTCTCCACACACGGTAACCCTATGAGGCAGGTACTGCTGCTACCGTCCCCGTTTAACAGTCGGGATAACCGAGACTAGGGAGGGAGGTCAGTCGCCCAAGGTCACACAGCGAGAAAGCTGCAGAGCGGCCATTCAGCTGGTCTATCGGACTCTGGCCCCAGGGGGGTCCGCGCTGCACCCCCTCTTCAACTGCTAGCCCACACACCTGGAACTCAAAGTCACCTTCACCCGGGGCGCCCCTCCCTTGCCCTCCCTCTGTCAGGGACCCCCTCTGCACCTGCAACCTTGATCCCTTAGCGAGGGTCCTCCCACCCAAGCATCTGGGGAAAGTGAAGCTTTGTGGGGACTCTGCAGGAATTTGCCCAGCTCCTTTCCCTTGGCAAGGCGGCAAGACAGCTGCTTATTTGGAATCCACCCCTTATCAAACCGGGAACCGAGGGTAGCTTTGCTTTATAAAATGTATTTTTTAAAAATTATTATTACTATTATTTTTTTCGAGACAGGGTCTAACTCTGTGGCGCAGGCTGGAGTGCAGCGGCGCGATCTGGGCTCCGCTGCAGCCTTGAACTCTCAGGCTTAAGCGATCCTCCCACCTGAGCCTCTAGAGTAGCTGAAATTACAGGCGCCCACTACCACGCCTGGCCAATTTTTGTATTTTTTGTAGAGACGGGGTTTCACCATGTTGCCCAGGCTGGTGCCTAACCCCTGGGCTCAAGCGATCCATCCGCCTCAGCCTCCCAAAGTGCTGGGATTCCAGGCGTGAGCCACCGTGCCCAGCCAAGGTGCCCTGCTTTAGAAGTACCATTCTACTATTCAGGGGTATGTGGCTTGTTTTCGTTTTGAAAAGGGGGCTGTGAGCATTAGGACCCCCCACACTAGATTCCATGATAATACATCTGAGTCTTAGCCAGTTGGTGAGTGGAGGTGGGTTTTGTCTTCCTCCCTTTCTCTCCTTCTGTGACTCCCTACCCCACCTTTCTTTTTTTTTTCGTTTTCTTTCTTTTACTGTGGACTTTAGCTCCTATGGGCTAAGCATGTGTGCTTGCAAATTCCAAGTAATTTGTTGGCTCCAGATTAAACTTCAGCTTTCCGCCTTCTCAGAGGGGGCTTTATAAGGAAATGGGGCCACATCAAAGTGCCATGTTCACCCTTAAAATGGGAGAAGAGTGTTTTTTTCTGAGCTGCTTACATGACAGCAGAGGTTCTGTTTAGAACTTTCCCGTTAATGCTCTCTGAATTCACTTGTGGGGGCTTGTTAACTTGGGCTGTCAGAAATTCTGGATTTTAGAAAAAAAACTCACTTTTAAAAAGTTCCCCGCCTAAAGGTAGTGAGGCCCATAATGGCCTGGTGAATGTGCCTAAGCATCTGAAAGCAGCGGGAAAGTCCTTTTGACTTCCCAGCCAAGTCTCCTGTTAAAGGTTTGGGGTGGCGGGGGCCTGGAGGAAGAGCAGCGTGGGCCAGGAAAGGGAGGTGCCTGCCAGCTGGGGGCTCCCGGCCCGGCTCCCAGCTCTGTGCCAGGCTAAGACTGAGCCCTTCCCCAGCAGGCCTGAAAAGGGGGTAAACACAACAAGGCTGTGGGGTGTATAAAAACCAAACCAAAGAAGCACATTGGTCAAGTAAAGCCCAGAGCAAGAGACCGGGAATTTGGAGGGAAGCTGATTCTTCAAGCATCTGCCATTTCCGCAGCCTCTCTCTTTGAAAAGACAGTTTCCTCTGGGGCTAAAGACAGCTGGTGGCAATTTCAGGTCACAGAACTCTGTCCTCTTGCCTTTCCTTCTCCTCCATGGCCTCTCCTCTGTCCCCCTTAGCCAGAAACCTCTGGAGGGAGTGTTGATTACGGGCCACCTATCCACACTCACGGACTGTGGGGTGGAGAAGGGAATAATCCTCCTAGAACTTCTAGAATGACCCTGGATCTTCATGAGGCCCTGGCCTTGGCCAGGTCCAGCCACTTGCCTGTGGGGTGTTGGGGTTCTCCCTGGACTGCTAGGTGACCCCAAAAGATTAATCAGTGGGTACTGGGACCCTGCCCCCAGACCCCTCTGAGCCAGCCTGCAGCTCGCCCCATTCCTCCTCCATGGTGAGCCCTTTCATCTGGAAGCTGCAGGCAAGTGGGTCTTGGGGGGCTGATGAGAGGGGATGGTGGCTGAATCCCCCAGGCCAGAAGGCTGGCCCAGCCATGAAGCCTTCGTTGGACCACTAGGGTCATGGCACACATCATAGTGTTTATCACTATTCTGAATGGGGCTCCCTCCGCTGCCCCCCATGGACTCCCCTATGTGCCAGGTACTTTAAACACACACACACACAGAGCTTGGAGGAATCCTCACACCTGCAAACCCAGGAAGCAAGTATTAACAAGAGGAAGAAACAGGATCTGTGGGGTCAAGTGACTTCTCTAAGGCCACACAGCCAGTTGGTGGAAGAACTGGGACTCATCCACATCCTGATGCACCAGATTCCAGCACCCAAGCTTCCAACCCCTGAACCGCGCTGCCTCCCTGCCGAGCACGCATGAATCTCCCTTCACCTTCTCCCCAGGAGGCAGCCAGCACAGAATGTCAGAGTCAGAAGGGACTTCTGAAGGGCTGGACACGGTGGCTTATGCCCATAATCCCAGCACTGTGGGAGGCCGAGGCGGGCGGATCACTTGAGGTCAGGAGTTGGAGACTGGCCCAGCCAACATGGCAAAAACCCATCTCTACTAAAAATACACAAGTTAGCCGGGCATGGTGGCACACACCCATAGTCCCGGCTAGTCGGGAGGCTGAGAGAATGGCTTGAATCCAGGGAGGCAGGAGAATGGCTTGAATCCAGGAGGCAGAGGTTGCAGTGAGCCAGGATCAGGCCACCGCACTCCAGCCTGGGCCACAGAGGGAGACTGTCTTAGAAAATTAAAGGGGAGACGTGGGGTGTTTTTGAGCACACTCAGGCCGGGGCTGGCTCATGGTGTCATTTCCCTGCCACTCCTGATCGCCTGCTAGTAGCTGCTTAGAACCCTGTGTTGTGGAGGATTCGGAGGGTCTCTGGTGGATGAGCTTCGTCTGCCATGGGCTCAGGAAGAGCTTCAGAAAAACCCCAAGCAAGGACTCTGCCTTCACTCCCTGCTGGGGGCCCTTTCTACCTCCAAGGACACAGCAAACTATGTCACGTGTGGCATCGTCTTACCATCCCTTGTCCCTTGACACGCTCATTTTGGGAAGTTCCACATAGACCACAGAAAGACATTTGAAGAGAATGATGTTCAATTCTGCCTTTTAAAATAAACAAGCAGCAATGTGGCATTGCCAGGAGGCAAACCCTCGTCCCTCTTCCAAGGCCTTGGTGGTGGCAGGAAAAATTATCCAACCTCTCTGGACATATTTCCAATAGGGACAATATTCTTCCTCCTGCACATAAATACTGTATTAACCAGTAATGATGGCAAGGCGAGTTTTGCCCCAAAAGAACGATCTTTTTTTTTTTTTTTTTTGAGACAGAGTTTCGCTCTTGTCGCCCAGGCTGGATGGAGTGCAATAGCGTGATCTCAGCTCACTGCAACCTCTGCCTCCTGGGTTCAAGTGATTCTCCAGCCTCAGCCTCCCAAGTAGCTGGGATTACAGGCACCCACCACCATGCCCAGCTAATTTTTGTATTTTTAGTAGAGACGGGGTTTCGCCATGTTGGCCAGGCTTGTCTTGAACTCCTGACCTCAGGTGATCCGCCCGCCTTGGCCTCCCAAAGTGCTAAGATTACAGGTGTGAGCCACCGCACCCAGCTGAGAACAATCTATTTTTTTTAAAAGACTATCTACCATGAGAAAACTTCTTTAGCAGATTAAATTATAAACAACCTGATTTTAAAATGGACGGAAGCCCTGAGCAGACACCTCACCAAAAAGACAGACAGATGGCAAGTAAGCATATGAAAGATACACCGTATCTTGTATCACTGGGGAAATGCAAATTAAAACTACAGTGAGATACCACCACACGGCTATTAGAATGCCCAGAATCCAGAACACTGACAACCAAATGCTGGCGAAGATGTGGGGCAACAGGAACTCTCATCCACTGCTGGCGAGAATGCGAAATGGTACAGCCACTTTGGAAGACAGCTTGGCCGTTTCTTACAAAACTAAACATACTTTTACCGTACGATTTGGCCATCACACTCCTTGGTTCCTACCCAAATGAGGTGGAAACTTCTGTCCACAAAAAGGCCTGCCCAGGGATGTTTATAGCAGCTCTGTTCATAATTGCCAAAACTTAGAAGCAACTAACACGTCCTCCAGTAGGTGAATGGATAAACTGTGCTACATCCAGACAAAGGAATATTACTCAGCACTGAAAAAAGGAGCTATCGAACCATGAAAAAATGTGGAAGAAACTTACATGGATATTTACTAAGTGAAAGAAGCCAACCTCAAGAGGCTACATACTGTATGATTCCAACCACATGACGTTCTGAAAAAGGCAAATCTTTGGAGATAGTAAAAGGGTCAGTGGTTGCAGGGCTGCAGGAGGGACGGATGAAGAGGCAGAACCCGGGGGACTGTTAGGGCAGTGAAGCCACTCTGGGTGATACTGCAGTGGTGGATCCGTGTCATTATGCATTTCTCTAACCCCACAGAATGAACAACACCAAGAGGGAACCCCAATGTACACTATGGACTTTGAGTGATGATGGTATGTCACTGTAGGCTCACTGACTGTAACGAATGTAACACTCTGGTGGGGGATGGTGGGGGTGGAGGTGGGGACAGGAGATAGATGGGGAATCTCTGCACTTTCCACTCAACTTTGCTGTGAATCTAAAACTGCTCTAAAAAAATAAAGTCTAGGCCAGGCGTGGTGGCTCATGCCTGTAATCCCAGCACTTTGGGAGGCAGAGGAGAGTAGATCACTTTAGGTCAGGAGTTCGAGACCAGCCTGGTCAACACAGCAAAACCTTATCACTTCTAAAAAAAAATACAAAAACTAGCCAGGCGTGGTGGTGTGTACCTGTATAGTCCCAGCTACTTGGGAGGCTGAGGTGGGAGAATCGCTTGAACCCAGGAGGTGGAGATTGCAGTGAGCCGAGATCACACCATTGCACTCCAGCCTGGGTGACAGAGTGAGACCCTGCCTCAAAAATAAAATAAATAAATAAATAAATAAGTACCGTCTAGGCCAGGCACGATGGCTCATACCTGTAGTCTGGGCAAACACAGTGACACCCTGTCCCTACAAAAAAAATTTTTTTAATTAGCTGAGCATGGTGGTGTGTGCCTGTAGTCCCAGCTGTTAGGGAGGCTGAGGTGGGAGGATGGCTTGAGCCCGGGAGATGGAGGCTGCCATGAGCTGTGATCATGCCACTGCACTTCAGCCTGGATGACAGAGCTAGACCCTGTCTCAAAAAAAAAAAAAAAGTATATTTAAAAAGGGAAAAGAATATTAAAAAATAAATTTCACAACTGGCTCTCTGTGGGGGAGGAGATCCTTAATTTACAGTGTTTGTCAATTTCTGGGGTATAAATACTTCTACCATGGCCAATTTCAAGCCACAACATAACATCAATGAAGACGAAATCGAGAAGAGGTGCCCTAAAGCCCACCAGTGTGTGGTATTCCTACCATCCAGATACCACAGTGCAAATAACCTCAAGCATAAATAACAGCAAAATGTAAAATTATGAGAAAGAGATGAGATCTGAGTATCTATTGCCTGTGTTTTAAATATAATTTCTGTGATTGTAAGTTTATATAATTTTTTTTTTTTGACAGAGTCGCTTTGTCATGCAGGCTGGGTGCAATGGTGCGATCTTGGGTCACCGCAACCCCTGCCTCCCAGGTTCAAGCAATTCTCCTGCCTCAGCCTCCCATGTAGCTGGGATTACAGGTTCCCGCCATGACGCGTGTCTAATTTTTTTTTTTTTTTTTGTATATTTAGCAGAGACAGGGTTTCACCATGTTGTCTAGGCTGGTCCCGAACTCCTGACCTCAAGTGATCCACCCGCCTCAGCCTCCCAAAGTGCTGGGATTACAGGCATAAGCCACTGTGTCCGGGCCTTAATTTTTAATAATATCTGTGTTTGACAACCAGCTTCCAAAATTCTAAAAACTTAACAATAGGCTCTTGTGCAGTAGGACAAGCGGGCACAAGCACACCACTCTAGTTTACAGCCCACCTAAAGGAGAGGGTCTTATTTTTGCCTCTCTCCTCTCATCCTTACCCATATGCAGCTGTGTTTTGTTGGAGATGGCCTCATGGTGTAGAGCCCATTTGAGAGTTAAGAGCTGGCACTGGCTGGGCGCGGTGGCTCATGCCTGTAATCCCAGCACTTTGGGAGGCCAAGGCGGGCAGATCATGAGGTCAGGAGTTCAAGACCAGCCTGGTCAACATAGTGAAACCCCATCTCTACTAAAAATACAAAAAATTAGCCAGAAGTGGTGGCAGGCATCTGTAATCCCAGCTACTCAGGAGGCTGAGGCAGGAGAATCGCTTGAACCCAGGAGGCGGAGACTGCAGTGAGCCGAGATCGCACCACTGCACTCCAGCCTGGGTGACAGAGCGAGACTCCGTCTTAAAAAAAAAAAAAAAAAAAAGAGCTGGCACCGTACTTATGGTGCTAGTCATGTCTGTCCAAGGACTAGCAGCCCCCAGAGCTGCTGCCTTTGGGAGGGCCCTCTCAGGTCTCCAGATCCTGGGTACCTTGATCAGGGTTCAGATCCTACCCATTGGCGTGATACAACCTGTGTGCCAACTCCATCACCTGCGCCGGGCAGCAGGGGCCTTTCTAAAGTGAGTTGTTACCCTCAAAAGTGTGCCCAGAGGGCTGGAAAAGTCATGTTGGAGAAAACTCGGGCCCCAGCTCTTAGGCCAACTCTCAGGGAGAGAATGACGCAGCCCTGAAAACAGAGGATCGCAGCGGAGAGGAGGACAGGCTGGGTAAGGTGGGAGGGATGAAGGCAGCAGGGTGGGACAGGGCCTCGGCCCTAGCTGCACGGGGCATTACTGGGGAGCAGTAGAGGGTGGAGCCTTTAAAAATAAGATGCTATTGGCCAGGCGCGGTGGCTCACGCCTGTGATCCCAGCACTTTGGGAGGCTGAGGCGGGCGGATCACAAGGTCAAGAGATTGAGACCATCCTGGCCAACACGGTGAAACCCCGTCTCTACTAAAAATACAAAAAATAGCCAGGCGTGATGGCGCGCGCCTGTAATACGAGCTACTTGGGAGGCTGAAGCAGGAGAATCGCTTGAACCTGGGAGACAGAGGTTGCAGTGAGCCAAGATTGTGCCACTGCACTCCAGCCTGGGCGAAAGAGTAAGACTCCGTCTCAATAAATAAATAAATAAGCAAAATAAGATGCCAAGCCCCCGCCCCCACCCCGGAGAGTCGGACTCCACAGGTTCGGAGTGAGGCCTGGCCATCAGCATTCATTGAAAGCTCGCCAGCTCATGCTACCGTGCAGCCAGGGTTGAGGACCACTCACTGGCGACACCAAGTGCAAGGTCTTTGCGCATCAGACCAGCCTAGAGTTGAGGCCCAGCCCTATGGCCAGGGACCACTTGTCCCAAATAAGCCTTGGTATCTTCATCTGCAAAAGCGACATCTACTTACAGGGTTGGTATTGGTGATAACTCAAGCAAACACGCACAGTGGGAGATGGGAGAATGGGAAATGATGATGGATGCCACTAACTCGCGTGGAGCAATTCCTTCAAGCGGAGCACTAAGCCAAATGCCTGGTCACACCGAAATCTGGCAGTCCTGAGAGACAAGCATTATCACTTACTCCCCTTTTCCAAACGAGGAAGCCCTGGCTCAGGGAGCATGGTGACCTGCACAAGTGGCAGAGGCAGGATTCCAGCCGAAGCAGGCAGGCTTCTTACTGAAGACCCCTGTGCTCTGGGAGCTCAGAGAAGAGCTTAGGGGTGGAGAAGGCAGGGAAGCTTGAAGGAGGAGAGAAATGGAGAGAAGACAGGAGTGTGTTCAGGAGCACAGGAGTGTCTCTCTGTGCCATGAAGCCAAACCAGCACCCCTAAGCCATGAGCCTACCCGCAGCCAACGACACACAACATTTCTGGCCTCGTGCACACTTCACCTCTTTTCTGTGAGACCCAACCTGAAAAGATTCTATTCTGTATGATTCCAGCAACAGGACAGACACTTTCCTTTCCTTTCCATTCTATGAATGAGAAGCCTGAGGCCGCAGAGGGGAGGATGCTAGGCCTAGAGCCACCCAACCAGAGGGTGGTGCTGTGTGAACTGGTGAAGAGAGTAAACAATGGGCTCCTACTCATCCTACAAGACCCAACTGGAAAAGCCCTCTCCTGATGCCCAGAACCCCTGTGCACGTTTGCTTCAGCCTCCTCACACTGGGTTCCAGGCTTGGTCTCCTGTCCTAGCTCTGCTAGGCTCCCAGGTTTCAGGTGTCTCTTTGGGGCCCATGCCATTGAATGGCAGGAGACAGAGTGACAGAAATGTGGACCCAGTGAGCCCTCCTGGCTGTTCTCCTTCAGAGTCAAGAGACCTTGTCCTGACGTGGATGATGCTTCTTGGGAGAAACGTGAGGTCAGTGTGCTACTGCGTGTTTGCGGGGTAGGGAAAGGAAGGCACCTGGGGCAGAGACTGTGGGAGGGAGTTCATGATCAGAGACCACACTGTAGACACAGGTCCAGGGTAGCTCTTCAAATGACCCCCATTATATCATGGGGCTCTTCCCAGTCCTCAAAGCCATTTCTTGACCGGGCACGGTGACTCACACCTATAATCCCAGCACTTTTAGGAGGCTGAGGTGGGAGGATCGCTTGAGTCCAAGAGTTCAAGACCAGCTTGGGCAACAGAGTGAGACCCCCATCTCTACAAAAAAGACAAAAATTAGCCAGGCATGGTAGTGGCATGCCTGTAGTCCCAGTTACCTGGCAGGCTGAGGTGGGAGGATGGCTTGAGCCCAGAGGCGGAGGTTGCAGTGAGCCAAGATAGCACCACTGCACTCCAGCCTGGGTGACAGAGTGAGACCCCCATCTCTACAAAAAATATAAAAGTTAGCCAGGCGTGGTGGTGCACACTTGTAATCCTAGCTACTCAGGAGGCTTAGGCAGGAGGACCGCTTGAGCCCAGGAGGTCAAGGCTGCGGTGAGCAGTGATTGCACCACTGCACTCCAGCCTGAGTGACAGACTGTCCCCGCTACCTCCAGAAAGCCCTTTCTCATCCACCCTCAATCACTGTGCGAGGGGGCTACTGTCATCAGGTTGCTTTAGAAAAGGAGAAACTGAGGCTCAGAGAGCTGATGCTGCCTGCCTAGGCCTGCCCGGCCAGGGTCTGAGCCAGTCTGTCTGCCTGCCCTTGTCTCCTGGGCCATGCTACCTTTCTGCTCCCCAAATCTCGGGTGTGATGAGTTCCCACACCAACCAGGCTGCTAGAATTCCACGGAGTTGGCGCAGCGATCAAAAGGGTATAGTTTGTGAGTCACTCATTCATTCATCCAGGCAGCATTTACTGAGCACCACCCTTGTGCCAGGCGCCACTGTTGACACAGCCTTGAGTGTGCAGAGGGAAGCCGGCTGGTACAGCGCAAGCAAGTTGAGTTAGTGACGGTGGAGTGGCTGCCAGCCCTTCCTCTGGCACGCGGCTCCTCCTCTCTGTGCCTCAGTTTCCCAGCCACTCATGGATCATTGTAAGGATTCTGAGATGATGCCTGGAAGGTGGTCAGGTGGCAGGACTCACAGGGGTCCCTGGGGCCCTCCACACCCCTCACCAACCCCGAGGGGCCCGCTGAACAACACCCCTGCCAGGCCTCGAGGCCACTTTTGCCCCTTTCCTTCCATGAAGCATCTGTGCATGTTGAATGCAGCCGACTTTTTTTCTTTTTTAATGTTTTATAGAGTTGGTGATCTCATTCTGTGGCCTAAGCTGGTCTTGAACTCCTGGCCCCAAGTGATCCTCCCACCTAGGCCTCCCAATGTGCTGGGATTACACCATGCCCGGCCTGCAGCCTGCCTCAGCCAAGTAGGAGGAGGGCACCTGAAGAAGCAGATCTGTCCCCTTTACTACTCCCCCACCCCCTCTGCAGGGGGCTTCCCTGCAGGTGGCTGTCCCTCAGCCAGCGCCAATCAAATATGGAAAAGAGCCTGCCTGCAATTGCTTAATTCTCCCCTGCCCAGGGCCTGCCCCCAACCCGGGCTCCTCTGATTTCATTAGCATTCTGCCCAGACCCCACTCCCCCGCTGGACCCATCAAGGCCCTCCCCCGAAAAAATAAGGACATTGGAGTATTTTCTGGAAGGGAGGGGAGGGGCCTGGGTGGAGGAGGGGCGGCCGGTGGTGAGGGCGAATCCGGAGGCTGCAGATGACCAGGGATCCCCCTTCTGAGCAGGTCCTGGTGTGGGGCAAGGTGAGGGAGGCACCCAGGCTGCAAAAGTAAGAGGGTCAGCTGTGTGTGGTGGCTGTAGCCTGTAATCCCAGTGCTTTAGGAGGCTGAGGTGGGAGGCTCATGCCTGTGATCCCAGAGCTTTAGGAGGCTGAGGTGGGAGAATCACTTGAGCCCAGGAGCTCAAGAACAGCCTGGGCAACACAGTAAGACTCCTCTTAAAAAAATTAGCCAGTGTGGCAGCGTGCACCTGTGGCCAGCTACTTGGGAGGCTGAGGCGGAAGGATCACTTGAGCCCAGGACATGGAGACTGCAGTGAGCTGTGATCGCACCACTGCACTCCAGCCTGGGCGACACAGCAAGACCAAGTCTCAAAAACAAAACAAAAGTAAGGAGGTCTGCATCCAGATACCCGCCCCTCATGGGCCCAGCCCTAACAGCGATGCCTCCTTGCCTCTGCTCCTGAGGCATCTCACTCCCCTCACCCTTGTCTTGACTCTGGTTCTGAGCAACACCAGAAGGGGAGCCTACATGCCAGCCCAGGGTCTAGTTCCCAGGACCTGCCCCCTCCAGCTTCACTGGGTGCCCCTGCCCCCTACGAGCCCCACCCACTACAAGCCATCCTGGCCTTCCTTATGCTCCTTGGACGCTGGTACTCTGCTACTTCCAGTCTTTGCACATGCAGTTCCCCCTGGCTGGAAGACTTTTCCCACCTCTTCACAAAGCCCAACCCAGCCCTCACCTCTCTTCTTAGACAACACTTCCTGTAGGAACCCTTCCCTCACTGGTCCAGAAAGGCGTGGGGGTCTGGCCACGTCTCCCAGCCACTCCACCATCACTAACTCAACTTGCTTACACTGCACCAAGAACCGGGTTCCCTCTGCGCCCTCAGGGCTGTGTCAGCAGTGGCGCCTGGCACATTGTCGGTGCTCAGTAAACACTGCATGGATGAATGAATGAATGACTCACAAACCACGCCCTTAAGTCTTTGGGTGCATAATACCTAAGGCCCTGGAGCTTTTTAAAGGCCCAGGAAAATGGGAGACTGGAAATTGTTTTTAACTTAGTTCCAAAGTACAGTGAAGAAGGGAAACTGGCCGGGCGCAGTGGCTCATGCCTGTAGTCCCAACACTTTGGGAGGCTGAGGTGGGAGGACTGCTTAAGTCCAGCAGTTCGAGACGCTCGTCTCTACAAAAAATTTAAAGAATTAGCCAGGTGGGGGTGGTGGCACATGTCACCCAGCTACTCAGGAGGCTGAGGTGGGAGGATCAACAGCCCAGGAGGTTGAGGCTATAGTGAGCTGTGATTGTGCCACTGCACTCCAGCCTGGGCAACAGAGTGAGACCCTGCCTCAAAAAAATAAAAATAAAAAAAGGAAATGAACAAACAGTGAGTGAAATGTGGACTGCCTGTGATGGCACGGCAAGCGGACCACAGTCCACCCTGCTTTTGGCTCCGCATACTTGCCATGGTGCTTAATGTAACGTGAGGGGGATGCTGCTACTGGTAGGGGGCCCTGGGCCCAGCCAGACCCCAACTTGCCCTGCTCCCTGGCCTCCCAGGCCTGTGCTTGGAACCAGGTAGGGTGGTGATGACCCCTCCACAGCTTCCTGAGTACCACTCAGCCCACGGGGCCCACTCTGGCCAGAGTGATGCCCTCAGCCCAGGGAGAGGGCAGGAGGGGCGTCAGTGGCACACTGCCTGCCCTGGTAGAGGGGACAAGATGGTGGAAGGGTGGCCCAGTGGCAGTTGTCCAGGCCTCCTGGTTGCTTTGAGAGTCATGATTGACACAGGAACCCCGGAATGAGTTCCCTCAACTCCACCCACAAGCTTGGTGACCTTGGGAAAGCTTCTTGACCTCTCTGAGCCTTGGCTGCCTCGTCTATAAAGCAAGCACAATTAACAGTCCCTCCGTGATTAGGTGAGACAATACATGAGATGTACCTGAAGCACTGCTTGTCCTGTTTAGAGAACTCTTCCTTTATAAACGTGAGTTCTGTTACACCCAGGAGCACCACGTGGAGAGCAACCTCCCTACATTCCCCGTCCCAGAGGTGCCACTGAGGCCCCACCCCACACAGCCCAGGCCTCGGCCAATCAGCACTCCACTTCTCTTGGCCATATGATTGGTTCAGAAGTGGGTAAGGACCCAATCATGGCACAGCGAGACTTTTTCGGAGATTTCTGGTCTCTTTTCTGTTGGGGTGTGTGTGGGTGTGTGTGTGTGTGTGTGTGTGTGTGTGTGTGTGTGTGTGATTTCTGGTATCTTTTCTGTTGGGTGTGTGTGTGTGTGTGTGTGTGTGTGTGTGTTGTATCTGTGTGTGTCTCTCTCTGTGTGTGTGTCTCCTCTATAGGAAAGGGTGAAGCCAGAGAGAGAGAACCCAGGCCCCAGTGTCATTGCTTAAGCCTGGATCCAGCAGTGCCTGAAGTCCCACCCTGGATTTCTAAATTAGGCTAATAAATATATCCTAGTTTGCTTAAGCTAGCTGGGACCAGTCTTCTACCCATCATAGGTGACAGCCTTGACTGATATAATGCCAAAGTCCAACTATAACCGTACCCTTGTCCTCACCCTGGCAGAACTAGAGTAGTGTGGCTCCCACTCCAGGAACCCCTCACCCCCAGGTCTGCAGGGAGCACAGTGCCAGAGGGACTGGTGGACCTGCCTCAGGAATCTTCTCTCCTCTGCTCCCATCGCTGCCTCCACCACATGGGGTCCAGGGTCATGGGTCCCTCTCTGGGCGAATTTAGGATGTGAGTCTCTGCAGCCTGTTGGGAGGGGCTCCCGTTAGCCATAGCCTTGTACAGGAAGAGGGTAGGGACAGGAGGGCTCTGAAGTCTGATCCTGGGCTTTAGCCTTACCTCTGCAGGTGCTGGCTGTGCAGCCTGGGGGTGGCGCTCCCGCCTCTGAGCCCCAGAGGCCCCTGTGCTTCTCTTCGGTGGAATTTAACAGCACTGCAGTAAATTACCTGCCTGTGTCTTTTTTATTTTTTATTTTTTTTTGAGATGGAGTCTCGCTCTGTCGCCCATGCTGGAGTGCAGTGGCGCGATCTCTGCTCACTGCAAGCTCCGCCTCCCGGGTTCCCGCCATTCTCCTGCCTCAGCCTCCCGAGTAGTTGGGACTACAGGTGCCCGTCACCACGCCCAGCTAATTTTTTGTATTTTTAGTAGAGACAGGGTTTCACCGTTTTAGCCAGGACGGTCTCGATCTCCTGACCTCGTGATCCGCCCACCTCGGCCTCCCAAAGTGCTGGGATTACAGGCGTGAGCCACCGCGCCCGGCCTCCTGCCTGTGTCTTTATCAGTTACCTGTAAGCTCGATAAGGGCTGGCAGGTGGGTGTGTGCCCAGGACCTGCACAGAGCAGGGGCTCTCAAGAAATATGTGCTGCAGGAAGGAGCCTCTGTTTCTCATCTCTAAAATGGAAATGTCAATATCTGTCTATAAAGATGAGGGGAGACCGTGTGTGTCATGTGCTTAGTCTGTAGTGGGGGCTTCCTAAAAGGGAGATGATTAATTACTGTTATGAAGGGAGTCCCAGGAGGGGTTCCTGATGGGCAGTGACTTCACCCAAATAAGACTTAATGGTGGCCTGGCAGGAACTGGCATAGCCAGAGGGAATTTTTTTTTTTTTAGACAGAGTCTCACTCTCACCCAGGCTGGAGTGTAGTGGCGCCATCTCAGCTCACTGCAACCTTCGCCTCCCAGGTTCTAGCAATTCTCCTGCCTCAGCCTCCCGAGTAGCTGGGACTACAGGTGCATGCCACCATGCTGGATTAATTGTTGTATTTTTAGTAGAGATGGGGGGGGTTCACCATGTTGGTCAGGCTGGTTTCGAACACCTGACCTCAGGTGATCCGCCCACTCCGGCCTCCCAAAGTGCTGGGATTACAGGCATGAGCCACTGGGCCCGGCCAAGGAGGGGAAGATTGAGGGACGGGTCTGGGGTCTCCATGGTGGTGCTGGAAGACCTGAGGATGGAGCCCCTCTCTGGGGCTGTCCTTGACCCCGCCACAGGCCCAGGCTTTTGTCTGCTGTGCCAAAGACTGGGTAGGGCCACAGATACCTGAGCTGTTTCCGGGATTGGGCGAAGCCATTGCTGAGAGGGGGTGGAGACACTCCCTGCCCTCCTCCCTCCAGCTTCACCCTGGACCAGTCAAGAGACAAAGGAATAAACAAGTCCCTATTCTCACCACCCCGCCCCAGGGTGGGGCTGGGGCGGAGGAGTGGAGTTTTTGCCTTAATATGGAGCTAGTGTGGGTTGGGACAGTTCTCCAACCCCATGCTAGGGAGATGAGCGTCCTTGGGGGCCTGCGGTTGCCAGGGGTATGGCTGGTCCTCAGCCCCTCCTCTCTTAGGGGCCCTCACAGGAGTTGCGAATAATAGCAATGGCAGTAATAGTAACATAGTGCGCACAGCAGCAGCGGCGGGGACATCTGTGCCAGGACTTTGTGAAGTGCTTCCTATCTCTCTGCATCCTCACCACCCACGCCTCTGAGTAGGTGCTGTCACCGTCCCCACCTCACAGACCAAGAAACTGAGGTTGAGGGAAAGAAGCCCCTTGCCCCAGGGAGCCAGGTGGGATCCATGTGACATCCTGGCCCCACTCTGGACCTCCTCTCCCTGGGGTACCTCGGGCACAGGAGGAGGCCACGGGCATTTGGCCAACAGCTCCCCAGAGCTGCTTTCCTCCTAAGACCCACGCCTCCTCCTCAGGGACCAGCCTGTACCGTGGGAAGGTGGAGGGAGGAAAATTCTCGGCGCCACAGGCAGCCCATACGCTTCCAGTCACTGCTGTGGTTCCCCATTTTGAATAAAGCAGCAAACATGTGCCCGTGATCCCCAGGGAGCCCAGAAGCCTCCAGAACCTGGAGGTTCTTCCGCAGCGGGCTCCAAGCTGTCCCTGTGCCGAAGGAGATGCATTGGCCTTTAGTGTTTCTGGAATGGGGTTCACTCCCCACACCGGGGCTCCCATCCCACACCATCTGCCCCAGCCTCAGATCCACTATTCACTTTGGGTTTCCATCTGGTTCTGGTTTTGGGGGGTGGAGGGAGGGCGGGTTTAGGGAGGAGCAGAGAGGGGGCACCGGATGGAGGCAAATCCAAGACATTCACAACTTTTCTGGGTGCCCCAGACACGGGCATCTCCCCACCTGCTGCCGCATCCACAACCCCCAGGGCTGCTTTATCATCAAGGAACCTGCTTTCTGTTTTTTTTTGAAATGGAGTCTTGCTCTGTCGCCCAGGCTGGAGTGCAGTGGCATGATCCTGGCTCACTACAACCTCCACCTCCCGGGTTCAAGCAATTCTCCTGCCTCAGCCTCCCGAGTAGCTGGGAGTACAGGTGCACACCACCATGCCTGGCTAATTTTTGTATTTTTAATAGAGACGGGGTTTTGCCATGTTGGCCAGGCTGGTCTCGAACACCTGACCTCAGGTGATCCGCCCGCCTCAGCCTCCCAAAGTGCTGGGATTACAGGTGTGAGCCATCACACCCAACCAGGGAACCTGCTCTCTGATGCCTGCTTGGACCTCAGTGTCCTAGGCAGAAAAGGAGCCAGCACTGAAACCAGCTCTCCCAGGGATGCCAATGCCACATGGAACCCAGCTTTGCCGGAGCCCGGGGACTGGCTCAGAGTGTGGGTGCGAGTGCATGTGCACGCTCTAGGCACGCAGGGAGTACCCATCTGCAATGCTCCAGGCTGCAAATCTGAACGTGTCAGCCTTCCTCCCCAAGGTCGTCTTAGCCACAGACCTTCTAGATGTCGTAATTAATCTCTAATTTGAATTTTTAACTTCAAACACCACATTACAAAAACAGTTGTGTTTTATAGATGGTATCTGCCATTATATATGGTTACCATTTGTGCTGTGGAAAATAAAGCAAGATGCCTCCTTCTGCACAGGAGTGGCGGTCACATCCAGCCAGAAGCTAGGTTCAGTGCAGTGGATCAGCACTGTCCTTCCAGAGAGGGGATCCCAGGTCGCCAGGCAGGGCTGGGCAGGGGAGAGGGATCTGGGTCCTGTGTGCGGGCTGGGGGCGGGGTGTTGGGCTGGGTAACTTATCTCCCTTTTGGAAAGCATGGTTAGATACCAGCAAAGCCGTGAGGCAAGCTCCTGACACCCAGAACTCTGTTCCTAATCTCAGCTCCCCTTCCTGTGGGGCTTGGGGAAACCTCTCCCTCAGTTTTTCCATCTGTGAAGGGAACGTGATGGTCCTAAATGGGACATCTGCCCCTCCTCCCAGGTGTCTAGGGCGGGTGGGGGGGGTGGGAGAGAGAGAGAGAAAGCAAATTGTTATTTTTCCTTTTCTTTTCTTTTCTTTTTTTTTTTTTTTTGAGACGGAGTCTCGCTCTGTCACCCAGGCTGGAGTGCAGTGGCATGATCTCAGCGCACTGCAACCTCCGCCTCCCAGGTTCAAGCGATTCTCCTGTGTCAGCCTCCGGAGTAGTTGGGATTACAGGTGCACGCCACCACGCCCAGCTAACTTCGTATTTTTAGTAGAGATGGGGCTTCACCATGTTGGCCAGGCAGGTCTCGAACTCTTGACCTCAGGTGATCCACCCTTCTCAGCCTCCCAAAGTGCTGAGATTACAGGCATGAGCCACCGTGCCTGCCTAAATTGGTGTTTACTGAGCACTCTTCAGGGGCGAGGCAGGCGTAAAGCTAATCCCCTACCTGCCTGGTCTTATCGACTCCTCTGAGCAGCCCAAACCCCAGGTACTATTATGATGATCATTTTGCAGGTGAGGAATTTGAGGCTCAGAGACATGAGTGCTTTGCCAAGATCACCCAGCAAGTGGAGCTGAGGTTGGGCCAGAATCTCCACAGCAGAGCCGGGCCACTCCCCAGCGTGTCCTATCCCTGGGAAACGGAGGCCCTGGAGGGGTGCCCTTGGGAGCTCTCTGGAGCTGGCTCTACATTTCTCTGTCTGCATCACCACTGAGCTGCATGGGGGACAAGAGGGGCTGCCCCTGCCCCTAGCCCGCCTGCCTGGGCCAGGGATCACCTCTGGTTTCGTTCAGCAGCCCCTGCTCCAGCGTTATGGAACCTTCTTACCTTTCCCTTCCTAACCAGGCCTGGAGAGGCTGGGTAAGGTCGCAGTCAGCCCAATCCAGGGACTCCAGGTCGGCAGGGGTAGGGAATAGATCACAGTCAAGAGCCCAAGGCCTGGTGCCCCCACGTACTTACTGTGTAACTTGGCTTCCTGGGCCTCAGTTTCCTCACCTAGAAAATGGGGTCATAAAACCGCCTGCCTTCTAGAATGTTTGGGAGGATTTAATGAGATGATCCATGCAGAGGGTGTAGCACTTGGCAGGTGCACAATAAATGGTCCTCTTGGATCATGGGGCCGACGATGATGGAGGTGGGCCCTCACAGCCACCTCCCCCCTGCCACCGTCACCCAGCTCAACTGTTCCGACTCTGCAGCAGCACCCCGGACTCCCTCCATTCCTTGTGGAATACAGGATTCAAGGTCAGATAGCCTGGGATGGCCTTCCTTCCTCATCTTGTGAACAAAGCTTCCACCCCAGGGTCGTCATGCACTTGGGACACACAGCCCTGGTCCTGGGTCCCTGACACCATGAATTCATCACCAGCCATGGCTCCCCAGTGCCTGGACATCTGCACCCCCGTCCCCACCTCCCTGATTGGTGCTGCCGTCCTGCACGTGGTGGACTGCGACGTGGGGCACGGCCACCTGCCCCACCTCTGGCTCTAAATGGCTCCTGGAGCTTTCCCTCCCTGGCTGAGGATCTGGGCTTCTCAGGCAGTGCAGGTCTCACGGCAGCTGGGCCAGGGGCAGCCAGTTAGGGGCTTGTGGTCAGCTCCTTTGGAGACTGGGGCAGCCCAGCGAGCTCTGGGCAACTGAGAC
The DNA here is from genome assembly GCF_000001405.40 of Homo sapiens. NCBI lineage: Eukaryota > Metazoa > Chordata > Mammalia > Primates > Hominidae > Homo > Homo sapiens. The sequence goes on along the minus strand of NC_000009.12, from coordinate 129,678,863 downwards.
ACAACTGTCATCCCCATATCACACACTGGCTTCCCATGTGACCGTAAGAGATGCTCACTGAGAGCGCCCCCAGAGAGGGCCGGAGTGAGTGGCCACTCTGGACACTCACAGACACACAGAACGCATCCCCACTGCTCTTAACACAAAAGTCACACACCTCAAACAAGGTCTGCCAGATCACAGGCCCCCATCATGCTCTCTCCCACCCTTTCTGCTCCAGAACAGCCATGCTCTTTCCAACTCGGAGCCTTTCCGTCTGCTGTTTCCTCCACCCGGCGTGCCCTCCCTGACCTCCTCTACTGGACAACTCCACTCATTCTTGAGGTCCCTTCTGAAATTCTGTTTCCCCCAGGAAACCGTCCCTGAACCTCCAGACAATGTAGGGGCCCCGTCGTGTGTTGTCATAGCATCCAGCATGTCTCCTTCACACCAAGGACCACAGCTCCCTTGATTCCTGCAGGGGCCCCTGTGCCTGGCCAGGGCCTGGCGTGCAGTAGGTGCTCAACAATATTTGTGGAAGGAGAGAAGCATTCACAGAAGGCCTCCCTGACTTTTCCTCCCTTGACAGAGAAACCAGCCCCTTGAAAAAGCCGCCCCCTAGGCTGGGCACAGTGGCTCACGCTTGTAACCCCAGCACTTTGGGAGGTCGAGGCAGGCGGATCACCTGAGGCCAGGAGTTCGAGACCAGCCTGGCCAACGTGACAAAACCCCATCTCTACTAAAAATACAAAAATGTGCCAGGCATGGTGGTACGTGCCTGTAATTCTAGCTACTCGAGAGGCTGAGGCAGGACAATCACCTGAACCCTGGAGGCGGAGGTTGTAGCGAGCCGAGATTGCGCCACTGCACTCCAGCCTGGGCGACAGAGTGAGACTCCATCTCAAAAAAAAAAAAAAAAAAAAAAAGAAAGAAAGAAAGAAAAAGCAGCCGCAGCCTTAAATTTGCTGCAACAGCAACAGTTTTCTTTAAACAGCAACCCTGCTTTCAGCTGGTATTAGATCTTTGCCTTTTCTTTCTTCCTTCCCAGTGAAATCAGAGTAGTCCGTTTTTACTTCTTGTCTCTAGCAATTTCCCGCTTTGAGCCCTGACACTCTCCTCCCGCAGGGATGTGGTGGTGGGGCGGCCCGCTCTGCGGGAGAGGCTGGCCTTCCAATTAAAACATGATGTCTCTAGGAAACATGAGCTTCCCTAAGGCAAGGGCCCCTCCCTGGTCACCCCCCTCCCCATCACAGCAAGGCCTGGAGCCTCCCCGCCTGACCATGCCACGGCCCAGTGTCTGCATGGGTGTGTCCCTGCAAATGGGGGGTTTGGAGGGGGGCCTTCCTCAGGACACTGCAGAGCTCTCCAGGCAGGAACCGGGAGGTGGGGAGGAACCCCCCCATCCCTCCTGGGCCTCCCCCAGAGGCAGAGCCTAGGCTGCTTCTAGCAGGAGAACCCCGCGCGGCTCCTTGGCCATCTGAGGCACCGGCGTGAGGTGGCCAGTGTGATACCTGGGCTCTGGGGATCACTGCGTATTTCCTGGGTCAAGTCACTTTATCCTTCTAAGCCTCGGTTTCCTCGCCTGTAAGATGAGGATAAAGCTTCACCTCTCTCGTGAGGCTGCTGAGTGATTCAGTGAGAGGCTCTGCATAAATCCTAGAGCTCGGAGACTGGCAGATGGTAAGAACGGGATCGCTGGGGGCGCTCTGTGCTGAGATTATGCCCTTTGGGACCAGGGCTGGCCTGTTCACTGGGATTTTCCCAGCACCACGCCTCAAAACAACACGCACATGCGCTGAACAAATGAGCAAATAAGGAGAATCCTATGCAGTTTTCTTGCAAGCAAAATGCAGAGCAGGATCTTGGTGGCAAGTGGGGAGGCACGGAGTTTAACATACAGTCTCTTAGGGGGAAGGCAAAGGGGTCTCTTCTGTGGCTTCACCATGAGGGGAAATGAAACAAAATGCCCATTTGTCTTTCTTCCCAACTTAGGGAGGTTTTCTCTGGATTTTTCTCCCTAGCCTAGGATGCAGCCCTTCTTTCTCCAGGTTTGAGGACAGAGCCCCTCTGAGCTGGGGGCATCACGCTTCGGCTTCTGGGGAGGCCCCGGGTCTCCCAGCACCCACACTTGGAATGATGTCTGCATCTGGAGGCCCCTCTGGCTTCCAAGCCCGCAGGGTTAGTGGTGGGGGCCTCAAGGGGTTGCCTGGCCTCAGTGAGGGCTAGGGAGCTCATCCTCTACATCAACTGTGGACTGGAAGCCGTCTGAGGGCAGGGGCCGGTTCAGACCCACTTCTGAATGCCTCAGTCCCTGCTTCACAGTGTCCTGAAAGCACATGGGCTCTGGCTTCTCCACCCCCTGTGTGACCTTGGGCAAGTCACTTAGCCTCTCTGAGCACAGGGTTCCTCAGCTGTAACCACGATTGCAGATACTCTTTCTTCTGAGCACTGTCTGGCTGCCTGCTGAGAACTCCACTTCCATCATCTCCCAAATCCATAAAACCTCCCTGCAAGAAGGTGTGACTCTTGTCCTCCCCAGATGACAAATAAGGAGCTTAGAGAGAAACTAGCCATGGTCCCTCAGCGGGCCAGAGGTGGGGCTGGAGCTCAAGATCTGGCTGTTGCTTCCCATGTTCTTGGCCATGCCACCCCTGATTCCCACCGTCCCAGGGCCCAACCCCTCGCCAACAGACCCTCAGACATGGGCTCTCAGCAAGGAGCGGGTGAATGACTGAGCAGGAGGAAGGACAGAAGGAGAAGGAGGCTCCCAGGTCCCAGAGGGTGCAGACCCAGCCCTGGAAAAACGGGAGGGTGCCAGACATTCTACACCCACCTGGGGTGGGAGCAGCCTCCACCTGAGGCTGAGTTGCCCACCGGCTGCCCACTGGCTGGACCAGCTGCCTGAGGCACCATCTTGAGAGCATTAGAGGGCTGCTGTTAACAGCTGTTTTCTGTTACGCGTTATTTGTTAGTCTAATGAAAGGAGGTGCACTGGCTTTCAAGACCTCGGCGTTCTGCGGGGTTTTATACGGGAGGCCCGCGCAGAGCTCTGGCGGCGAGAGAGGCTGCGAGGCCCCTGCCAGGCGCGCCCGCCTGGCGGCTCCCGCTTTGATTCCGAGGTTTGCAGCCATCCGCGTGGTAATTCCAGCTCTGGTTAAATGTCATTTTTAATAACGCCATCTCTGGCGTGTAAACGTCTGCGCCCACGGCAAGAAGGGAGGCCAGCGAGGGGGAGACCGGCAGTGGGGGAGGACAGACAGGGAGGCGGGGGTGGGGGCAGGAGGACAAAGTCTGGGGCAAGGCAGCCGCCCCCTGGGGGCAGTGGATCCCCATCCCCAAGAGAGCCCTTTGAGGGGACCCCATGGGGGAGGGAGGGTAGCAGGGGGGCAGGAGGTGCCGGCAGGATGCCAGGAGGGGGCTTGTCCAGTGGCTCCAGCTCAGCAGGGGTGCTTTTGACTGCCTCCTACACCCCAACCCTGGCCACCAAAGCTAGAGGGGGTCAGGATGCTGGTGAGGGAGAGACAGGAATCGTCCCTATCACATCACCCCTGCATTCCACGCCCCTGGGCTGCCTTGGGCTGGTACTCAGTAGGTGCTCAATGGATGCTGGTGGATGGTCGAGAGCAAATACTTCCTCCTAGACCCGGCAGTGCAGCTTTGGCACAAAATCCAGTCCCTGGGGATGCTGGGGCTTAGCCTCAGCGCAGCCCCCTCCCTCTCCTGTATACTGGACACTTCCGGGCCCTTCCAGGTCCAGAGCCAGCCTTATGCATCCTGCGGCAGCTCTGCCCGGCCTCTCTGTCCCCTCGAGAGGACCGCTTTCCACTCGGGTAAACTGAGGAGGGTAATGGAGGCAGAGTCAGCTCTGGAAGGAGCCCGCAGCAGGGTACAAGAATCGCTAGGCAGGGGGCTATTGAATGCAGACGCATAGGCCTAGGCTCCGAGTCCGATCCGGTGGGTCAGGGTGGGACCTGGGAACACGCACCAGCTCCCTGGGTGATTCTGACGCAGTGACTCCTGGGACCACACTAAATATGTCCATAAACAAATGTCCAACCTTCTTGTCTTGCAGATGGGGACACGGAGGCTCAGACCAGCCACAGGGTGTGTCTCAAGCTGTAGAGCTGGGCAAGGCGAGGCAGGAACCCCATGTCCTGACTCCTAGTCTGGGGCCCTTCTCACTGCGTCTTGGGCAGCAGTGTTACAGGAGGTCACCTGCCCTCACCTTGTCAAATCTCAAGCAACTGAGGTGTTCGCTCAGCTCTGGGGGCGGGGGGGTCCCTCTGTGGAAGTTTCCAGTCCTCACAGCCTGGGCCTCCTTCTCTGTCATTGTCTCACTCCCAAGTCTTCTCCAAAGACTGCGAGTTTTGCAGCCCACAGCCTGTTGCCCGGTCCCCAATCCTACAGGCCTCAGCTCCTTGGCTGCTCCATCACCCGTTGCCCCCACTCACTCCTAGCCCCTCCTACCGCCCCCAAACTGGAAGGTCCAGGCTGCCCATCCCACGCACAGAAAAGCAGAATCAATCACAGAGATAAACCAGAATAATATCTTCCAGAGACTGCTTCATTTTTAGGACACAAGGAAAGATATCATTAGCCATCAAGGGCGCCATGGGGACCCATTCTGTCATCTTGGTGGCCCCCCAGAGCCTGGCTGGGCACAAACAACTTCCGTGATGTGGAAGGGACACAGAGCAGGGCAGCTGGACCCGGGCTCAGGGCAGCGAGAGCAACCAGGGACCCAGTGCTTTCTGGGTCTCATAACAACCTCTGTTTCCAGGATCTGGTGCGATTCTGTGGCTCCTGGGTTCTGGCTAGAGCGGGGTGTCCTGGTAAGCCATGCTCCTTGGGAGGGGCAGCCGTGGCCAGCTCTGCCTCTTCCAGGCTGGGGATGCTCTGCCACCTGCCCCCCTGCCCCACGTCACCTCCCTACCTGCGGGATGCTGACCGCCGGGCACCCCATCTCTTCGTCTGCTCAGTGTGGGAGCCAGCAAGATAACCCCAACCTCCCTCTGTCTAAACAGGAAGCTCCCACGACTCTCTCCTACTCACCACCTCGCAAAAGGCACTTAACCCTTGGCCCGCACAGGTGCAGATGTATCTGCCCATCTACTCTCCAGCAGCTGCGGCCACCCTGACCACTAACAGCCAGGGCTCCATCAGGGGGCCGGGCTGGAGCCCTCGTGATGAGGGGCGTGTGTGTGCCTGTGTGTGTGTGTGTGTGTGTGTGTGGCATGGGGGGTATGGGTCTGTGTGTGTCTTTGTGTCTGGGAGTCTGGGAAAGCCAGACCATGTGGTTCCCAAATGCCAGCCTAGGACAAAGTTTTCACCGACAAAATGAGAAAAATAGGGGCAATAAGTGAGCTTTTTATGAAGCTAAATGAAGTCAATTTTGGGAACCTTTGTTTGTTTCGTTTTTTTATTTTTTGAGACAGGGTCTTGTTCTGTTGCCCAGGCTGGAGTGCAGTGGTGTAATCACAGCTCACTGCAGCCTCGAACTCCTGGGCTCAAGGGATCCTCCTGTCTCAGCATCCCGAGTAGCTGGGGCTACAGGTGCATGCTACCATGCCCAGCTAATTGTTTTTAATTTTTACTGTTTGTAGAGGCAAGGTCTTGCTACATTGCTCAAGCTGGTCTTGAACTTTTGGTCTTAAGCAATCCTCCAGCCTCAGCCTCCCAAAGTGCTAGGATTACAGGCTTGAGCCACCTTGCCCAGCCAAGAACCTTTCTGTACTCAGAGATGAAGATACTAAAAGGTTCTTTCTTGGATGAAAGGGTGGGAACATAGGGCTGTGAGTAAATGGCTTTTCTTGGCAAACCTTTAACGCTGTCCACTGTATGCCACTTCCTCTCAGTTACTGGAAATTTAACTGGACTTGAAAACTGGAAGTCTGGGAACCACAGGCCGGCAGTGGAACTCAAGGATTGACACATTATAGGTGTTCGGAAAATGACTGTAGAATGAATGAATGAATGAATGAATGAATGAATGAATGAATGAACAAGTGCGGGAGCTGGGGATGGAGGGGGAAAGGGAACCTGTCCTATTGCTGTTACACAGAGACAGGGACCCTCCACAGCTCTCGTGCATCCGGGCAGCTGGAGACAGGTGAGGGAGGCCGTTCCGGTTATTTCTGGGCAGGAGGGGAAGGGCATCACCCCCACACTCCCATGTCAAACACCCCAGCCCCGGGCAGTCCCCACTCTCCAGGCCTGACCCATCTCCCTCACACTTGGGACATGACCCAGGCCAGGTTGCTGGAGATATTAAGGAGAAACCCCCCAACCCCGGGCCACCTCACGGCCCCTGAATGCAGCCTGCGCCTGCCTGGGTGTGGACATCCCTGGTCAGGCCACCCCAGCATTCCCGGGAGCCAGGGGCAGCTTCAGGCAGTGGTAGAGATCAGGGGTTTTGGAACAGGAGGGCCAGGCTGGAATCTTACAGGAATGGGAACGGTGTGACCTTCACCTCACACCTCAGTTTCCCTCTTCATAAAATGGGCTTCACACGGCTGGCAGGAGGACAACTCCAGTGAGGCCTGTGATGCCCCAGCCGACATGCAGAGCACACAGCTGCTGTGCCCACGAGGCTTCCCGGTCACTCTCACCACGTCCCCTCACGCCTTCCTTCAGCCCCACCACGGCCACCCCCTTCTGCTCCACTGGCGCAGCCTCTGGCCCAGGGTGGTACACTGCTGTAAGGGTATCTTCAAGCAAGCATTGGGTCCCCTTAAATCACCCCCAAGGTCCCCTTCCACCCTGGGTGAGCCACTGTCCTTTAGGGTCTAGGAAACCACGGAAGTGCCCCAAGTTCTGCCGCGTCCAGCCTGACCCCACATTCTTGCCTGGGACAAGCCACCGCAAACCTTCCTTCCTGCCCCCACCTACTCAGAAACGCCTAACATAGGCACAGAGCCCGTTCCGTGCTGCCCCTCCCCTCCCACCCGCTTTAGTCCCCAACAAGCCTCAGCCAGAATCTCCCCAACAGCCAGGAGAGCTCCCCTTCCCTGACTCCTCCAGCCCAAGGACTGTGCAGGAGAGGGAGGCCTGGACTTGTGATCCAAAACCAAATCCCTCCTCTCCTTTCCCAGCTGTGAGGCCTCGGGCAGGTTGCTTTGCCTGTCTGGGCCTCTGACAGCCTCGCCTGACTCACAGGCCCTCAGAGAGCATCTCCAGGAGCTGCAGTGGAGACACTTTACTGTGGACTAGGCATGGTACCCAGAACCCTCACCCACTCAGGGCTCGACACGCCCTTTGAGGGATACCACAGCCCTTGTTCCTATCCCACAGATGGCAACACTGACTCGCAGGGTTCTTTTCAGGCCTCAAGGGAGGTGTGTAAGCCGGCGCTGTCACTACTGCTCCAAGCTGCTTTTCTGGAGTTTTCTGGGAGGGGACAGTGGTGGCTCCAGCCTGTTGAGTTTCTGCTCACAGAGAAGGGCAAGCCGGTCTAAGCCCCCTGTGCCAGGCCCCCAAGCTCCACCCAGATGATCTACTGGACAGAGGAGCAAGAGGTCCTGGAACCACAAATAATGAACCAACCCTCCCTGGCGAAAAGAAGGCCGAGATGCAGGCCACTGTCCCGCCCTAGCCACGCTGGGAGGCCCAGCAGTTCCCAAACGGAAGGCCCCCTGGGCACTCAGCCTCTCACTCACTCCTCCTCCCTCCCTGCTCCCCGGCTCCTGCTGAGACATGATCATCTGAGGGTCCAGGCACCAGGCCCAGCTCAGACCCAGGCTCAGAGACCCCACATCCCAGGGAGACACGCCCATCATGGGGTTCCTAAGCCTGAGTCAAATCATCTCAGTCGGGAGGGCCTCCCAACCCTTGTACGCCATCTCCCACTGTTCAGGTGGTGAACGAGGCACAGAGAGGTGACATGACACCCCCAAGGTCACACACGGAGAGGAAGGCAAAAGCAAGGACCCCAACTGGAGCATCCCAGCACCCCAAAGAATGCTCACTGACTGCATGACTCCCCTTGTCCCAGGAAATAGAGAAAGGGGAAGGAAGGGGAGAGGGGAGGGGAAGGAACGCAAGCTGCCTTTCAAAGGCTGGGCTCTGAAGGGACCCCTTTGTCTCTTCCTCCAAAGCCTGGCTCTGGTCTTGTGATGATGCCCTGTTTCAGCATCAGTTACAGGGAGGCCGGTTAAAAACCGAAGTTAGCCGTGGAAAACAGTATTATGGACCCTTAACACATTTAAAGGTAGGGCCGGGCACGGTGGCTCAGACCTGTAATCCCAGCACTTTGGGAGGCTGAGACGGGTGGATCACCTGAGGTCAGGAGTTCAAGACCAGCCTGGCCAACAAGGCAAGACCCTGTCTCTACTAAAAATACAAAAATTAGCCAGGTATGGTGGCACGCACCTGTAATCCTAGCTACTCGGGAGGCTGAGGCAGGAGAATCACCTGAACCCAGGAGGCGGAGGTTGCAGTGAGCGGAGATCACACCACTGTACTCCAACCCGGTCAATGGAGCAAGACTCCGTGAAAAACTAAAAAATAAAAAAATTAAAGGTAGAACTACCATAGAATGCAGCCATTCCAACACTGACTAGATATCCCAAATCATTAAAAGCAGGGACTTGTATACATCCACGTCCACAGCGGTGCTGTTCACAGTAGATGGGAACAACCCACGTGTCTGTAGATGGGTGAACGGATACAATGTGGTCCATCCGTACAGTGGAATGTGATTCGGCCTTCAGAAGGAAGGAGACTCTGACGCATGCTACACGGGTGAGCCCTGTAGACGTCACATTAAGTGAAATAAGACGGTCACAGAACGGCAAATACTGTAGGATTCCACTTACATACGAGATCCCTAGGGTAGTCAAATCCACAGAGACAGGAAGCAGACTGCTGGGTGCCAGGGGCTGGGGGAGGGGGAATGCATGTTCAAGGGGGTGCGGTTTCAGTTTGGGAAGATGAGAAAGTTCTGGAGATGGATGGTGGTGGCGACTGCACGACAATGTGAACGGACTTAATGCCACCGGACAGCATTCTTGTAAATGGTGAAAATGGTCAATCTGATGTTAGGCATCTTTTATCGCAATAAAAAATAATTGAAGGTAGGTCTGCCAGTCTCTTAACTCAGTCTCTTAACTCAGGCCCTGAGCTGAGCCCTGGGGACCCCCACCACAAACCAGACCCACCCCTATGAACAGATGCACCGACAGCCCCTCGAGGGCTCCCACCTCACCCTGCCTTGCCCCGTGCCTTAGATGCAAGCACTTCATCTTCCGAAATCTCTGGAAAATGAATCCACGTGGGATCCCAAGGTTTCTCCTGCAGTGAATCCTGGGGTTTTCCAAAGCAGGTACCAGCCCTGAGCACTGGCCGCCCAGCCTTCCCTGGCCAGAGGCCTCACCCCTGCCTGGCTCTAGGGGCTTTGTTTATTTTCCCAGTGTGTCCACGTCCCCGTTTCCACTCTGCCCACAGGAGGGAATGCTTTAGAGAAAATCTCAGTTATTAATGTGGTTTCTTTTGTTGTAAGTCATTGCAAAGGCAGCAAACCAGGGTTTGTTTTCCTAACGTGCCTGGTGCAGCCCTCAGCGTTTGACTGGCGAGGAAGGAACCCGCGACCCTGGTTTGTTCTGAGTCACTGGCGAAGCCACGGTCTTCCCGGCCATTTCTGGAGGGAGCCTGGTCTTAGAAAGTCATTGGCAGTAGCGGGCTTTATCTACTGGTGGCTTTGTGCAAACAAAAATTTTTAAATTAAAAAAAGTTTGAGCCTGCTATCCCAGCAGATTGAAGACGTATTAATTCCTAACTCATTGGTGTCCCCCATTAACCCTTATTTTTCTTTCTTTCTTTCTTTTTTTTTTCTCCTGCCTCAGCCTCCCGAGTAGCTGGGATTATAGGCGTCTGTCACCACACCTGACTAATTTGTGTAGTTTTAGTAGAGATGCAGTTTCACTATCTTGGCCAGGCTGGTCTTGAACTCCTGACCTTGTGATCCAACTGCCTCAGCCTCCCAAAGTGCTGGGATTACAGGTGTGAGCCACTGCACCTGGCTAACCCTTATTTTTCTAATGGGGGCACTCCCTCTTTGGTGCCATCTCTTTCTTTTCTTTTCTTTCTTTCTTTTTTTTTTTTTTTTTTTTGAGATGGAGTCTCATTCTGTTGCCCAGGCTGGAGTGTGCAGTGGTGCAATCTTGGCTCACTGCAACCTCCGCCTCCCGGGTTCAAGGGATTCTCCTGTCTCAGCTTCTCCAGTAGCTGAGATTACAGGCATGCACCACCACACCCGGCTAATTTTGTATTTTTAGTAGAGATGGGGTTTCACCATGTTAGCCAGACTTGTCTCAAACTCCTGACCTCTAGTGATCCAACCACCTCAGCCTCCCAAAGCACTGGGGTTACAGGTGTGAGCCACCGCCCCCGGCCAGACCATCTTTCTTTGGACCTGAAAACAACTCCAAGAGCCACAGGAAAACCCACCTCCAAGCATGTCTGGATCCGTGGTGAGGGGACCGGGCTCCTGTATGTCCAGGACTGGAGGATGATGCCGCAACCCAAGACTCAGCCCACTGGCCTGGGGTCTGCAGTCCCGGCAAGCCCAGCAAGGTTTGGCTGCCCACTTTCAAAGGGTCGATGATGGGGAAAGAAGGATCCCATCTCCCCCACCTTTGGAGCCTTCAGGACTTGGGAGTCCACAGCAAGTGGCAGTGGTGGGGCCGCCTGACCCAGATGGATGAGTTGGAAACTGGCGCCTGCCCTGCAGTCCCCTCTCTCCACCTTCTGCCTGTAGACCCAGATCCGGGCCACACCCCGGGCGGAGCCCAGGGACTCTCCCTGCCAGGGCTCCATCGTCCTCAGGGCAGAGCTAGGCAGCTTCCAAGACGGACCAGCCCACGAGCGCCTCCTGGAGCCTGGCCCAGACCCCACCCCACCTGATCCCACACCCAGTGTGTCCCAAGCATGCCTGGGTACTCCCAGTGTGCCAATGCCCCTTCTTAGGAGAAGGCCTGGAGGCCTCATGGGCTCTCCAGGAGGGTGGCTAGCCCCAGGGAGCTGCTGGGGAGACCCACTGCACACCCAGCTGCCTGGAGGCTGCCAAGGGCCTTGTCTAGGCGCCCACATCCCCAGCTGACACTAGCTGTTCTGGGATCCCCGGGGAAACCCGCCACCAGAGACCTCCAACACCGTGTCCGGGAGAAGCACGGCCTTCCCTGGCTGTCCCCACAGCAGGGGTAGGTCAGAAATGGGCAGGCCGTCCCCTGGCCAGGACTGGAGTACGAGACACCCTGGCCCCCTTCCTTCCCTCCTCACCCCTCTCTCCTCTCCCTTCCTTCCTCTTCCTCTGTCTCTCCTCCCTCTCTCTCTCCTTTCCTTGCCTTCTCCTTTCCTTCTTTCCCTTCACCTTCAAGTTGTTCCTCCTTCTCTTCCCAACCCCTGGAGTCTCCCTTCATCAGGGTAAACCGGGACCTCTCCTCTGTCCTGGGGTTGGGGGACCGGCTCAGAGCCGCTGAGGTCCTCAAATGACCTTGGGCCGGCAGGGCATTCCCCCAGCACAAACCAGAGGGCACCTGCTTTCCTCCGGGCCAGAGTGGACATCTCCCTCCCCTTTTCTACTGAGGAGCTAAACCCCAACTCCTGGGAGGTCTGCTGGCTTCACACTCACCCCGGAGGGTGCAGCCAGTGGCCAGTCCACTGTGGCCAGTGAGTGGTGGCCGCTGCCATGAGGGAGCCAGTGGCTTCATCTCAGCCACAGGCTGGCAGAAGGTGCCCCGTGAAAGGCAGGCGTGTCGCAGGCGTCCTCGTGGACGCACATGGATTCAGACTAGGCTGCAGCCACCTCTGTTTTCCCTGCACCTCCTGTCTCTGAAAAGCCAAGGAACGCAGCCACCAGCCTGGGCACCCTGAGACCTGGAGGCTGGTGCCGGGAACAGGGTCCCCCGGGGCGGGTGGGAGGGCTGCTGGAGTCAGGCGGGCACACTTCAGGGGCCCAGAGCCCCCAGCAGGCCGGCCCATCCCCAGAGCTAGGGGACAGGGGCCTGGTTTCAGATCACCGGGCCCCCATCCTTAGTGTGTGCTGAGCCGCGAGGACTCCGGTCCTCCCCTCCCCCACTGAACCGTCCGGGGCTGGGGCCTTTGCTTTTTCTCCATCTTCTCCCCGTCCCTCCCCTTCTTACCAAGGGCTCAGGACCCTGCCATCCTGTGTCACTTTTTGAAAAAGGCCACTTGGGTGGGTTGTTTGTTTTTAAAGCCCCTTCCTGATGACCTTTGACCTCTGCCGGGGAAGAGAGGCCTGGCTGGGCCGTTCCACCGAGGCAGCTGCTCCCGGGGCAAACTGGAGGGTGGGGGGGGGTGGGCAGGCACCCTCGCCCCCCAAAGAGCCCAACTTAAGACCGAGGAGGAGCTGGGGCGGCGCTAGCTCGTGCGGGAGGGGGCGGGTTTGAAACCCCAACGTGCAGCTCAGCGGCTTTGCCCGACTCAGGTCTCTGTTTCCCCAGTTGTAACCCGGCAGCAGCCACACCCACTTCCCAGGCTGTTCGGGAGCCGAATACTGGGGAGCGAAGGCAGCGCACTTCCCCGTGGGGACGCACCCCAAGACCCGAAGAGGGTCCCCCTCCCCCAGCCCAGAGTGCTGGTCAACCGCCGTCCACCGTCACTTACACGCGCCCCCAGAAGTCCTGCCGCCGACCACGCGCCCTGCATCTTCGCCCGCCCCGCGCCGGCTCCCCGGACCCCGCGCCCCGGCCCCGGCCCCGGCCCCGGCCCCGCCACCCCCGTCCCTGGCCGGCCGTACTCACCATCCTGCGGCGCCGCCTCGCTGCCGCTGCTGCCCCCGGACGGCTCCCGTGCTGCGCCCTCCCGCGCCTCGGCCCTGGCCCCGGGGCGCGCCGCCAGCCGCCCGGCCGCCGCCACCTCTTCCAGGTCCAGGAGGTGGCTCACCGAGAAGTTCTTGCGCGCCTGGGCGCAGTCGCCGGGCCCCAGCGCGGGTGGAGGCGGCGGCGGCCCCGGGCCCAGCGCCGGCTTGTCCAGGGCGAAGGCGGCGGCCGCGCTGTCCATGCCCGCGAGCGGCCCCGGGGGGGCCGGCGGGGGTCTCGGGCTCGGGTCCCAGGAAGGGTCGCGGGCGCGGGTCGGAGCGAGAGCCCCGGCCGCCCCGCGCTCTGCCCAGCTCCCGCCGCCTCCTAGCCTCGCGGCCCGCCCGGCGCTGACGTCGGGGAAACAAACTTTCCGCCCTCCCCTTCTCAGCCACGGCCGCTCGCTCCGGAGCCGCTGGTGCACGCGCTGCGCCGGCCACACGCCCCTTCTTGAAGCAAACCTCGCCCCCCGTCCTCTCCTCCGCCCTCTCCTCCCCGCGCGCCTCGCCCGCCCCCACCCCGGCTGCTGGCGCTGGGGGCGGGGAAGGGGTGTCCTCCCTTCACCCTCCCCACCCACTTTTTAGGGAGTGGGAGGTTCCGTGTTTTGTCGTTTTCCATCCCCCAAGTATCTGGGAGGTGATGGCAGAGGGATTCCCCCCTTCCCTTTACAATCGCCTCCGCAGGTGGAGGGGGCGGCCCAGAGACGAAGGCGACGAGCCCCCCACTCCCAGCTCCAGCCTCACTCGCCTCAGCGCCCCCAACAACGGCCCCGCCCGCCCGCGCTGGCCGACAGAGCTCTGTGCACACCACCCGCCCCAAGGCTGTCTCTCCCAGCAGGCAGCGCATCCTCAGGCTCCTGGGGTGTACGCGACCCCCCACCCCGCCTCTCCCCCGCTGCTCCCTGCCAGGTCCCCCACACACACCCACACACCCGGTGCCCACCCCCCAGGAGGCCCCAGGCCCTTCCCCAAGGAAAACCAAGCGGAGAGGCAGGCGCTTCGTTGCAGAATTCCTGGCGCACACACAGAGGACAGCCAGCCTGAGACGGGTGACAGGAAAGAGAGAGGCAGACTTAGGTGTCCGCTCTTGTTTCAGTTTTGTTTTTCAATGAAAGCACAGAAAAGATGTGCGGAGTGAGCAGACCTGAGACCCTAAGCCCCCCGGATGCCACTGCTCTTTCTCCAGGACAGCCGCTCACCGGCCCGTCCCTCTGTCGCCCTGCCCTCACTACGAGGCATAAAGTCACATCAGCCAAAGTCGCCTACCGGAGGAAGCCTTCAGCACATCCTTTCCCTGTTCCCATATGGAAAACCGGCCCGCACACATCCCTGAAAGCCTGCGGACCATTATTTTTATTTATTATTTATTATTATTATTTATTTTTATTTTTTTGAGACAAGAGTCTGGCTCTGTCGCCCAGGCTGGAGTGCAGTGTCGTGATCTCGGCTCGCTGCAACCTCCGCCTCCTGACTTCAAGCGCTTCTCCTGCCTCAGCCTCTCGAGTAGCTGGGATTACAGGTGTGCATCACCATGCCCGGGTAATTTTTGTATTTTTAGTAGAGGAGGGGTTTCACCATGTTGGCCAGTCTGGTTTCCAGCGTCTGACCTCAGGTGATCCACCTGCCTCGGCCTCCCACAGTGCTGGGATTACAGGCGTGAGCCACCGCACCCAGCCGGGAACACTATTTTTAAGGAAAGCCTAGCAATACATTATAATACATTAATCCTCACAGCGTGTGTTGTTTGTGTCCGCCCCCACCCCCTCCCGCGCTGGAAAGGAATCGACTTCAAAATGAGGCCGAGTAGGCCGGGCACAGTGGCTCACGCCTGTAATCCCAGCACTGTGGAAGGCTGAGGTGGGTGGATCACCTGAGGTCAGGAGTTCGAGACCAGCCTGGCTAACATGGTGAAACCCTGTCTCTACTAAAAATAATAATAATAAAAAAAATTAGCTGGGCATGGTGGCAGGCGCCTGTAATCCCAGCTACTGGGGAGGTTGAGGCAGGAGAATAGCTGGAACCTGGGAGGCGGAGGTTGCAGTGAGCCGAAATCACGCCATTGCACTCCAGCCTGGGCAACAAGAGTGAAACTCCATCTCAAAAAATATATATAAATTAAATTAAATAAGAAATAATAATTTAAAAAATGAGGCCGAGTGTCCCTGAAGTGTCTTTAGCCACAGCAATCCGTGCAGGTGCACACATGGGTAGGGAGGGTTTGGAGATGACGGGGTTCTCCGTCCTTGGACCTCTGCTCCAAGGAGTGTCCAGCAAGAAAGGCCAGCAAAGAGGCGCCAGTCTCCCTCATCCTAGGCGGCTGGGAGGAGCCCAGTCTGGGCACCAGGGCATACCCAGTGCTGCCCACAGTGTGTGTGGCTGAACCACTTTCTGAGGAACCGAGCAGGGTAGGGCCACTACTGGGCTCAGGATGTCTGGGAGGACCCTGCCCCTGCACCCAGCAAAACCCTCAGAGTGGAGGGGTCTTACCCAGGAAAAGCACAGCCCACTGAGTAGAGGCTTCATCCCAGAGGCAGAACAGTTTTGTGTTGGAGACAGGGTTCCAGCCCCAGCTATGCCCCTACTGCCATGTGGCCTCAAATTCAGCACCTTGGCCGGGCGTGGTGGCTCACGTCTGTAAGCCCAGCACTTTGGGAGGCCGAGGTAGGTGGATCACCTGAGGTCAGGAATTTGAGACCAGCCTGGCCAACATGGCAAAACCCCATCTCTACTAAAAATACAAAAATTACCTGGGCATGGTGGCATGCACTTGTAATCCCAGCTACTCGGGAGGCTGAGGCAGGAGAATCGCTTGAACCTGGGAGGAGGTTTCAGTGAGCCGAGATCGCGCCACTGTGCTCCAGCCTGGGCAACAGGAGCAAAATTCCATCTCAAAAAAAAAATCAGCACCTCCCCTCTCCAAGCCCCAGCTCCCTGACAGTGGAAGGCGCCTAATGAAGAGCCTGTCTCCTGGGCACAATGGGGACTCCATAGTAGGTGAACTTCTGGGCCCATGGCCTGGAACACACAGAGGGTACTGTTGACATTGGCCTGTGCAGTCAAAGGGCCTGAGGGATCATCTAGATCATTCCCTTGGAAGACAGATGGGAAAACTGAGGCCAAAAAAAGGTGAAAGCTCTTCTGGAGCTGGGAGAACCATGGAAATTGTTTGGTTTAAGCCCTTTTGTTTTACAGATCAGCAATGCGAGGCCCAGAGCTGGGAAGCGCAGTGTTCCGATCTCTCGGCATGGCCAGTGGCCACAGTGGCTTCTTCCACTCACTCCTGCAATTACTCATCCTACACATGTTGAGAGGTAACTCCATCTCTGTAGCATGATGGCTGTCTGGCACCAGCCTCCTGGGTGCAGATCAAGACCTTGCCTGAGCTTTGAGCAATCTATTTAGCCTCTTTCTCTTGGGGGCCTTAAATGTAAAATGAGCTGACTGGGTGTGGTGGCTCAGGCCTGTAATCCCAGCACTTTGGGAGGCTGAGGTAGGAGGATCTTTTGAGCCCAGAAGTACAAGACCAGCCTGGGCAACATAGTGAGACCTCATCTCTAGAAAAAAAAAGTAGCTGGTGTGGCAATGCATGCCTATAGTCCCCAGCTACTTGGAGGCTGAGATCGGAGGATTGCTTGAGCCTGGGAGGTTGAGCTACAGTGAGCTGTGATGGCACCGCTGCACTCCAGCCTGGGCAGCAGAGTGAGACCCTATCTCTCTTTTTTTTTTAATTTAATTTTATTTATTTATTTATTTATTTTTAGTATTTATTGATCATTCTTGGGTGTTTCTCGCAGGGGGGGATTTGGCAGGGTCATAGGACAATAGTGGAGGGAAGGTCAGCAGATAAAGAGACCCTATCTCAAAAAAAAAAAAAAAAAGAAAGAAAGAAAAAGAAAAAGAAAATGAGCTGTTAGGAGGATTAAATAAACCAATGTATAAATAAAGGACACCTGGTACCTAGTGAGCATTTAATACATGTTAACAATGATTATTTTTTAAATATCTGGCTGGGCGCAGTGGCTCATGCCTGTAATCCCAGCACTTTGGGAGGCTGAGGCGGGCAGATCACCTGAGGTCAGGAGTTTGAGACCAGCCTGGCCAACATGGTGAAACCCCATCTCTACTAAAAATACAAAAAATTAGCTGGGTGTGGTGGCGGGCACCTGTAATCCCAGCTACCCAGGAGGCTGAGGCAGGAGAATTGCTTGAACCCGGGAGGCAGAGGTTGCAGTGATCCAAGATCTCGCCATTGCACTGCAGCCTGGGCAACAAGAGTGAAACTCTGTCTCAAAAAATAAATAAATACATAAATACATAAAACAAATAAAATAAACATATGTTCTGAGAAGTAGACAGGGCAAGGATGGTGAACTCGGACTGTGCAGCTGAGGGACATGGGTATGAATCTACCCACTGCCATTTACTGGCTGCGTGGCCTTGAATATGTCACTTGCCCATCCTCCCTGAGTCTGTCCCATCGTCTGTAAAATAGGAATAGTAGAGGAGCCAATCCAAAGGGTTCTTGTGGATTTACCATCATTATTGTTGCTGCCTATTCCCTTGCCCAGCCTGGGGATAAGGGCTGGGGTTGGGGCAGGGATGGAAGGGTGGGGCAAAGGGCATAGACTGCTGCACTGTGCAATAAGACAAGAAAGCAATAAGACAAGAAAAAGGGATGAACTAAAAATAATTCGAATATATCTTTGTAGCTTATCTCTATATATCTAGAGAGATGAAGAAAGTTCTATAATATACAGTCCTACATATAGTTTTATGTTTAGGATTGTATACTATAGTCCTATGTTATAAAAGTGGAAGTATGTTTACCTCCTGTTTTATAACCTGCTGAGCATGAGCGTCAGCTCTGATCCAGCCTGGGAATACACCCAAGGAAACTCCAGGGAATCCCAGGAGGGCAGAACTCAGGGACTCATCACCCCAAAGGGATATGGCTAAAAATAAATCATTTCATGATGATTTTGATAAATCTGAGAGGCTAACCCAGAAGAGGAAATGGAGGGCAAATAGGATTCCCATTCAGAACCTCTCAGATCAACTTGTGGTTACTGAGCCGGGCACTGCAGCCAGCCAGGGAGAAAGGGAAGGGAAAGAAAGAGGGCCCCTGCTCACCAGATGGGATTCGCGGAGAAGGAGCTGATTATTCACTGGTGGTTCCATTTGAGGCTAAGTTCTAGGTCTGACCTTCAGTGAAAACTCATATTTGCCCCAGTCTCAAAAGCTCACATGTTAAAAATGAAAAGGTAACTTTTCTTATTGCAAAAGTAATATGTTATGGTTGAGATTTTAGAAAGCATCATTAGAATTAAGAGAATAAAAATCACCTATAACCCATTCCTAAAAGGCCTTAACACACACACGAGGCGTTCAAGACTTTTTCCTTTTTTTTTTGAGATGGAGTTTTGCTCTTGTTGCCCAGGCTGGAGTGCAATGGCGTAATCTCGGCTCACCACAACCTCTGCCTCCCAGGTTCAAGTGATTCTCTTGCCTCAGCCTCCCGAGTAGCTGAGATTACGGGCATATACCACCATGCCCAGCTAATTTTTGTATTTTTTAGTAGAGATGGGGTTTCTCCATGTTGGTCAGGTTGGTCTTGAACTCCTGACCTCAGGTGATCCGCCCACCTCGTCTTCCCAAAGTGCTGGAATTACAGGTGTGAACCACTACGCCCGGCCACTATGGGCTTTCGTTAAGGCTCCTAAACTCTTTAGGCTTCAGTTTCCCCATTTGCTTTTTCCTTTCCTTTTCTTTCTTTCTTTCTTTGTTTTTTTTTTTTGTTTGTTTGTTTTTGTTTTTTTTGAACAGGGGGTCTCACTCTGTCTCTGTCATCCAGGCTGGAGTGCAATGGCACAATCTCGGCTTACTGCAACATCTGCCTCCCAGGTTCAAGCGATTCTCCTGCCACAGCCTCCGGAGTAGCTGAGATTACGGGCATACAGCACCACACCCAGCTAATTTTTGTACTTTTTAGTAGAGACGGCGTTTCTCCATGTTGGTCAGGCTGGTCTGGAACTCCTGACCTCAGGTGATCCGCCCACCTTGGCTTCCCAAAGTGCTGGGATTATAGGCGTGAGCCACCGCGCCTGGCCACACCGTTATTTTCTTAAGAATAAATACCTAGAATGGCCGGGCGCGGTGGCTCACGCCTGTAATCCCAGCACTTTGCGAGGCCGAGGCGGGCAGATCACAAGGTCAGGAGATCGAGACCATCCTGGCTAACACGGTGAAACCCCGTCTCTACTAAAAATACAAAAAAATTAGCCGGGCGTGGTGGCGGGCGCCTGTAGTCCCAGCTACTTGGGAGGCTGAGCCAGGAGAATGGCGTGAACCCGGGAGGCGGAGTGTGCAGTGAATCGAGGTCGCGCCACTGCGCTCCAGCCTGGGCAACAGAGCGAGACTCCATCACACACACACACACACACACACACACACACACACACACACACACACACACACAAAGAATAAATACCTAGAATAGGCTGTGGTGGGCAAATAATGACCTTCCAAAGGTGTTTATATCATAATCCCTGGGACCCATGAATGTGTTAAAGGGGAATTAAGGTAACAGATGGAATTAAGCCTGCCTATCGGCTGACTTTAACACTGGAGAATTGTTCTGGATTATCTGGCTGGGCCCCATATAGTAATCACAAGTGGAAAAGGGAGGCAGCAGAGTTGCTGTCGGAGTGATGTGATGTGAGAAAGACTCTATTGGCTGTTGCTGGCTTTGAAGATGGAGGAAGGCAGCCACAAGCCAAGGAACGCAGGTAGCCTCCAGGAGCTGGAAAAAGCAGGAAACAGAATCCAGAAGGAAATACAGCCCCGCCAGCCCCTGGATTGTAGCCCGGGACTTCTGACTCCAAGAAAGCTAAGATAATCAATTTGTGTTTTATTTATTTATTTATTTATTTTTGAGACAGAGCGAGCACTCTGTTGCCCAGGCTGGAGTGCAGTGGCACCATCTCAGCTCACTGTAACCTCCACCTCCTGGGTTCGCGCGATTCTTGTGCCTCAGCCTCCTCAGTAGCTGGGATTACAGGTGTGCGCCACCATGCCTGGCTAATTTTTGTATTTTTAGTAGAGACGGGGTTTCACCATGTTGACCAGGCTGGTCTTGAACTCCTGACCTCAAGTGATCCATCCACCTCAGCCTCCCAAAGTGCTGGGACTACAGGCTTGAGCCACCACGCCTGGCCCAATTTGTGTTTTTAAAATCATAGGTTTGTGATAAGTTGTTGTTTTGTTTTGTGTTTTTGAGACAAAGTCTCATTCCATTGCTCAGGCTGGAGTGCAGTGGTGTGATCATAGCTCACTGCAGCCTTGACTTCCCGGGCTCAGGCCATCCTCCCACCTCAGCCTCCGGAGTAGCTGGGACTAAGGTGCAGGCCACCACACCCGACTAATTTTTTGTAGGGATGGGATTTCACCACATTGCCCAGGCTGATCTCAAGCTCCTGGTCTCAAGTAATGCACCCACCTCGGCCTCCCAAAGTGCTGAGATTACAGGTGTGAGCCACCTCACCAGCCTGTGATGAGTTGTAACAACAAATAGAAAACTAACATACTGGGCTGGACGTGGTGGCTCACGCCTGTAATCTCAGCACTTTGTGAGGCTGAGGCGGGTGGATTCCCTGAGCTCAGGAGTTCGAGACCAGCCTGGGCAACATGGTGAAACCCTGTCTCTACTAAAAATACAAAAAATTAGCCAGGCGTGGCGGCATGCACCTGTAGTCCCAGCTACTCAGGAGGCTGAGGCAGGAGAATTGCTTGAACCTGGGAGGAGGAGGTTGCAGTGAGCAAGATTGCGCCACTGCACTCCAGCCTGGCGACGGAGCAAGACTCTGTCTCTAAACAGCAACAACAACAAAAAACTAACACACTGGGTCAAAGATTCTACACAGATTGAAGACTTTTGATAATATTACCACTTTGTCTTCAGAAAGGTTGTATCAACTTCTACTCCTGGCAGCTTCTCTGTATCCTTGCTAGCACAAACTACTATAATTTACTTTAAATTTCAAAAGGTATTTCTCTGTTTCAATCTGCATATCTGGAGTTATTGCTAAAGGTAAGTGTCTGATATTTAATGGCCACTTGCGTTTCTTACTTGTGAAATGTCTGTTTATATTCACTACCCATTTTATTTTATTTTATTGAGATGGAGTCTCACTCTGTTACCCAGGCTGGAAGGCAGAAGGGAAATCTCAGCTCACTGAAACCTCTACCTCCCAGGTTCAAGCGACTATTGTGTCTCAGCCTCCTGAGTAGCTGGGATTACAGGCAGACAGGGTTTCGCCGTGTTGGCCAGGCTGGTCTTGAACTCCTGACCTCAAGTGATCCATCTGCCTTGGCCTCCCAAAGTGCTGGGATTACAGGTGTGAGACACCGCACCCGGCCTCACGACTGATTTTCCACTGGAACAGTTCTCTATTTCTTACTGAGTTACATTAGTGTCATTCTTTTTTTTTTTTTTTTTTTTTTTTTTTTGAGACGGAGTCTTGCTCTGTCACCCAGGCTGGAGTGCAGTGGTGCCATCTGGGCTCGCTGCAAGCTCTGCCTCCCTGGTTCACGCCATTCTCCTGCCTCAGCATCCCAAGTAGCTGGGACTACAGGCGCCCGCCACCAAGCCCGGCTAATTTTTTATATGTTTAGTAGAGATGGGGTTTCACTGTGTTAGCCAGGATGGTCTTGATCTCCTGACCTCATGATCCGCCCACCTCGGCCTCCCAAAGTGGTGGGATTACTGGCGTGAGCCACCATGCCCGGCCTAGTGTCATTTTTAAACCATCACAACCTCTGCAAGACACTTGATCGTCAATGACTCAAGGACTAGGCCCGTTTCACAGATGGGGAAACAGAGACCAAGGACAAGATGGAATCCTGCAGCCCTTCTGGTTCAGTTGATCAGCCCCTGCAGCCACAGACCCAAGAGCCTGTTCTGAAGAAGGCAATTGAACAGGGAGGGGACACAGAGGCACACAGGCGAAGTTGTGCTCACTGCTGTGTGTCTGGGGAATCATAAACACCGCAGGCTGATGTGACTCAGACATGACTAGGTGTGACCGTGACAGACCACAGCGTTCTGTAAATATTGTGTCAGGCTGAGATTACAGTGGAGCTCCCTGCTCATCCCAGACCCCAGTCTATCCCCTGGGAAGTGGAGGCTGAGCTCGGGGGGGTAGAATATCTGGCTATCTCTCTTGGCTCGCTGCTCAACATTTCCTAGCCTTGGTTTCCTTCCTGAGGATCTCCTGACTGGGATACCCTGCTGAAGTAAGTGACTGGTGCTCAGCTCTTGGTGAGGGTTGAAATCGTACACCCCTTTGAAAAAGGTTCTGACCTACTTGCAAATTCAAAGATAAAGATGAGCTCCACAATAGCAGGGTCCCACTTAAGGAGCCTTACTGTAAGCCAGGCAATGTATTAATACTAAACCGTATTGTCTCAAAGCCTCCTTACGACTCTCATGCAAGGAAGGGAAACTGAGGCTCAGAGATCTTAAGCTCTGTGTCCCAGTAAGTTTGTCAGCCTCTCAATCATCACGCCAAGTTGTTCCATGAGAATTAAGGGCCAGGAAGTTATCTTTTTTTCCTTGAAGAATTATAGTCTCTCCTTTAAAAAAACAACAAACAAACAAACAAAAAAACAAATAATGAAACCTGGGCAACCTGCTGTATTCCCCTTTTTGCCTTGGCTACCAGGAAACCCAGAGCTAGTGTTATGATGTAATCACAGTAGCTCTATCTGTCCAGGTGGCAAGTCAGTGTATTAGCCCCCCTTTTCTTCTCCTCCCACATGGTTCTTTGTTTTCCTGTTTTTGTTTTAAATCTTTTATAGGTGCTGGCCCCACATTCGACACTCTCCAGCTGCCGGACATTGATTGGGTCACTTCACCTCTCTGGGTTTCAGTTTCCATCCTTGTGAAGCCATAGGTAATAATAGCACCTCCCTGCTAGGGTTCTGAGAATCAAATGAAAAGATCCATGTATAATAAAAAGCCTAGCAGGAGCCCATATGTTGAAAATATTCAGTGAACATCACCTATGGATGGGAAGAAAGGCTTCGAGAAAGCCAACATAGAGAGAGAACCTGTCCTAAGTGGGAAGATCCTGCTGGGTTCAAGGCCGGTCCCACTGTGGGCTTGCGTGTGACTTTAGGCAACTCACTTCCCTCTCTGAGCCTCAGCTTCCTCACTGTAAGCTGTTTGCTGTGCCCTCTTGACGCTGTAGATGAGAGTCCAAAGACTTTGTGTGTCCTTTTCACCATGAAGTCCCCAAAGCCTTACACAGGAGAAACTGCTACAGGAGGCGGGGGCAGCTGGCACATAGCAGGGCTCCCTACACGGCGAGCCCAAGAGTGAGCATCTGGTGGAATGCTGGTGGTCAGGGTCTCCACTGCCCACCTGGCAGGAAATGACCGGCACCAGGGTGGTGGACTGTACTTTGGCCAATCCTGTGGGGGCTGTTAGGTAGGTTGGAATCCTGAGGACCCAGCAGAGCAAGGACAGGCCCAGATCTGGGTGTGGAAACAAATGACAAGCTACTTTTGGGTGCCTACTTGGCGCAGGGCTCCAGGAGAGCAGGGCTGTAGGCCAGGCAACCCCCTTGCCACCCCTCAGGGACTGCAGGCTTCACAGGGAGCCCAATGGGAAACAATCCTGAATGATTCACACCACCATGATTTATTGAGCACCTACTATACACTGAGGCATCCCGGGTGTGCACCGGGCCGTGAACCCCAGTGGGCCTCTTGAGGAGATGCTACGGTCCAGCTGTGGCAGCCTGGTTACTGCAGACTGAACTCGGACAGGCTTGACCACTCTTCCAACAAAGACGTCTTCCAAACTGTGGGCTTTGGGTTTCTGGGACAGACACAGCTCCCAGGATGACCCTTGCTGGAGAACTCCCTTCAGTTACAAATGGGGAAACTGAGGCTCGGAGAAGAAAGGACTAACCGCGAATCTGGGACCCAACTCCCACTACTGCTCTCCAAATTGTCTCCTGGCAAACTTTCCCCACTCTCCCCTGTCGTTCCTTCCCTGGGAGTCGTGGGAAGGATGCCTGAGGCGAGGGGCACAGGCTGAGGCCTGGGGGGCCCTGAGACTTCCCAGAGCCTTCTGGAGCCCTCAGGGCCTGCCTTCCTCCCTCCCCGGGCCCTACATCTTGCTGCGATTCCCCTGCGGTGCGGTGGAGCTGTGTGAGGCTGTCCACTGCACACAGCGTGGGGGGGCATGTGAGGATGGGGAGCACAGTGGCTGACGACCAGGCGGGGCTGAGGATTGGGACCAGGCTCTCAGCTCACGGGCTTAATTGGGGATATAATAGTTATTATTATTTATAACTTACTCTTGAACCCGCGCCAGGAGGGTGTATTCACAGCCTGCACGATCCAGGCAGGCGTTAAATAATTAAACCAAGGGCCTAATCGGCGGCGAAACTCCCCGTGGGCTCCCACTTCCTTAGTCCGCTGATTGCTGATATTTTGGGAGTGAAATATGATCATGTTTACGATCAAAGAGATCAGAGTTCCAAAGGAAAGAAACGGAAAAAAGGAGGAGGGGGTGCGGACTCTTCCAGTTTTCTTTTCCTCTGAGTTAGTGGTCTGGTAAAGTTTCTTTAAACGTGCAAAGATTTACACACCTTTCTGCAGGCAGCCTTAAATTACTCCCCGATCCCTCACACATTTCCCTGAGCAGTGCAGGAACAGTAAGTCATTGAGAAAGGAGCAGGCCTCCCCGTAATCACTCCGGCAGCCTTTGAGAAAGAGAATGTCTAATGACTTTTTTTGAAGTCGAGGTCAAGGTTTTTTAAATAAAACAATCTGTATTAATGCAATTTCCTTTTTAGCTGTAGCATTGGATTTTTTTTTTTCTTTTTGGAAATAGGAGGCAGGGCAGGGAAGGACATCATTTTTCTCTCACCAGACAACGCGTCCCTAATGAGATACATTTATTTAAAAATCTGTATATCATCACCCTGTCAGGGCCTCCAAGCGGGACCCTGAGCCTCCCCGTTGGTTTGTTTCAGATTAGCGGGACGTGTGAATGGCCCTGCAGTCTGGCTTGCTCTCCCGGCCACTGGTCTTCCCTCTCCCTCTCCCTCCCGGGGAGTTCAGTGCAGGTAGCCGTATTTTATGCCCCACCATACCCTGCCCCATCAAATCACCCAGATCTCAGTACAGCAAATTTGGCCTCGGATCCTGGCCTCGGGTCCTCCACCCTCCCACCCACACCCCACCTGCCTCCCGCTGCTCAGCCCTGAATCCTCAGATTCCTGGAGGCCTCCCTCCTTTGCCCCAGGAGGAAATAGCGCCCAGTGGTGATGCCAGTGACTCCGCCCCACACAGATCTGAGTTCGAGTCCCAGCTCTGCCTCTCACCAGCCCACTCACTGAGCCAGCCCCCAGTTTCCTCAAACCTTCGTGTCTTGACAACAAGCCTGGGGTCCACTAAACAGCAGCGGCCACCATCCGGGACTGGGGAGGGGCACTGGGGATAAAGCTGTGATCAGATGGCCCAGAAATGCAGGGAAGTCACTGAGCCAATATTGATAGCGAATGTAGGAGCAAGAAGATCAGGGACCATAAGGGAGGGGGAGAGAGGGGTATCAGGGAGGGCTTCCCTGAGGAAGAGGCATTCAGCCCACTGTTTTTGTTTGTTTGTTTGTTTTTTGAGACAGAGTCTCACTCTGTCACCCAGACTAAAATGCAGTGGCACAATCTTGGCTCACTGCAACCTCCACCTCCCAGGTTCAAGTGATTCTTGTGCTTCAGCCTCCCAAGTAGCTGGGATTACAGACATGCACCACCATGCCCAACTAATTTTTGTATTTTTAGTAGAGACGGGGTTTCACCATGTTGGCCAGGTTGGTCTCGAACTCCCGACATCAGGTGAGCCGTCCACCTTGGCCTCCCAAAGTGCTGGAATTACAGGCGTCAGCCACTGCATTCGGCCTGTTTTTCCTTTTCTTTTCTTTCTTTTCTTTTTTTTTTTTTTTTTTTTGAGACAGGGTCTCACTCAGTTACCCAGACTGGAGTGCAGCGGTGCAATCACAGCTCACTGCAACCTCAATCTCCCGGGCTCAAGCGATCCTCCCACCGCAGCCTCCCTAGTGGCTGGGACTACAGACACACACCACCACACCTGGCTAATTTTTTTATTTTTTATTTTTAGTAGAGATGAGGTCTTGCTGTGTTGCTCAGGCTGGTCTCCAACTCCTAAGCTCAAGCAATTCTCCCATCTCAGCCTCCCAAAGTGCTGGGATTACAGGTGTGAGCCACCGTGCCCAGCTGAGCCCACTCTTGCAGGTGGAGCTGCATTCAGTAGGTGTAGGAGGGCCAGGTCTAGATGTGGCCAGGCAGGAGACCTAGCACGTGCAAAGGATCCTCAGAGCACCTGGCTTTACCTGCTCCCGGGGGCTGCAACTCACAGTAGCATTTTTGGTATCACTGTGCCTCACTTTCCCCTGCATGCCCAAGAGCTCAAGTTTTATATATATATATATATAAAATATATAAATTTCTATTTTATATAAAAATTATATATATAAATTTTATATAAAAATATATAAGTATATATATTTACATATATATATATATATATTTTTTTTTTTTTTTTTTTTTTGAGACAGAATCTCACTCTGTGGCCCAGGCTGGAGTGCAGTGGCGCGATCTCGGCTCACTGCAGGCTCCACCTCCCGGGTTCACGCCATTCTCCTGCCTCAGCCTCCGGAGTAGCTGGGACTACAGGCATCCGCCACCACGCCCGGCCTATATATATTTTTTGAGACAGAATCTCACTCTGTCGCCCAGTCTGGAGTGCAGTGGCATGATCTTGGCTCACTGCAACCTCTGCCTCCCGGGTTCAAGTGATTCTCTTGCCTCAGCCTCCCGAATAGCTGGGACTACAGGTGCGCACCACCATGACCCGCTAATTTTTGTTGTTGTAGTAGAGACAGGGTTTCACCATGTTGGCCAGGCTGGTCTCGAACTCCTGACCTCAGGTGATCTGCCTGCCTCAGCCCCCCAAAGTGCTGGGATTACAGGCATGAGCCACCACGCCCGGCCTCAAGTTATATTTTTAAACTCTGTATGCACCAAGGTTATGGGACATCCATAGGTGCCTGGCCATCTGTAGACCTGGCCCCCCTACATCTCCTGAATGCGGCTGCACCTGCAAGAATGGGCTCGGCTGGGCACGGTGGCTCACGCCTGTAATCCCAGTACTTTGGGAGGCCGAGGTAGGAGGATTGCTTGAGCTTAGGAGTTGGAGACCAGCCTGAGCAACACAGCAAGACCTCATCTCTACTAAAAATGTACCAAGCTCTTTCCTCTGCTCACCCTGGGCTGGACACTGGGGACCAGGTAGAGTGGCCTCTGCCCTTGGGGCCACAGCCAAGAGAGGAAGACTGAAGTCGGCCGTTCCACTCACGCAGTGGAGGAGAATGCAGGTGCCACGGCAGAAGCAGGATTGGACATCAGTCACCCTGGCAGGATGGGAGTAGGGAAGGGGCCCCTGGCTGTCTGGGGACGAGGGCTCCTCTAGGGGGAAGTCTCTGCAGGGGCTGAAGCCAGCTTTGAAGCAGGTAGCAAGGGGCTGGAGTTGGGTTTTAGGAGCCGGTGTTGAGTCTTAGAGGGGAGAGGGTTACCCCAGAGGTTGCTTGCCCAGGCCAGAGGCCATGTTCTCCGCCTGCAGGCATGGCTGAAAGGCCTTTGGGAGACTCGTGTGGGCCTGGGCGCTCTGGAACCTGGGAGGAACCAGTAAGCTTGGAGACCGGGGACAGATGGCTCATGTCATATGCTGGAAACTGTCTGAAAGAGGGGACCAGGCCAGTGTCAGATAGCTCGGCCTTGGGGGTCAAGGTGAGAAAACCATCCGCCATTCCCAGGCCATGAACACCCACCCTGGACCAGCCCGGTGCTGGGACCTGGGGCCGGGAGGGTTCCTCC
Source organism: Homo sapiens (assembly GCF_000001405.40). Taxonomy (NCBI): domain Eukaryota; kingdom Metazoa; phylum Chordata; class Mammalia; order Primates; family Hominidae; genus Homo; species Homo sapiens. Next base: position 129,651,110 of record NC_000009.12, on the reverse strand, counting down.
TCCAGAGGGGCAGAGAGAGAGGCCCCATTGCCTCTGCCCCCACCTCCTCTCTCAGTTCACTCCTGCCCAGGTGGAGGGCCCACTTCAACCACCACTGACTGCCCAGGCGAGGCCACCTGGCCCTGGCTCCCGCTAGCACTCGGCACCTAGCACGCCCCAGGCTTGCTGGGAGCTTCAGGCCCAACAACCACACTGCTGCCTCCCTAGAGCCTAGCCCAGTGCTTGGCACCAGCAAGCACAAACTCCACAGCTGCCAAATGACATCATCACAACCCAAGTGACCCATGCAGCATGTCTAGACAGTACCCAGACAGACTGAGGACCAGATCCCGGCACTGCCACTCCTGTACCTTGTCATCTTGGGCTAGTCACATCCCCTGTCATCTGCAAACAGGAATAATGACAGTATCTATGACCTAGGTGTGTCGGGAGGGTTCACCCCACGAGGCATGTACCAAGCGACTTAGGGGCTTGATCAATGCTGGCCACCCAAGGGATGCTTGGCCTGGTATGTTGGTTTCTGCAATTCTCTGGGACTTGACTTCCTTTGTTTGTCTGTAAAATGGGTCTTTAACCCTTGTCATCGCTTACACCTTCATAACCACATCCCAAAGCCCAGCCTGGCCCACCTCCCCCTCCTTCCTGCCTCTGCCTCTCTCGGTCCTTCTTGATCGGTTTTTCTGTCTCTCTCTGTGTCCATCACGATTTCACTGTCTTCATTTTTTGGTTTCTGTCTGCCTTGTCTCTCTCCCTCTCAATCTGCCTGGAATTCTGTCCCAGAGGAACCAATACTCCAAGGCTCGACTACATTCCCTTTTACAGCAGTGAGATGGGAAGAGGGAGAGAGAGAGAAAGAGAAGGGGGAAAAAAAATCAAAGCCCACATATTGGTTCCAGATGTGGCCCTCTCTCTCAGCCCTCTCCAGCAATTTAATTAAATTCCCCCAGACAGCCAGGAGGGTTTCTTAATGATCAAATTTCCCCAGCTCTCCTCCTCGAACAGCCCTTGTTCGGGTTCACTCCGTCTCCCTGACGGATGGCCGACCGGATTCTTCCTGCCGTCGGCGCTGCCAAGCTGGGCCAGTGGGGGTGGAGTGGGGGGCTTCCCAGGGAGCACAAAGGACTCTGGCCCCCTGCCTCTGCCCTTGCCACTTCCAAAGGGGTCTGAGTGCTCCTGAACCCACCCTGGGTCAGACTGCAGTGGCTGGAGGGGCCCCAGCGGCCCCCACCCCAGAGCTCTGACCTTGGGGCTGGCCTGCCAGCGACTGATGCCAAGTGGGTGCCAGCCAGGGTGAGATGGGGGAATCTTTGGGATCAGGACTCTGGGCCCATTTACCAGCCAGAGCTGGGGCAGGCTCAGACCTACTGGGCGCCCTCCCCGGCCTCCACTGGGCAGAATGAGCAAGGTTTAGAGAAGGCGAGCCCGAGCTGGGATCTCCTCGCCGGGCTTGGGAGAAGCGGGGGCAGGCTGACCCGAGTTTAGTAGGCGAGGATCTGCCCCCGAGACAGGCCGAGGTGAAGAAGCCTTTCTTGGAAGGCTTCCTCCATGGGAAGAATCGCCATGGGCAGAATCCTTGCCTGCTAGGCTCTCAGTAGGACCCTTGACTTCTGGGGTAGAAAGAAATTTAGGGGAACCCTGGGCCCACCCCTTCGTGTGCAGATGGGCAGTGAGGCTGAGAGAGGCCCAGGCCAAAGTCCAGGCCCCAGCCTCCCTCCAGACGCAGGGCGAGACCCCCGGGGCGCTCAGCACCTTCCCACCCTGCTCTGGGCTGCTGACTTACCTCACCTGGGAGAGGCGGGGACCAGGCAGGGCCTTCCATGTGGGCATGGGGGAACAGTAGAGAAAGAGGGGTCCTGCGGCATCCCGTCCCAGGCTCTGGGCTGCCCACCTGGGGGCTTCACTGGGGCCTGGCCCCACCCTTACCTGGCTGTCACAGGCCCCGCCCTTGGACCAAGCACCAGGAACCACCTGGCAGTGTCTGTGCCGGAGTAGGGGGCTCTGGCCGGCAGGGAGGGCTTCCTGGTGGGGGCGGGTAGGGAGGGGAAAGCAAGCCCGGCCATCAGAAGCACAGAGGTCTCTGGGGCTTGTCGCCCTGGGGGTTGGGGCCCCCGAAATGCTCCTTGGTGCTTCTTAGGACAGTAAACAGAATAAGGGAGGGGACAGAAAAAGCCCTTCGCTGGCCCGGCCACTGTCCTGCCACACGGCCCCACCGCACGGCCCCTGCTCCAGCCCCTGCTACCTCAGTTTCTCCCCTGAGCAGACAGACTCTTAGGCCTCTGGGAACCCAGGAATCCAGGCCCTGCCCCTCCAGCCTGAGGACTGTGGCAGGAACAGGCAGGCTGGGCCTCCTGCAGGGACACTCTTGGGTCATGAGGGTCGGGGGTCAGGGTGGGGTCAGGGTGTGGGGGGAGGAGGAAAGGAAAGGAGCGGGGAGCCAGGCAGGAGAAGAAGGGCAGAAGGGGGGGAAGCGGAGGGCGGCACTTCCATGACCACACTTCAGAAATATGCCGGGCCCTCGTCTGTCCCGGTGCCCTGGGGACTTGCCCGGGGGCTGAAGTTGGAGGCTCTGAAATGGTCCTTGTGGTGATGTGTATGTTTCTAAATATCTCACTTTATGGAAATGCCGCCAATCAAAAAAAGAGAAGAAATAAAAGGCAGGGGTTCCCTAATTCTCCCCCTCCAGGGCCTTCTAAGGGACAGGCCTGGCAGCCGACAGCCCCTCCTGGGGAGACAGCAGGCACCGTGGAGGGCGAAGGTGCTGGGATGGGGCCAGACCACTCCTCCCTGGAGCTGCCCAGCCTGGCACGTGTGTGTGAGAGTGGTGTATGTGTGTGGTGTGAGTGGCGTATGTGTGAGTAGTGTGTGTTACAGTGGTGTATGAGTGGTGTATGTTGGTGTGTGTATGGGTGAGTGGTGTGTAAGTGGTATGTGAGTGTGAGTGGTGCGTATGAGTGAGTGGTGTGTGTGCTAGTGTGCATGAGTGATGTGTGTGCGTGAGTGGTTGTGTGTGAGTGGTGTGTGTGTGAGTGGTGTGTGTGTGAGTGGTGTGTGTGTGAGTGGTGTGTATGTGTGTGAGTGGTGTGTGTGTGTGAGTGGTGTGTGTGTGAGTGGTGTGTATGTGTGTGAGTGGCGTGTGTGAGTGGCGTGTGTGAGTGGTGTGTGTGAGTGGTGTGTGTGTGTGGTGCGTGTGAGCGTGTGTGAGTGTATTTCAGTGGTGTGTGTGTGTGGTGTGTGGGTGGTGTGTGTGGTGCGTGTGAGCGTGTGTGCGTGTATTTGAGTGGTGTGTGTGTGAGTGGTGTGTGGGGTGCATGTGAGCGTGTGGGAGTGTATTTGAGTGGTGTGTGTGCAAGTGTGAGTACGCGCTTTGTGGGGCTCCAGTAGGGGTTGGAAGCCAGGCCCTGGGTGTGAAGCCCCCTCCCTGGGCCCCTCACTCACTGACCTTGGCTTGGTCAGCCATCTCTCCTAGACTCTGACACCAGAGTCCTGGGGTCACTTCCTGGGGTGTCGCGATGAACTGATGAGACTTGTTGAGCTTCTTACTGAATGCATGGGAGTAGGACACACTCGAGCAGAGACCACAGTTGCTGCCGATTGGCCATTCCTACAGCCAGCCTGGGCGGGTGGGCGGGTGGACTCACGGCCACTCGGGAGGAAAGTGAGCGAAGCGCTAGTCCAGGTTGAGGGGACCTCAAGGGTGAGTGGCCTGCGTGCTGAGGAGGAGGCTGTCAGTCCATGGGCTGGGAGAGGGAGAAGGCTTTATGGACAGGCCTGGACCCCCTGCTGGTGTTCAGGGCCTGCCTTCAACCCCAGGAGGGGTGTCAGGGCCTGATTCTCTGCCCTGGGCTTACATAATGTTTTATTAATAAGTCTCAGGTAAGACACACTCATTGGAGAAAAAAGAGGAAATATATCCACATACAAAGAAGAGTAAAAATTCCCAGATCCCAACACCCAAAACAACCACCATTAACATCTCAGCATGGGGCGTTCAAGAATGATTCCTGCACACACACACACACACACACGTGCACACACACATTTTCCTAAATGGGACCATATGGTACCTGCTATTCTGTAATGGGCTCTGTTGGATTGTTATAGAGAAGGACCCCACGTGTTACCAGCTACCATCATTGTTGGACCGCAGGAGAGGCTGAGTGTCTATCCCTGTTTTTTGACCATTTTTCATCCTTCGTGACTTGCCTGTGCATGTCCTTTGCCCATGTTTTTATTGGTGTTTTTGCCTTCTTGTTGTTGATTTTTAGCAGCTCTTTATATATTAAGGTCATCCCCCTCTGTACATTGACGAGTCGGAGTGACTCCCAAACTCCCCGAGGACTAGGAGGCAGGGACAGGGCTGAGCTCTGGGTCCTTGTCCCCAGGACCCCCATCCTGCTGAAGATCTCTGGAGGTGGGTGGCAGGAAGGGGCTGGGCTGGCCAGGCGGTGAGTGGCAGTGACAAGGAAAAGAGAGAGAAGCGGAGAGCTGGAACCAGGGGCTCTGAGTGACAGAGCCCTAATGGGAGGCAGATGGAGGAAACAAGTCTGCCCTTGCTGACAGGAGGGAGGTCAGGGGGCACAAAGCCCTCTAAAGTTAGGAGCCTGGGCGGCGGGCAGGCAGCAGGGCCAGCCCCACAGGGTGGTGCCCCAGGGCTGTGAGAGGGCGGGGGTTAGCTCCCCCTCCTGCATGTCCAGACTCGTGAGCCCAGAGCTGGAGGAGCTGAGGACACTCGAGTCTCGGAGGCAGGAAGCGTGGAAAAGTTGCACCGACCGGGGCTGGAGGCCCAACCTCACAGTGCAGCCTGGGACAAGCGCCCAAACCTCTCTGAGCCCGTTTCTTTGTAAAATGGGGTAATAATATCACCTACTTAACAGGATTTAGGGAGATCAGTGCACCAAACATTCAGCATATCTAGTGCCTGGCATGTACAAGGGTCTCCGTAAATACAAGTGGGCTCGTGTTGTTGTTATTATAATGGCCCCCTCCTCACTCCTTCTCTGTCGGCGGAGCCCACCAGCCACGTCAAGGAGTTCGTCATTGGCTCCAAGACTGTCAGAGCTGGGAGGGCCCTCAGGTTATAGGTGAGGAAACTGAGGCCCAGAGACCAGAAGGGCCATGCCTAGGGTCACTCGTGACAGTGGGTTTATGTGTGCTCCCCAAAAAGATATGTTCCAGTCCTAGTCCTGGTGCCTGGAACGTGACCTCGTTCAGAAAAAGGGGTTTTGCAGATGTAATCAAATTAAGATGTGGCCATAATGGATTTGGGTGCGCCCTATAAATCCAGTGACCCATGCCCATTTAGAAAGGAGGGGGAAGGCTGGGCACGGTGGCTCACGCCTATAATCCCAGCACTTTGGGAGACAGAGGCGGGCGGATGACAAGGTCAAGAGATCGAGACCATCCTGGCCAACATGGTGAAACCCTGTCTCTACTAAAAATACAAAAAAAAATTAGCTGAGGGTGGTGGCACACGCGCACCACTGCACTCCAGCCTGGCGACAGTGCGAGACTCTGTCTCAAAACACAAAACAAAAAAGAAAAAGAAAAAGAAGGGAGCGGGGGATTTGGACAGTGGCATAGACAGCAGGAAGAAGGCTGTGTGGAGACAGAGGAAGGTGGACACTGGGGTGCTGCTGTCCCAAGCCGAGGTACCCCTGTGGTCACCAGGAGTGGGAGAGGCAAGAAAGGGACCTTCTCTGGAGTCTTTGGAGGGAGCGTGGCCCTGCCCACACCTTGAATTTGACCTTTCCGCCTCCAGAACTGTAAAGGAGTGAATTTCTGTTGTTTTAAGCCATCAGGTCTGCAGCACCTTGTTATAGCAGCCCTAGGGCAAAAGCAGGGCTCAGACGAAGTCAGCCCACCCAGCTCCACCGGGACCCCACGGGACTGCACCTCCCGCAGTTACTCACCATGCGCCCTTGGGTAAGTCAGGCCTCCGTCTCCTGAGGGTTGAGGGCCAAAGGCCATCACATAGGTGAGGAGACCGAGGCCTGACTCAACACGGGCATGGTGTCACGTGATCAAATGTGTTGTGTGATCAAACGAGAGAGGGGCTGTGAAGACCTGGGTCGCCTGAGAGCGGCTGTACCGTTCAGGGCCTCGCGATCCATTGAGGGGGACCCTTCAAGCAGGGGCAGACACTTCCAAACGCTCAGAGTCATGCCCAGGCAGGTGCACCCAGGGCAAGCACCCCATCTGGATGCAAATCGCTGTCTGGTAAGAATCTGGGCCCTTCTGATTTTTACAAGGCAAGTTGGAAAATCTCCATTTCCCTGGGAGCAAAATGTCCCGATTTCCCTCAGGAAGATACTTCTTTCCCTCAGCAAGAATCAAGGCAGACATGTGTGGGGAGCCGTGGGCCCTCGTAGTCTGCAGTTGCTTCTGGGACGCCCAAGCTAGTGTTGCCTTAAAGGGTCTTGAACCCAGCTGCCCACCCCCACCCCTCCTTCCTACTCCTTTAGGTAATGGAAGAGGAAGCAAACTGAGGCACTCTGAATGCCTGGCGTCGGAGGTGGTTTTCCGAGAGCCTGTCATTGGATCTGACAACAGCTTTAACAACCAGAGCCAGCAGTTACCAGCCGCTGCTGCCACACCCTCAACCTTGCCGGTTGAGGCTCGTTGCTTTGGGTTTTCTTGTACAGTTTGTTTTGCACATGGTAGAGGGCCTTACTCTGCCCATTTAAAAATGTTTCATCTGGCTGGGCGTGGTGGGCTCACGTCTGTAAGCCCAGTACTTTGGGAGGCTGAGGCGGGTGGATCACCTGAGGTCAGGAGTTCGAGAATAGCCTGGCCAACATGGTGAAACCCCGTCTCTACTAAAAATACAAAAATTAGCCTGGCGTGGTAGCGCATGCCTGTAATTCCAGCTACCTGGTAGGCTTGAACCCAGGGGTTGGAGGTTGCAGTGAGCCGAGATCCTGCCACTGCACTCCAGCTTAGGCAACAGAGTGAGACTCCGTCTGAAAAATAATAATAATAATAATAATAAATAAATAAATATAAAAATGTTTACTCTAAGACCCATCGGATTGTCTTGAAATGCGCCTTTAAATGTTTTTTTCCTGGGCTGGGCAACTCTCGCTGTCTGGCAGGTTCCAGGGAGAGGGGCCCAACTTGGCAGAGCAAGGCCCAGGAGGCCAACGCTGTGATGTGGACTGCTGGGGCGGGAAACCCCTCTTCATCATCAGCTTCCCAGAAGCAAGAAGGCATCAAGGCCCCCCCACGCAGACTCCAGGTGGGAGAGGAGGCTCAAATGCATGGCCCAAGGGGAGGTGCCTCGACTCCAGAAAAGTGGTTTTTCCAAGGCAAGCTGGAAATGTCCATTTCCATGTGAGCAGAATTTCCCGATTTCACCCAGGGAGAAATTTCTTTCCTACAGCGAGAACCAAGGCAGAAACGTGCTGGCAGCTGTGGACTCTGCGGCCTGGAGCTGCTTCTAGGAAGCCCAAGCTGGTGTTGCCCTAAAGGGGCTTAAACCCGGCTGCCCACTCCGCCCCTTCTTCCTGAACCAGAGGGTTTTGGCTCCTTCCCACTGAATTCCACTTCCACCAACAATTACAGTGCGCTGGCTCCAGCATCTCAGGTGAGTGTGATTATACTTTTTTTTTTTCTTTTTGAGACAGAGTTTCGTTCTTATTGCCCAGGCTGGAGTGTGATGGTGCGATCTCCACTCACTGCAACCTCCGCCTCCCGGGTTCAAGCAATTCTCCTGCCTCAGCCTCCCAAGTAGCTGGGATTACAGGCGCCTGCCACCACGCCCGGGTAATTTTTGTATTTTTAGTAGAGACAGGGTTTCATCATATTGGCCAGGCCGGTCTGCAGCTTCGAACTTCTGACCTCAGGTGATCCACCTGCCTCGGCCTCTCAAAGTGCTGGGGATTCTACCCATTTTACAGATGAGGAAATCCAAGTTCAGAGACAGGCGGTAGCACACTCCTGTGTTCCCAGCTTCTCGGGAGGCTGAGGCGGGAGGATCACCTGAGCCCAGGGGTTCAAAGCTGCAGTGAGTCATGATCACTACACTACACTCCAGCCTGGGAGACAGAGTGAGACCCTGTCTCTAAAAAATACACAAGATTCGGGCTGGGCACCGTGGCTCATGCCTGTAATCCCAGCACTTTGGGAGGCCGAGGTGGGAGGATCACGAGGTCAGGAGTTCGAGACCAGCCTGGCCAATATGGTGAAACCCTGTCTCTACTAAAAATACAAGAATAAGCTGGGCGTGGTGGCCAGCGCCTGTAATCCCAGCTACTCGGGAGGCTGAGGCAGGAGAATCGCTTGAACCCGGGAGGCGGAGGTTGCAGTGAGCCGAGATCGTGCCATTGCACTCCAGCCTGGGCAACAGAGCGAGACTACGTCCCCCAAAAAAACAAAAACAACAACAACAAAAAACAAGATTCACTGAGTCCATCAAGGCAGAGGTGGAGAGGGCTAGCAGCCGTCCTGGCCAGGTGCTCCCCGGGACAGAGAATAAGAAACTGAGGAGGGGACGTGCGAGTACCCTGGTCCTCATCATTCCAGTCAGCGGGCCGGGTGGTGACAGAGGTGGCCCAGCCCCTCTTCAGGGAAGGCGAGGGCCAGCCCGAACCGGAAGGGGCAGTGTCTGATGACCACAGCTCTCAGGGGCGCCCAGGGCCAGTGGGGCAGCGGCAGGGCCGAGAGCACGACCGGCGGAACTCGGACGGCGCCCAGCGGTCGCGGGCGGGATCGCAGGGCGAAGCCGAGCCGGGCCGGGCCCTGGCAGGAAGGGGCGGACCCGCCTGAGTCTCGGATCTGGCTTGGCTCGATCCTCCACTCTCCCACTCCGCTGGGGCCGCCCACTGGACATCGCCCGAGTCGGCCTGGCGGTCGTGCCCCAGGACGCGCCGAGGTCCTCCGAGCCCGCAGGGGGCGCTGTCGCCATATGGCCCACCCTGAGTCGGCGCGGGCAGGAAGTACGAGGGTCACTTCCGGCGGGGGCGCGGCTTGGACTGAGGAGCGGACCCGGCCGGGCGCAGGGGCTGGACTGGCGGAGCAGGTGGGGTCCGCGGCCGCCGGAGCGTTCCGGTCGGCGTCTGGGCATCTCGGCCTCGGCAGAAAGCGCGACGGCCCTGCTGCGCGGGGCCCGCGGCGATGCCGTTCCTGCACGGCTTCCGGAGGATCATCTTCGAGTACCAGCCGCTGGTGGATGCGATTCTGGGCTCCCTGGGGATCCAGGACCCCGAGCGGCAGGAGTCTCTGGACCGGTAACTCACCCCCTCCCGTGAGCTGGCCGAGGCCGCTCCGACCCCGCAGCGTCCCACTTTATCACCACAAGCCGGGCGGGGTGGATGCGTCCCCCTTGACAGAGGAAGGGACGGGCGGAAGCCGGGGTTGCGTGGCTCGGAGTGCGCGCTGCCCCGCGCGGATCCCACTCCTGCCCCTTGCATGGCGGAGACGAAGGGCGGGGAGGGCCCGAGGGCGGAGGCCCGCGGGTTGTCGCAGGGCCTGCGCCTCAGCCCCACCCTGTCGCCTGCCTGTCCTGTGCCACCCCCCGGCGTGGCAGAGGAGCAGGGTGGAATCCGTGAGGCCTCAGATGTTACCCCAGAGCAGTGTGAAGGTGGGCTTTTGTAGCAGAGTTTGCGTTTTTATAGACAAGAGCTGGTCTGTCGTGGACCTGCAGGAAAGGGGTCGGGAGCGAATCTGCATTCACTGCCCATGGTACTAGGCACCTGGGGTCCATCAGTGGCTCAGCAAAACCCCCGCCTTCTTGGCGCATGTGCTCCAGAGGAGAGACTGACAAGTAATTGTACGGCGGCACGCGAGGTGGAAGGGAGGGGAGAGCAGAAGGAAGGGGCTCGGCTCAGGTGTTGAGGGGGTTGTCAGTTGGTATTTCCAACACGTGGTAATGATGAGTCTCGCCATCCAGGGACTCTGGTGGAAACGTAGGCTTTCTTCATCAATATCAGCTGAAGGTCTCAATGTGAGGGGAGGGAGGAGGCTGTGTTGCTGTCCTGGCTGCAGGTGTTGCCGGGGCTGGGGTCCTGCGGGTTTGAGGATGGAAGGGCTTTCTGAGGAAGAAGCATCAAAGTCGGGCTTGGGCTCTTGGCCTCCAGGCTGGTGGTCCCTTCAGTCCCAGCAGCCCAGGTGTGTGAGGCTTTGTACCTAAGTCTGCGACCGGACTCTGGGCAACGCGGGAGGAGAGCGCAGACAGACCCAGCCCATTCTCCGCAAATCCCAGTCTGCTCCCGTATTAAGAGATGCAGCGTGGCCCTCTCTCTACTTCAGAGCTTCCCCCAAGCCCCTGTGACCCACAGAGCCAGGGCCCTGCTTGCTGATGATGATAGCAGGACTAAAGCCCACCAACCCACAGGCTGCGCGGTCACCCGGTCCCACAGCTGTGCCTACCCTCAGCCTCTCTCCTGTCCCAGGCCCAGTTATGTCGCCAGCGAGGAGAGCCGAATCCTTGTTCTCACTGAGCTGCTGGAGAGGAAAGCCCACTCTCCCTTTTACCAGGAAGGCGTGAGCAACGCCCTGCTCAAGATGGCTGAGCTGGGGCTGACGCGGGCGGCCGACGTTCTCTTGCGGCATGGGGCCAATCTCAACTTTGAAGGTCAGCGAGAGCCCCGGGGGTGGGCAGGTGGCTTAAACGCGGCCCGACGCTGGGTGGGCGCCCATGTCCCCAGCCTTGGCTTCTACCATCCTCTGAGGAGTGACTTCCCCCCCTTTATTTCCTGGGTGGCTGCAACTAAGGAAACTCCCATTGGGTGGCCTCCCACCCCCTGCGGGTTTTCACATGGCTCTTCCCACCTCTGTTCCAAGAGCGAGTGTTGCTGCTTCTACCATGTGATTGATTAGCAAACTTTCCCCAGCTCCCAGATTAATCCCCACTTCCATTAATGCAAAAATGCGGCTGCTGGCACTGTGCCCAGAGCTAAGGGAAGGTAATTTTCTGCTACTTACTCTGAGCCAATTTGTTTTTTTTTTTCTCATGCCGTAGGGAGAGGGGAAAACAGGCTGCATTAGGCATAAATCACCACAGGACACCCTGGCTCCTGGCTCCTGAGTGCCAGGGATGGAGATGGAGCCGAGCTCCTTTCTCTGTGTTTTTCAGCCCAGGGAGGGCAGGGTTAGTCGGCAGACAGGCAGGGCTGCCTTGTGACCTAATAGGGGCCTGAGACAGCCAGGCACGTCTCCTTTCCCCATCCGAAGACGGGCTTGGAGTCTGCTGGGCTCCTGGAGGGTCAAGGAGCTGAGACGGGAGGGCCGGTTCTGAAGCCAGTGACTTGGAGACCAGCTTGGAGAACCTGGCTGTTACCACCAGGCCTACAAAGCAGAGCCGCCAGAGCTGCTGTGTAGCGCGGCCTCCCAGCCATTCTGAGAGGGTGCGCCCCGTTTTATGGTCCCTTCTTACAGAAGAGGAAACTAAAGCCCCCAACAGCTTCAGTAGCGTGCCCACTAGAACACCCCGAGGGCCCTCTAGTATCTGGTGAGGACAGCTCTGTCCTAACCCTTGATGGTGACAGGAGGCTGGGCCTGTGCTTCTGGACACTTTAGGTGGGAGTTTGGGGCTGGGCTCTGGGTCCGGGGGCCCCATAAGAATGCGGACAGATAGGACCCACATGAGCTGTGTCTGCACCTTCAGACCCAGTCACCTACTACACGGCCTTGCACATCGCCGTCCTGCGGAACCAGCCGGACATGGTGGAGCTGCTGGTGCATCACGGGGCCGACGTTAATCGGAGGGACCGGGTAAGTGCCAGGTCCAGCTTGCTTTGAAGCAGGGTTGGGCAGGGGCCTGAGCAGCTTCCCAAGCCAACCTGGCTGTGCTTCCTTGGCTCAGATCCACGAGAGTAGCCCCTTGGACCTGGCCAGCGAGGAGCCTGAGCGCCTGCCCTGCCTGCAGCGCCTCCTGGACCTTGGAGCTGATGTCAATGCCGCTGACAAGCATGGTGGGTGCCTCCTGCAGGAAAGCAGGACAGCTGGGCCCCCAGGCACCTTGTGGGGGACACCCAGGGTGCCCCAGGACAACAGCTAGGTGGGCAGACTGGATGCTGGCCCTGGCTGGTGGCACAGCATGGCTGGGCACACAGGGATTCTGCTGACTTGCTGAGCTCAGAGGCTTCAGAGAGGCAGTGCAGTCATTGTCCCTGTGCTGGCCCTCAAGGGCCTTCTATAGGAAGAAATAGGGCATGTGTGCACTTAGTTTCCAAGAAACAATGGCTTCCCATTGGGAGAGGCCCAGCCAACATCTCAGGTAGCATCTTGGGGTCCAGAAAAATCCTACCTTTCCTGGCCTTTCCGCTCCCACTTCTCTGGGTGGAAAGGGAATGGCCAGAAGCCTGTCACCCTCAGCCCTCACCTGAGCTGAGAGTTGTCTCTGAAAGTTCATCTTCTGATCCTCTGAGTGTCTGGATTTCTGCCACCTCCTCTGGGTTGCCCTGACCTGGGCTTCCTGGCCTCCTGCTCCTCCTTGCTCTCCCTCCCTCCCTAGGAAAAACTGCTCTGCTCCATGCTCTGGCCAGCAGCGACGGGGTGCAGATCCACAATACTGAGAACATTCGTCTCTTACTGGAAGGAGGTGAGGCTGGCGCGCTCCTAGGCCTCGTCCTCTCACCCGCCCCTTCGATGTGTGCTGTTGCTTTGCCAGGGTTGAAGGCCTTCTCCCAGCATCTCTTGTTCTATGGCTCTTCTAGGGGCAGACGTCAAGGCCACCACCAAAGATGGGGACACAGTGTTCACCTGCATCATCTTCCTGCTTGGTGAGACCGTGGGAGGGGACAAAGAGGAGGCCCAGATGATCAACCGCTTCTGCTTCCAAGTCACACGGCTGCTGCTGGCACACGGGGCCGACCCCAGCGAGTGCCCAGCCCACGAGTCCCTCACCCACATCTGCCTGAAGAGCTTTAAACTGCACTTCCCTCTCCTGCGCTTCCTCCTGGAGTCCGGAGCCGCCTACAACTGCTCCCTGCACGGTGCGTCCTGCTGGTCTGGCTTTCACATCATCTTTGAGAGGCTCTGTTCCCACCCAGGCTGCACGGAAGACGAGAGCCATGCGGACCTCCTGCGCAAAGCTGAGACTGTCCTGGATCTCATGGTGACCAACTCTCAGAAACTCCAGCTGCCCGAAAACTTCGATATCCACCCTGTGGGCAGCCTGGCGGAAAAGATCCAGGCCCTCCACTTCTCCTTGAGGCAGCTGGAGAGCTATCCCCCGCCCCTCAAGCACCTGTGCCGTGTGGCCATCCGGCTCTACCTTCAGCCGTGGCCTGTGGATGTGAAGGTCAAAGCCCTGCCTCTGCCCGACAGGCTGAAGTGGTACCTCCTTAGCGAGCACAGTGGCTCCGTGGAAGATGACATCTGATAGGTCTCAGGCTACAGGAACGGGGGACACGGGCAGCTCAGGTCAGCCTGTTGGTAGATGCTGGGACAGCATTAGAAGAGGGTCTTTTTGATCTGGGAGATGAGACGGGATCCTTCATGAGAAAAGCCAGCCAGGTAGAGCCTGAAGCTGTGATCACTCCAGTGGTGAAGGGTGCAGCTCTGGTTCTTCCAGAGAGACTGCCCCCTTCCCTCCAGCGGCACTCCAAGTCCCCCCCATGTTGGAAAGAGGAACAGGGCTTGGATTGATGTTTATACCCTCTGAATTGGAGGGCAGTGCCAGGGCATTTGCAGAAGCTGGGAAGGACCAAGCCTCAGCACCCCAGGGCTGCGGGGCTCTTGTTGGCCGCACGTGGCAGTGCAGCTGGAGAGGAAGCCTGGGGCACGTCCTGTGCGGTGCCACCAAGGCCCCACCCCTGCCCCTTTTCCTTCCAGGTTCTGTTACTCACAGAAGTGTTTCTGGTGGGCTCTGCGGGAGAAGACACTAAGGGCCCCACAGGCTTGTTTCATGGTGTTGCAAGCCAAGCTGGCCCCTGCCTGTTCCTGTAGCTCTGGGGCCAGGTCAGCCGTGGCCCCACCTACCAGAACTGTGCTCTGCTGGCAGCTGTGCTTTTGCCAAACCCAGGGCCTCAGCGACCATGACTTCTGCTAAAAAGCAATCATGAGTGCGTGGCTGGGGACAGACCTCTCTGAAGTGTCTCCTGTTGTGAGGGGCTCACTTTGGAGCCACTGAAGAGCCGACTGTGCCACCCACTTGCGAGCCTCAGTCCCTTCCAAGCTGCACTGGTCATTGGGAATTGTGTAAACACCTCTGGGGATAAGCTGAGGTGACTAAATGATATATTTATATTATAAGATTAAACTGACTTTCTTGGCCTTAACAAGGTCCTTATATAAAATTTCCACCCCGCCCCTCCATAGTTCAGGATAGAGGCTCCCACAGCAGCCGGTAAGGAAGTGGGTGGCAGGTGTGAGGGGATGCTGTGTTTGGGGGGTTGTTTCCAAGTCCCTGCAAAGAAGCACCACTCTAGACTGGCAAGGGCCTCCACAGTGTGGAGGTCCCATTTTATTATTTTTTTTTTTCGAGACACTCTGTCACCCAGGCTGGAGTGCAATGGTGCAATCTCGGCTCACTGCGACCTCTGCCTCCCAGGTTCAAGCAGTTCTCCTGCCTCAGCCTCCTGAGTAGCTGGCATTATAGGTGCCCACCACCATGCCTGGCTGATTTTTGTATTTTTAGTAGAGACGGGGTTTCGCCATGTTGGTCAGGCTGGTCTCAAACTCCTGACCTCAGGTGATTCGCCTGCCTCGGCCTTTCAAAGTGCTGGGATTACAGACATGAGCCACTGTGCCCGGCCCCCATTTTATTTTAGTTTTATTTTGAGACAGAGTCTCGCTCTGTCACCTAGGCTGGAGTGCAGTGGCGCAATCTCACCTCACTGCAAGCTCTGCCTCCCGGGCTCACCCCATTCTCCTGCCTCAGCCTCCTGAGTAGCTGGGACTACAGGCGCCCGCCATCACGCCTGGCTAATTTTTTTTTTTTTTGTATTTTAAGTAGAGACGGGGTTTCACCTGTTAGCCAGGATGGTCTCAATCTCCTGACCTCGTGATCTGCCCGCCTCGGCCTCCCAAAGTGCTGGGATTACAGGCGTGAGCCACCGCGCCCAGCCCCATTTTATTTTTTACTTTAAATGCCTGCCAAGGAGCAGCCTCAAGCCCAGAGAAGACTGAGGCTACGGGGAACTTCCCTTGCTGCAGGCTGTTGTAACACTTTAAGGGCCCCAGGTCTCCACTGCCAAGCAGGACTTGGCACATGAGCACCCACCCCACAGCACCATCAGGCAGCACCCATGGGCTCCACCAGCCCAGCTCTGTCCCTCCCCTAGGTAAAGATCACACTGAAGTCTTCAAGTCCCCAGCAACCAAGTTGGGGGTGGTTTCCTTCCTCTTCAGGCAGCCAGGCCCATGGCTGGAAGGCCGGGCTGGAGGCCCAGGGAATCGGTTACTGATGTGGCCACCCTATTCCCACATGGGGAGCACCAGGAGCCCTGGAGCCCCTTCCACCCAATCCCATCTCGCAGGAGAGCAGGGTCTGGGCTCCTGCCTCACCGCTGGTTCAGCAGCACCCTCCCCGCCGGGTCCCACCTTGCCTTTTGAAGAAGAGCCCGCATAATGAGTGGACGGCAGACAGCTATATTTAGTGGTGCCTCGACACTCACGAACCGCCAGCGTGGCGCCTGGATCTTGCCCAGCTGCCAGCTCCCCCCACCAGGACTGTGGTTCCTCAGTTTCTCCTGCCAGCCCCGGCTCATCTCAGGGCAAAGCTATAGACATGGTAGATCTCATCGGGGAGGTTCTCCTGCCTCTCCTCGGCCAGGAGGCTGAGGCCTGCACTGCAGATGATCCTGCGGACCACGTCAAGGTCCCGGCACACGCTGCTGTCCACGTCGTCCAGAATCACGCCCTCCTGGGCCATGTTGTCTTTGATGACGATGATGCCGTTGGGGCGGAGGCTGCCCTTGCAGCGCCGCAGGAACTCGGCCAGGTGCTGATCGGTGAGGTGGCCTGGGGAGGGCAGAGGCAAGGTTACCAGGGCACCATGCAAGCGGATGTCGGCACTGGATGGGATGTACTTCTCAGCCCCGCTGAGCCCCTCATTTGTGCCCAGCATTTTGTGTGCACACATGGCCTCATTGGCTCTCAGTCCCGAGAGATTTACTAAACCCCAATTCATAGAATAGGAAACTGTGGCTCAGAGGTCATCTACCTAAAGACACATTAAGCCAGAATTTGACTTGACGGGATGGCTTACAAGTCCTGCCTGATACCTACACACCATGATGCCCCACCCCTGCCAGGCTTGGATCGGAGGAGTGAACCTGGGCTAAGAGTTTGGCATTGCAGGAGCTCCCAGAGAGACTGCCTTCCCTACACTAGAAGTCCCCACAAAGGCTTCTGAGACCACAAAATACAAGGCCAGACCTAGAGTGTCCACAGCAGGCCTGTGCTGCCCGCCTCAGGAGGTGGCCGACTGCTGCTAGCGGCCTGCCGCCACGTCAGCAGCCCAGGGCACAGCGCTCGAGGTGTGCTGTTAGGCTAAGAGGGTGCAGGGCTAGACACGAAGCTTAAACTATTCATCTTATTAAAAATAAAACCCTTATAAAACTCCTCACTTTGAATGCAGTAAGTTATTGGCCATTAAAATTTTTTCAACAAAAAACTGCACCCAAATGGATGGTAGCAGGTATTCAACTGAAACAAAACCTAGAAGGAAGAAATCTACCTTTTAGGCCGAGCCTGTCCCTCAGTCCTGGGAAGTACGGGGTGGGGGTGGGCCTGGGCGGGGTGGGGAATCCTCACTGGCCCACTTGCTGCAGGAGTGCAAAGCCCTGGTCCTGACACCTTATGGGGAACGCGAGTGGCAGGAGACATACAGGTGAGCAGGGAAGGGCGGTGGAACCCTCACCTATCACCCACTGGATCCAGATCACGTCGTAAGAGTCCGGCTCCGGGGTGAAGTCCTGGAGCCCACAACAGAAGTAGTTCCTCACCCTCTTGCCCTCCTCCCCCAGGTAGGTCTTGGCTTGAACCAGGAAGTCCTCCGTTATGTCGACCATATCCACCTCTCTGAACAGCGGCAGGAGCAGCCGCTTGGTGATCCTCCCAATGCCAGCTCCACAGTCCAGGGCACAGGACGTTCCTGTCTTGTTCGGGCCTTCCTGAAAAGCAGAGGCATATAACCTATCAGAGGGACCCTGTCACCGCACGTGCGGCCCTTCCTCACGAGCCCTAGGACTTAGACTCAAGTCAGGATTCCAGGACTCCGCACAAGCTGAGCACTGGTGGGGAGGTCTGTGCTGGCTGCCAGCTTGTACGGAGTCGAGGGGATGAGCATGGGAGGACACACTGCTGGGCCACACATTCCTTTATCTTTGAAAGTTCAGGTTGCATTCTGCATTCTGTTCAGGTTGGAATGCAGTGGTGGGATCATGGCTCACTGTAGCCTCGAACTCCTGGGCTCAAGCCATCCTCCATCTTCCCACCTCAGCCTCCCAAGTAGCTGGGACTACAGGCATGCGCCACCATGCCCAACTCATTTTTTTTTTTTTGTATTTTTTGTAGAGACGGGGCCTCGGTCTGTTGCCCAGGCTGGTCTCAAACTCCTGGGCTCAAGCAATCCTCTCACCTTGGCATCCCAAGGGGCTGGGATGACAGGAGTGAGCCACTGCCCCTGCCCTGGGCCACACATTTCTAAATGAAAGCTAATTTCCACTTAAAGGTGATAACTTGAACAGGTGCACTAATCTCTCCTGAGTCTCCAGGTAAACAACGGCAGAGAGGAATGGGGAGAATGGAAGCGGGGCAACAGGTGAACAAGGGTGCAGAGAGGGAACATGGAGGGAGGGGAGGCGCTGGATGGAGCAGGTGGCCAACAGCAGCCTCCAGTGCCAGCCATGAGACAAGAAGGTGGGGGGCTCCAGGACTGGGGGTCCCAGCCTGGTACAGAAAAGGCTGGGGGTGGAGCAGAGGGTGGAAACCATGGCACATAACTAGGAGTCTTCGTCCAGAATAGCCAACACCCTCAGTCCAAACACCCGTGGACATGGCAGGAGAGCAAGGGTTTCGTCCCTGGCAAAACCCAACAGTTGAAGAGAGGTTTGCCCAATTCAGGCACCTCAATTCTGCCTAACAGCCAGCTCCTGTCTGGTAACCCTGAGGCTAAGTCCACAATCTAGAAGTTACCCCACTGTGCCCACCCAGCCCAGCTCCTCAAGGCTTTGGGGTAGGTACCAAGAGATAGCCAACAATCCTGCAGTGTTACATGTGTAAAAGGTGGCACCCCACATGGACTCGGCAGTGCCACCAGAGCCACAGCCTCTCCTGGAGAGCACGCCAGACCTGCCTACCCTCAAAAACCTCTGCAGAAACTTCCGGGAGCTGTTGATGTCGATGCTGGAGATGTGGCCATACCCCCCAAGCATGCCGTCCACCGTGGGTGGGATTTGTTTCCAGTAGGTCTTGGCCTTGGAATAGAATTGCTTCTCGTCTTCTATCACCTCGCTCGTCATGCTGTCACCAACCACGGCTCTACTCAAGCACCACGATCAGCAACCGCGACTCTCCTGGGTAAGGAAGGGGGCGTGAGTCAGCGGGCCAGGGACCTGGCAGAAAGGCCCCCAGGGCAGAGGGCCAGTCTCACACCAGGCTTCACAAGTCACACATCCTGCTGAGTGCAGAGAGAAGTCCAGGGTCCCCAAATCTGCTTCTACCCCTTGGATAACAGCATCTTCTGTCTTTTGCACTCAGAGCACCCGCCCCAAGTCCTGGCTTCAAGTTCTTTTACATTTTTATTTTTTCTGGAGTGCAGTGGTGTGATCATAGCTCAATGCAGCCTCCAACTCCCGAGCTCAAGAGACCCTCCCACCTCACCCTCCGGAGCAGCTAGGACTACAGTTGTGTGCCACCATGCCTGGCTAATTATTTTTTGTAGAGATGGGGTCTCACTATGTTACAAAGGTTGGTCTTGAAGTCCTGACCTCAAGAGATTCTCCCACCTTGGCCTCCCAAAGTGCTGGGATTACGGGTGTGAGCCCATGTGCCTGGCCTGGCTTCAAGTTCTTGATATGCTCTATATGACACCTGACTCAGTGGCTTCAGGGCACAGAAAACCCTGATCAATAAAGAGAAACGACCGCAAAGCCGAGAGCACCAGCAGACCCTGGAGGGCCAGGGAAGCTTCCACGCCTCCCTTCCTCTGGCTCAGAGCACAGCAACAACTCACGGTGGGGTCCAGTCCTCCGTTAACAAGGAGTGGGGACTCTGTGCCAGGCACCGGGCTGTGAACCAGGCAGCCAGCCAGGCAGAAAACAATTCTACAGACACAACCACACCTGCAGGGAGGGCTGCAGAGGAGAAGCGCCAGTGCCAGCAGAGCACGGAGGGAGGAAGTGGAGTCGGGTGCGGGGACCAGGGAAGGCATCCCTGAGGAGGGGACGCGTAAGCTGAAACCGATGGATGGGCAAGAATAAGCGCAGTAGGTGGAGGGCGACGGCACTGCTCCTGGAGGGAAGGACAGACAGCCCTCGCGGCTGCCAGTTCCTGGTCTCACAGTCAACTCTAGCAGTTTCGACTGCATCCTACAGAGCAATGAGTCAACCACCCTGAGGCCCAACAGAGAGTGGCCCGGGAAGACCGATGCTTCTGAAGACTGCTGGCGGCGGTGGAGATGGCAGGGGGATGAGGAGACGGTTGCCACGGTAGAAGGAGAGAGAACTAGAAAGCCTCAGCTGGGTCCTGGCAGCAGAGCCCAGGCCCACCTCACCCTTCAGGACAGCGATGACAGTTGGGCGGCTCCGTGCTCCACGGGTGGCCATTCTGCCATAAGCTTCCCAAGGCACAGTGCTGTCACCAAGGCACACCACGCTTAGGGGCTGTTCTAGTTGCTGTGAGGCTTGCCAAGACCTCAGAGAGCTCTAGTCCAGGAGGACAAAGAACAAAGGGAAAGAAAATACACAGCAGAAAAATAAGGATTCTCATGGACCCACAAAGTGTCGAGGACACTCAAAGGGCAGAGGAATCTCCTCCCAACAGCAGATAGGGGCAGCCGCCTGGAGGAGGCAGCCCGAGCTGGGCAGCCAAGCACAGGGAGTGCTGGAGGGGGTGGGGCAGACAGAGGGAGCAGCCGTGGGACAGCATGGGCCATCAGAGGGCGGAGAGTGGAGCGGGGGAAGACTGTGGAAGGTGAGCTCGGAAAGGCAGACGGGGCCTGGATGAGGGTGGCCTCGAGTGCATGCTGGGCACCAACTCTCGGCTGATGTGTTTCCCACACTGCCAAGGCCTAACCTAAAGGAGGCAGAGTGAGAATGGCAGTGGCCGTGCTGAGGACACACAGCAACAGTGGGTGGTAGGAATCCCAGCAGCAGCAGCTGCTACATCCTGATAAACCCATGGTAAAGGGAAAATACCCTCGGTGGAAAACGCGCAGCTGACTGGGAGCTGCAGCTCACCGCCTCGCACGTGCTGCCTCCACACGAGGAGAGCAGGGGGCTTCTAGCAAATGCCTGTCGCCAAAGTTGACAAATCGTAGGTCCAAGACCGTCTGCCTGACTCCTGGAGCTACAGGGTCAACACGGAAGAGTCCACATATGGAACTCGGGTACAGTCCTCAAACACAACTCAAAGCTTAAGACCCAGGAACACTCTAGGGGCTTCAAGAGAAGTGGTCAGAGGGAAACGGGAAAATGCCCTGAGAAGGAGCACGAGGCCTTTGGGAAGCAACTATGAGGAAAGAGAAGGGAAACTAAACACAAGACAAGCTGGAGAATTTTTTCTTCTTTTTTTTTAGAAAGGGTCTCACTGTCGCCAGACTTGAGTACAGCTCAGGTGATCCTCCCATCTCAGCCTCCAGGGTAGCTGGGACTGCAGGCACATACCGCCACACCTGGCTAACTTTTGTATTTTCTGTAGATATGGAGTTTTGCCACGTTGCCCAGGCTGGTCTCAAACACCTGGCTGCAAGCAATCCACCTGCCTCAGCCTCCCAAGGTGTTGGGATTACAGGCAGAAACCACTGCACCCAGCCAAGATTTTTCATTGGTCAAATTTGTTACTGGCCCCAGAACTATATTCTGCACTACTATATTCTGAACCTGTCCTGAAAGAGAAGGAACTTTCCAGAAGCAGTAGGCCCACCCCGCCCAGCCAGCTCAAGAATACTTCTAACAGATGCAACGGGGTTCTTCTTAGATCCGTGATTGGGTCTTCTCACCCTTAGCAGAATCCTTTGGCTGTGCCTAGAGAGAAGCCTGCTTAAACTTCTCTTCAGATTCTTGTTTTTTTGAGATGGGGTCTTACTATGTGGCCCAGGCTGGCCCCAAACTCCTGGGCTCAAGCCATCCTCCCTGCTCAGCCTCCCAAGTAGCTGAGATTACAGGCGCACGCCACTGCACCTGGCTTCCCTCTTCAGATTCTTGAATCCGCTCGCAGACTGACCCCTCACTTTACTGTTCACGCACAAGGGTTTCAGCCACAATGAAGAAAGGCAGCAGTCACTTCACCAATCAGGGAGCCCTTTGGGGTAACAGGCTGGGGAGGACCTTAGTTCTAAATATTGCACATAACACCCTCCCCGCAAGCTGACCACAAAGCTCCCACACTGGTGTCCCAGCACTGGGAACAACACTGCCGGAAGGAGAAAGAAGCCCACGGCTCAGAAACCCCATCTCTGTCAAAAATACACACATTCTAGTAGCTACTAGGGAGACTGAGGTGGGAGGATCACTTGAGCCTGGGAGGTCAAGGCTGCAGTGAGCCATGATCCTGCCTCTGCATTCCAGCCTGGGCAACAGAGTGAGACATTGTGTCAAAAAAAGAAGAAGAAGAATGAATTCTTCTTCCCACCAGACCTGCCAATCCTCAAGACTGCTAGATGTGCCCGGGTAGCTGACAGGAAAAAGGGCCACCAATCTGAATGTCACCATGTAGCTGGGTTTGGTGGCTGCTATGGTCTGATGGCGTAAGGACCAGGTTAGGTGGGCTGCCTGCCCCTCTGCCAGCAGGTACCGGAGCAACCATGTCACAGCCCTCCATCAGTCACTCAAGAGAGGACGGCATTCAAAACTACTCTATAACCTATAACCTATAACCTGAGCCCTTTGGGAGGCTGAGGTGGGAAGACTGCTTGAGCCCAGGAGTTTGAGTCCAGCCTGGACAACAGAGCGAGACCCTGTCTCAAAAAACAAAAAACACTTGGTGGCTGGGAAAATTAAAGACAAAGGTTAAAAAACGAACTACTACTCTTCCACACCATGCTGGCACAACTCCCATTCAGACTGGACCATGGCGAGAGCAAGCCTGTCTCCCTCTCACCGCCCAACTTGGCAAACTGAAGGTTTTGTATTCAGTTCTCTCTCTCGCCTGGCCGGGGAGCTCCTGAGAGCAGTGGCAACATTTGAGATTTATCACCATGCTTCTCTTGCATCCCATGAAACACAAATATTCAACAGAAAGTTCACCTCTGATCAAATGAACAGAATAAATCTGGGGGCAAACACATACCAGGCTGGACTCCATCCGTCTCCTCTCCCAGCATGCAGCTTCCTGGGGGTAGAGACATTACCTTGTACACCATTAGCCCAGTGCCTGATACCAGGTGGGCATTGACTAACTGGTTGCCAAATAATGCAAGAATGGGCTTTGTGCAGCTATAGCCATTTTCCACTCTAAGAAAATCCTACAGACAAAAGTCCAACCATTCAGAACTGGTAAATACTGAAGGCCTGAAGGCTGCTACCGACAATATAATTCTGTGCTTTACCAAAAGCCTTGTAACATGATTCCTTTAAATGTCAGGGTCCCCTGAATAATCTAATTTACAAGAATTCCACTTACACGCAAATTCTGGGAACAAGCCAGGGGAGGCACATCCTGGCCGGGAAATAGCAAGCCTGACTTTGACATCTGCCCTAACAGCTGATTCATTAATAAACGGGATTCCTGGGGTCCTGGCTACATTTTGCCTCGTGGTGTCCAGATTGGAGTGGGGCAGGAGGAGGTCCCTAAGAGTCTGAGGGAACAGCAAGGTCAGTCAGCCAACAGCAGGTGGTCCTGCTACACTCTGCTCCAGAGCACAGATGCCGTATGTGGCTGAAGGGCCTGGGAGGGGGCCAGGAGCACACGGGCTTTGTGTGCACTCTAGGCTAGCTCAGAGAGGAAGACAAACCCCTCATGCCTGGTAAATGGCTGCTCAGCCAGTAAATGTGATCCTACATCCTTCACAGTCACCTGGCTGCTGCCTCCTCCTCCCCGCCAAGGTGTTCAGACCCAAGGTACTGCATCTCTTCTCCCACGACCCATGGAAGAAAACAGTGCTGAAACTGTCACCGGCAGACTTTTGCAGTCATCTCATCCTCCTCACGTAAGTCTCTACGGAAAAGCCTGCCTAAAAGTTACCTCCACCCTCTAGCAGCCTAGTGGACAGAGTCCATCCTCCCTGGATCTTTGTGGACAGCAGCAGGCCACATGCAAACGGCAGAGTGCTCTAAGAAAAAGAAGGAAGTGAGAAAGGGAGGGAAGAAGACAAAACAGGGGATACATTTAAAAACTAACAAAGGCTCTGATGGAGCCAGATGAACCAGATCTGAATCTTGGCTCTGCACACCTGCTGTGTAAGCACAGACAAGACATTAAACCTCACCATTCCTCAGTTCACCTATAAAATGGAACAGTAATACCGACTTTACAGAAAGGCTGTGATTAAAAGTGCATATGAAAAGCTTAAAGTGCTTTGCACAGTGCCGGGCACATATTCTCTCTTGAGCTTAGAAATCTCTGTCAAATGAGATTCTTGTCAACTCTGCCCACTATGAGGATCAAATGGGAAAACTGCCTTAGAATGCCACAGAAGCTGTATTGGACACACCTAGGGGACTGTTACTGGTATGCTGGGCGGCCAAGCCAGCAGACTCAAACAGCTCTGCAAATCAGCCAGAGTGGGGAGTGAGCTTCCTCTGCCTATAAGCACAGAACCCCCACCGAGATTTTTTAGATGCCATCCTTGTGATCCTAGGGCTTCCGGCCTCCACCAAAACGCTCCATGCATCCTTCCAACCCCCGCACAGTCCTCAGTTTACATAGAGAAAAACCAGCACACTAAAGGAAGTGACGTGTCTTTAAACATACAAACAGGAAGCCGAGAACAGAATTAAGGAGGGAATCCAGGCTCCTTATACCAGCCCTGGTTCCTCCCAGAGGCTCATCCCATCTCACTGGGCAATCATTCTACACACCACAACCACCGGTTACACTGTCCCTCCCCGCTGTCAGGGCCTCTGACACCAGTTGTGGCAATCACTTATAGTACAGAGGAGAAACCAAAGTCCAGAGGGAGAGATCACACAGTTGGTGCGCAGCAAAGTCTGGGCTTTTCGATATGGCAGCCTCCCTGCAGACAGGCTGACCTTGGCCGCAAGGGCTCTCGGGCTGTCTTTTTTGAGCTGCACCTGTGTCGGGCTGGCGCTCGGGTGGCACCCAAGGTTAAATACGACAGCAACTTCTGTGCAGCGGGCACTTAACTGTGCCAGGCTCTGAACTGGGCATTTTACCGATTTTACCGATTCCTCCCATCCATCCTCCAAGTGGGCGCTCTCCATATCCCTGTTTCTCGGAAGGGAAACAGGCTCAGAGAAAGGGATTTGCTGCGGTCTGGGGACCGGGGTGGGGGAGTGCCCTGCCTGGGCTTTGAGTGCCTTGACTTTCCTCCTGTACCCCGACCCATGGACTGCTCCGTAGTCCCTGCCCAGGTCCGGCCCGTAGACCTCTTGGGGACGCGCACGTGAGGCCTGTGCCGGCCCGCGCGCACGCGCCGGGTCACGTGACGAGCCGGGGACCCGGGACCTCAGGGCGCCGAAACAGTTAGGGGTCGCAGCCTCCCCTCTCCCAGCGGCTGCCTACCCTTCGCACCGCCTCGCGCTACTCACTCCGGGCGGGGGCTCCCGGGACCGAGAGAAGAAGATGGGGAAGAGGAAGGGAGGGCGGCGGCGGCGGAGACGCCACAAGCCAACCGCAGCTCCGCCAGACCACGACCAGACGCGACAGCTCGCGGCGCGCGCTGCCTTTGTCCGCCAACGTCACTTCCGGGCGTTTAGGGGCGGGCCCATGGCTGGCTCCACCCCCTCGCTCAGCTCGCCCCTCCCCCGCGCGGGCTCCGGATTTAACTTAACTTCTTTTGAAAAATAATTTAAATTTTTTTTTTTTTTTTTTTGAGATAGAATCTTGCTCTGTCAAGCAGGCTGGAGTGCAGTGGCGCGATCTCGGCTCACCGCAACCTCTGCCTCCCAGGTTCCAGCGATTCTCCTGCGTCAGCCTCCAGAGTACCTGGGACTACAGGCGTGAGCTACCACACCCAGCTAATTTTTGTATTTTTAGTAGAGACGGGTTTTCACCATGTTGGCCAGGCTGGTCTCGAACTCCTGACTTCAAGTGATCCGCCCGCCTCTGCCTTCCGAAGTGTTGGGATTATAGGCGTGAGCCACCGCACCTGGCCTAATTTGACTTCTTTAAAAAAAAAAAATTAGAGACGGGGTCTCACCCTGTTGCTCAGGCTGATCTTGAACTCCTGGCCTCAAGCGAGGCTTCCACCTCGGCCTTCCAGACTGCTGGGATTACATGCGTGAGCCACCGCGCCCAACACAGGTTACAGCTCAAAACTTGACTAAATTGACTTTTGGGAATCTAGAAGGACCTCCCGAACGGAAAAGAGCCGCAGCGTCGCCCTCTCCCCGTCCCCAGCACGTACAACAGTTCGTTTGGAGGCTGCAGGCTGGACTTCTAAAAACGAGTGTGTTGTGCGGGCTTTGAGTAAAAAGGGAAAAAAAAGCCATTGGTCCTCAAATCCACCCATCTCCATTAGCATCTTAAAATAATACCGACCCCCCAAAATAAATAAAATAAAAAGAAATACTCTCGGCAGTGCCATGGGATTCCCACTGAAATGAGCAAAACAAGCCCATGACGTTTCCATTCCAAAAGCGTGGCCCTTCCCTAGGCTCCTCCCATGCAAAGAAATTCTGGAGCTATCTCCGAGGCAGCGGTGATGGAAACGGGAGCTTGCAGGTGGGTAGAGCCTGTTAACATTTCCGAGCTTCAGTCTCCTGTCAGAAGAGGAAGTTGAGCAACGTAATAATTACTCAACTTCTGATGCTCTGAGAGGGTTAAACTTGTGGGACATTGCACGTCAGACCTTCAGCTCAGCACCTGCAGTGGGTTCTCAGGAAATGGAAGCTGTTATAATGACAATATCCATCTTAAGTTCATTTTTCCTATACTATTAATAATATCCTTGTGTTGGCAGGGCACGGTGGTGCACGACTCTAATCCCAGCATTTTGGGAGGCCAAGGCAGGCGGATCACCTGAGGTCAGGAATTTGAGACCAGCCTGGCCAACATGGCAAAACCCCGTCTCTACTAAAAATACAAAATTAGCCAGGGATGGTGGTGCATGCCTGTAGTCCCAGCTACTCTGAGGCTGAGGCAGGAGAATAGCCTGAACCTAGGAGGCAGAAGTTGCAATGAGCCTAGATCGCGCCATTGCTTTCCAGCCTGGGTGACAAGAACGAAACTCTGTCTCAAAAATAAAATAATAATAATACTATCCTGGTGTTCCTTCCTCTGGGCGACGCACACAGAAGGTGCTTAAAGTGTGTTTGCTCTAAATGTGTTGAAAGCTACGGTAGAAAGGGGATGCTAAAAAGCCCCTTCTGCATTGAGTCCGCAGGATGTGTGTATGTGCATCTTATTTGGCATACCCTCTAGACTATTCTAGGTCACAACTGCTACCCCTGGTCTGAGCCCCTCTCCCAAGCTTCATTTTCTGTGTCTTTAAGCAAAGGGATTGATCCTGGGCAATTTCAATCGGTGGGGGTGTCCGGAATCCTCCGCCAGGGGGCAGCTCTGATCCAAGCTCTCTGTATGCCTAAAAATCCAGCCCTGTCTTATTTCCTGTCAACAGAAGAGCAAGCCCCTTCCCCACAGCCACGCTCCAAGGCCTTCCCAGGACTGGCCGGCTCCCTGACCTCAAAGCCTCTGGCATCTCTGAATTCCCAAGCCTAGCACATAGTAGTTCCTTGATAAATATTTGCAGAGTGCAAGGGCTGGAGGGCTCCTTAGAAACCATCTAGTTAGGCCAGGCGCAGTGGCTCACGCCTGTAATCTCAGCACTTTGGGAGGCCGAGGCAGGTGGATCACAAGGGCAGGAGATCGAGACCATCCTGGCTAACACGGTGAAACCCCGTCTCTACTAAAAATACAAAAAAATTAGCCGGGCGTGGTGGTGGGCACCTGTAATCCCAGCTACTCGGGAGGCTGAGGCAGGAGAATGGGGTGAACCCAGGATGCGGAGCTTGCAGTGAGCTGAGATCGCGACTCCGTCTCCAAAAAAAAAAAAAAGAAAAGAAAAGAAAAAAAGAAACCGTCTAGTTAATCTGGTGTTTCGCAGCCATTAAAAAAGACACATACCCTTTAAATAAATACAAAAATATCTCCCTCCCCCACTCAATATTGTAGCTCTCCAGGAAAGTATGTCCCTCCATCCCTGGTGAGAAGCATTGACAGAAAATAGAATATATCTTTGGCGACGCGTTCTCTAGTGAGTCACTCTGTTATTTGAATTACAAAGTCGTTTCTTCATTTTCAAATTATGAAACTATGCCACGCCAGTGAAATACTCATGTAAATGACCTCTGTCTCCCACCCCAGCTTCACAATACTATGAGCTTCCTCTCGGCCCTCTCCCAGCCAAGACTCAGAGATAAGGCCCAGGGAGTCCTGAGAAAGAAGACACTTCTCCAGGATCACACAGCAAAACAGCAGACCATGGACTTGAAAGTGGGTCTGTTAATTTCTTTTCTTCCTTCCTTCCTTCCTTCCTTCTTTTTTTTTTTTTGAGATGGAATCTTGCTCTGTCGCCCAGGCTGGAGTGCAGTGGCGCGATCTCCGCTCACTGCAAGCTCCGCCTCCTGGGTTCACGCCATTCTCCTGCCTCAGCCTCCCGCGTAGCTGGGATTACAGGTACCCGTCACCACAACCAGCTAATTTTTTGTATTTTTAGTAGAGACAGGGTTTCACCGTGTTAGCCAGGATGGTCTCGATCTCCTGACCTCATGATCCACCCGCCTTGTCCTCTCAAAGTGCTGGGATTACAGGCGTGAGCCACCGTGCCCGGCTCTTTCTTTCTTTTTTTTTTTATGGAGATGGAGTCTCACTCTGTTGCCCAGGCTGGAGTGCAGTGGCGTGATCTCGGCTCACTGCAACCTCCGCCTCCCGGGTTCAAGCAATTCTCCTACCTCAGCCCCCCAAGTAGCTGGGACTACAGGCACACGCTGTCACGCCCGGCTAATTTTTTTGTATTTTAGTAGAGACGGGGTTTCACCATGTGGCCCAGGCTGATTGCGAACTCCTGAGCTCAGGCAATCCACCTGCCTCGGTCTCCCAAAGTGTTAGGATTACAGGTATGAGCCACTGGAACCTGGCCTCTTTTTTTTTTGTGAGACAGAGTCTCAAATGATCTGTGTAACGGATTAGAGTTGGAGATGTCAGCATGAGCTCATGTTTAGCTTAATATAAGTACAGATGGTTACCTATAGAAATATTTATAGATATGTGTGTGTTTCATAGTATACACACACATTTCTTTGTCAGCTGAGACTGCCTGAAAGAAATGACATCTCAATAGCAAGAAGCACACCTAGCACCCAGACCTTGGATTATTATTATTATTATTTTTGAGATGGAGTCTCGCTTTGTCACCCAGGCTGGAGTGCAGTGGCATGATCTCAGCTCACTGCAACCTCCGCCTCCCAGGGTCAAGCGATTCTCCTGTCTCAGCCTCCCAAGTAGCTGGGATTATAGGTGCACAACACCATGCATGGCAAATTTTGGTATTTTTTGTAGAGACGAGGTTTCACCATGTTGGCCAGGCTGGTATTGAACTTCTGACCTCAGGTGATCCGCCCGCCTCGGCCTCCCAAAGTGCTGGGATTACAGGCGTGAGACACCGTGCCCCGCAGGGTCTGTTCATTTCTAGGTCCATTGTATTCTGACTGCCTGGTCTTGGGGTGGAAGTTCTACTTCCAGAGCCACCCAGCCTAAGCCTCCCAGATCTGGAAAGGGTAGGCCTGGCTGCCCTGGTCAGAGTCCCAGTGCCCCAGGTGGCTGCGGCCAGGGCATCCAGGGCACAATAGCCCCACCCTTAGTCCCCAGGCCTCAGTGCCCACTGCTACTCAGATGCCCAGGGGTGAGGGGCGGATCACAATGACCCTGAAGCGGCCCAGAGGCAGCCGGGAGGGGCTGGGAGAGGCACCAGGCAGGGATGATGGGCTCTACAGCCTGCCTGTAGAGAGCTCTAAACTCACAGGACCTTCTAGGGCCCCACCCAGAAGCCCACCAGGGTGAGTGTGACACTGCCCAGGAGTCAGCTCAGAGCTGACAACAATCTGGGAGTGGGGTGTGGTTGGGAGGAAGCAGGCTTAGAAACCCCTCAGTGTCAGAGCTGGGAGTAAGACTGGGGCTCTGCCTCCCAAAGGGGGAGTTTGTTAAAAGTCTGTGTCTTGGCCAGAAGTGGGGACTCACGCCTGTGATCCCAGCACTTTGGGAGGCCAAGGCAAGTGGATCACTTGAGCCCAGGAGTTCAAGACCAGCCCGTGCAACATAAATACAAAAAAATTCTACCCCATTTCTACAAAATATACAAAAATTAGCCAACTGTGGTGGTGTGTGCCTGTAGTCCCAGCTACTCAGGAGGCTGAGGCAGGAGGATCACTTGAGCCCAAGAATTTGAGGCTGCAGTGAGCTATGATGGTGCCATTGCACTCCAGCCTGGGTGACAGCAGGACCCCGTCTTAGCAAGACCCCATCTCTTTAACAACAACAACAAGAACAACAAACTGTCTTGGCTCCAGCAGAGACGTACTGAATCAGAATGGGGGCTGGGGGTAAGTCATCTGTATTTTCAACAGGCTCCCCACCCAGGGGTCTCTGAGGCAGCACCAGGGCTGGGAGGCTGCTGGTCAGGTCTCTCTTCCCTCAAGCTGGTTCCAGGTTTCCTAATTCCCAGTAGAGCGCTAATGACGGTAACAGTTCCACGCTTTGAACACTGCAAGGCAGGCTAAGTGCTCTCTCTACCAGCGGTGATGCGGTGATGCCGTTTCACGGCTGCAGAGAGGCAGGTGCTGCTATTATCCCCATTCTGCAGACCAGAGCCCCCAGGGAAGGCAGAGGGAAGTTAATTGGCTTGGCCAAGGTTACAAAGCTAATAAGTGGTGGAGCTGGGACTAAATCCTAAATAATAATAACTTTGAAATACTAAGAATGGCAGCTAGTCTATGTGTAAGCTTGGCCAGCGTGCCTGGCACTGTACCGAGCTTGCTGTTCTAAGACTGGCATGTACTTGCTCATTTAAACGTCACAGCAACCCCCAAAGTTGGCTACTCTTGCTGTCACCATTTTTCAGGTGAGGAAACAGAGGCTCTGGGAGCTCTCGCCTGAAGCCACTCGCTGTCCGCCGGGCCGGTGGCGTTCACCCCGCACCGCGCTGCCCCGCCCGGGGCACTATGGCCTGGGGCTGGACTATGCCCTCCCCACCTCAGCCGGCGCCCCCCACCCACGCGCGCTGAGGGTGCGGTGAGCTGAGTGCGGGGCCAAGCATGTTCTGGCGTCGACTTCGCCCAGGGGCCCAGGACCTGGCGCCCAAGGGGCTCCCTGGCGACGGAGACTTCCGACGCAGCAGCGACCCGCGGCTGCCCAAGCTGACCCCGCCCGCGCTCCGAGCGGCTCTGGGCGCGCGGGGCTCCGGGGACTGGAGGATCCCGGGGGGCGGCGCCGCGTGGTGGCCGGAAGGGGACGCCAAGCCCGGGGTGGGCGTCGGACGCCTCCCGCCGCGCCTGCCCGCCTTGCTCACCGCGACCCGGCGGGCCGTGCGGAAGCGGGGGCTGCTGCGGTCCCTGCTGCCGCCTCCCCTGCTGTCGGCCGGCGCGTCCCGGGAATCGGCGCCCAGGCAGCCAGGGCCTGGAGAGCGCGAGCGCCCCCGGAGGCGCGTGGCCAGGGAGGACCCCGACTTCTTGGGCGCCTTCCTAGGAGAGCTCCTCCCCAGCAGGTTCCGTGAGTTCCTGCACCAGCTCCAGGAGAAGTGCGCCGAGGAGCCGGAGCCACTGAGTGAGGCCCCGCGGGGCCCGGGGGGCGGGCCCGAGTCATTTCCGGTGGGGGGTGGTCCCTTGTGTCCCCGCACCCACCACCCCACCACCCAGGCTAGAAGGATGCTAATGTTAGCTGAGTATCTCAGAGCCCTCGCAACCCGTCCTTGAGGGCTGGTCTGCCATCACCCCGAGGCCACATGACTAGAAAGGACCGTCCCCCAGCCAAGGCTCACAACTGTTTCCTCCTGGCTCCAGCATCCCCAGCACCGCAACATCAAAGGGGTGTATTAGAGCACTGCCCAGGGTCTCCGCGGTGTCCCAACTGTTCATTCCTCCCAGACCTGTGGTAAGCGTCAGTCCGCTTCTTGGTGGGGACGGGGTTGCCATCGATGTTTCCAGGGCGGGACAGCCTGGCCACTCATGCCAGATGTGGCCTGTTTGTCTTTAAGGGGCCAGTCATCGCACCTCCAGGATAGTCTTACGAAGATTTCGCTCCAGCAGACACCTATTCTGGGGCCCCTGAAGGGTGATCACTCACAATTCACCACTGTCAGAAAGGCCAACCAGTGAGTGATGGGCGGGATAAGGGTAGGGTAGTGGAGGAAAGGGGCATTTCTTTCCTTCTTTCTTTCCTCTTTCGCCCATGAATGTATTCATTTATCCACCTATCTACCCATTCATCCATCCTTACATATGGCTGTCCGTGAATCAGATCTTCTACCAACCCATTCAAGATTCATTCGCCAGTTCATCAATGAATCAACCCATCCATTAATGAGGTCTTCTACCAACACATAATTCATCCATGAATCTATTCATATATTCATTTTCCCATTCACCCATCCATCTTTGCATCCATCTCATCCATGAACCAAGTCTTCTACAACCCGTTCATGAATCTCTCCATCTATCCATCCATCCTTCTGTCCACCCATTAATCTATCATGGACCCATGACTCCATCCATCCATACATTCACTCACCCACCCACCCATGAATCAGGTGTCCTGTGGATCCATTCATCTACCTGGCCAACCAGCTAGCCAGTCATCCATCTAAAACTCCCACACTTCGGCAGGGCACGGTGGCTCACACCTGTAATCCCAGCACTTTGGGAGGCTGAGGTGGGCGGATCACGAGGTTAGGAGATTGAGACCACCCTGGATAACACGGTGAAACCCCGTCTCTACTAAAAATATACAAAAAAAAAAAAAAAAACACAAAAAATTAGCCGGGCGTGGTGGCGGGCGCCTGTAGTCCCAGCTACTCGGGAGGCTGAGGCGAGAGAATGGTGTGAACCCGGGAGGCGGAGCTTGCAGTGAGCTGAGATTGTGCCATTGCACTCCAGCCTGGGTGACAGAGTGAGACTCCATCTCAAATAAAAATGAAATAAAATAAAATAAAATAAATAAAAAATAAAACTCCCACACTTCTATCCATCCATCCATTGATCCAATGACCAACCATCTACAAATCCTTCCATCCACTTGTAAACCCAGGACACTGTCCATCGCTAATCTAGTCATAAAGCCATCCACAAACCTACATACCCATCTACATAATCATCCAGCCACGCATCTGTCCATCTACCCATACATTCATAGTTCAGTTCTATTCAGACCCTTTCATTAACTCACCCATCAGTCCATCCACCCATCAACCCACCCACCCAGTCTTCCATCATTTTACCCATCCCACCATCATTTGTCCATTTCTTACTCTAACTTTTATTAGGTTTTACTATATGTTGAATATTGGGAGAAAACTAAGGGATGGAGGTAAGAGAAGAGCCTAGGAATTGGAACCTACCTGGGCCTAGACACCATAGTTTTAACAGAGGAGGAAAAGAAGACAGAAACAGTTCCTCCAGGTTAAAATTCCTCCAGGCTTAAGCAGGGGTGAAGGGTGAATGGCACTGCCCATGAGTTTAAAGACCAGGGAGAGTAAATACATCACAAACATATCATTCTTCCTCATCTCATACCCACAGCAGACAAAACTAATGGATCATATTTCCCCACTGAGCCTCAGAACCATTCCTCACACAGTACTCTAGGTAGATACTCCTGATGGATCAGGGTAGGAACTAGAAATGGAACACATGGCCAAGCATGGTGGCTCATGCCTATAATCCCAGTGCTTTGGGAGGCTGAGGCAGGAGGATCGCTTGAGCCCAGGAGTTTGAGACCAGCCTTGGTAACATGGTGAAACCCTGTCTCTACAAAAATTACAAAAATTAGCTGGGCGTGGTGGTGCATGCCTGTGGTTCCAGCTACTCGGGAGGCTGAGGTGGGAGGATTGCTTGAGCCTGGGAGGTTGAGGCTGCAGTGAGCCAAGATCGTGCCACTGCACTCCAGCCTGGGTGACAGAGCAAGACCCTGTCTCAAAAAACAAACAAACAAACAAAAACAGTGAAACACATTTACCAACCTCAGAACGTTCAACCAATCAGGCCAAATATACACATGACTTCTCACAAGATACAAATAAATAAAAGTATGGAATTCATTCTCTCAAATGTGAGCAAAAGCAGAGACAAACACAGTTACAGACTTTCACATTCAAGAGCAAATACTTGAGCACCTTACTGTGTGTGAGATTCCCTGGTAGGCCCTGCAGGGGACACTGTGGTGCCTCAGAACAGGCTCCAGTGGCCCTCGAGTGAAGATGCTGAGATTTCAGGCAGGTGGGCAGAGCTGGGTTATGCCTTTGCCTGGCCCAGCAGCCAGCAGAGAGCAGGGGTTCCTGAGCAGACAACTGTTAGATGACTAGGTCCCAAGGCATGTAGCCAGGCACTGTCCTGACACCTCCCAACTGCTTGGCTCTTTGGAGGCTGATGAAAAGCATTCCCTCTGCATCTACACAGACATACAGATGTGGTCAGATGAATGGATGCAGACATATAACTATGTGCATACTAACGGTCAGCCATGACCTTCCTCCATAACAGAGTTATAGGTGGGTCAAGCAGGCCTTCCCGCAGCCTTGCCCTTGAGGCTGATTTTTTTTTTCTTTTTTTTTGAGACGAAGTCTCACTCCGTCCCTAGGCTGGAGTGCAGTGGCACGATCTCGGCTCACTGCAACCTCTACCTCCTGGGTTCAAGTGATTCTCAACCTCTCGAGTAACTGGAACTACAGGCGCACGCCACCGTGCCCAGCTAATTTTTTTGTATTTTTGGTAGAGACGGGGGTTTCACCATGTTGGCCAGGATGGTCTGGATCTCTTGACCTTTTGATCTGCCTGCCTCCCAAAGTGCTGGGATTACAGGCGTGAGCCACCACACCGGGTTGAGGCTGAAATTAATAACAATAAATGGAACAATGTTATCTATGAAATATACATATAACAGATACCCTTGATTAAGGCCAAACCCTGTGCCAGGCCACGTCCTACATGCCTCATGTAAATCATTTGATACTCACCAAACCCAGGAGGATGGTATTATTGTGCCTATAATTTAAAGGGAAAAAAACCTGCAGAATGGAGACTTGGAGACAGTCTACCAAAGGCCACGTGGCTGGGATGGGGCATGATTGAGATAGACAGTTACAATAAGAACAGCTCAGGCAGGCGGGCGGGCGGTGGCTCATGCCTGTGATCCCAGCACTTAGGAAGGCGAAGGGGGGTGGATCACTTGAGGTCAGGCGTTCGGGACCACCCTGGCCAATAAGGTGAAACCCCGTTTCTACTAAAAATACAAAAATTAGCCGGGCGTGGTGGCACACGCCTGTAGTCCCAGCTACTCGGGAGGCTGAGGCAGGAGAATGGCGTGAACCCGGGAGGCGGAGCTTGCAATGAGCCGAGATGGCACCACTGCACTCCAGCCTGAGCCACAGAGCGAGAATCTGTCTCAAAAACAAAACAAAAACAAAAAACAGCTCCCTGTTAGTGATGTTTCCTCTGGGTCCTGCAGACCCTGGGCTGGATGCTTGTACGGCCCATTTCCTTTCTTCACAACCCTGTAGGGTGGGCACAATGATTCCCATTTTACAGACAAGAAAACTGAGGCTCAAAAGGGTCAGGAATGAAACCCAGGACTGCATGACTCCTGGGCTGGCATTCTTATTCTCTCTGCTAAATTGCTTTACGTGCGAGGGCGCCAGCTCTGGAACCAGGATGCAGGTCTTGGCTCCATGCCTGACAGCTGCATCGCCTTGGAATAGTCTCTGTGCCTCTGTTTCCTCAACTATAAAATGAGAATGATAACAGCGTTTCATGGGGACTGTGTGCATTTGGTGGGTTGGTGTATGTGCGTGCTTGAGCCTGCCTGGCAGGTAGGAAGTGCTCCGTTAAGGCCGGCTGCTGTGATTGGCGTTATCCATTCTTCAAGACCAGTGTAGGGCACTTGTCCAGGATCTCACAGCGAGTCTGGGGCTGGTGCGTGTGTGCTGGGGTACGGTGGGGGGCTTCGAGCACAGGCCCCTCTCCCCTCTCTCAGCAGGCCCCACGGTGCACAGGTCCCCAGGCTCAAGGCTGCGCTGACCCACAACCCCTCGGGGGAAGGCTCTAGGCCCTGCAGGCAGCGTTGCCCTTTCCGGGTGCGATTCGCTGACGAGACCCTGCAGGACACAACGCTCCGCTACTGGGAGCGCAGACGCTCAGGTAAGCAGACAGGATGGGGAGCCTCGAGACTCCCGAAAGTTCTAGCCAGGAGGGCAGAGAGGCTGTAGCTCCGGGCCCCTAGAGTGAGGGACTGGCTTTGCAAAGGCCAAGAGATCAGTGATCCTGCAGAGGATGTGCCTGAACTGGCCTCCTTGGAGGATGTCAGGTTGACCTTCGAAGACCAAGTAGAGGGTCCAGAGTCCAGTGGAGGTGTTCCAACGCAGGCAGCACCTTGGACTGCTCGCTGCCAAGGGGTTCCCATATGCTGTATCTGCCCACCTTGAGACCCGTAGCCGGAGCCTCCAGAGCCCACACTTGCTCCCCTCCGCAGTCCCCACAGCCTACAGGGGCTGGAGGAGGTCCAGATGCCATTGGAAGCATCTTCCTTTGACATCCATGAAGGCAGACCTCGAAGCCTGCCTGAGGAGGTGCCCAGAAAAGCCGCGAAGCGGAAACTTTCTCTCTCCTGGAGACAGTTGGCACTGCCAGGTCCAGCAAGGAAGCTAAGAGCCACCAGACCCTGGATGTAATGGTGTCTGTTTTGCAGTTCCCAGTGAGTTTTCTTTTTCTTTTTTTTTTTCTGATACGGAGTCTCACTCTGTCGCCCAGGCTGGAGTGCAGTGGCGCGATCTCGGCTCGCTGCAAGCTCCACCTCCCGGGTTCATGCCATTCTCCTGCCTCAGCCTCCTGAGTACCTGGGATTACAGGCATGCGCCACCGCCCCTGGCTAATTTTGTATTTTTAGTAGAGACGGGGTTTCTCCATGTTGACCAGGGTGGTCTCGAACTCCTGACCTCAGGGATCCACCTGCCTCTGCCTCCCAAAGTGCTGGGATTACAGGCATGAGCCACCGCGCCTGGCCATTCCCAGTGAATTTTCTGAAGTGTGTCTCGAGAAGCAGGCGAGAAGTCCCTGTTCTTACTCTGGTATAACCTTGACTAAGCTCCACCTTTTTCTGTGTGCCCAGCCTCTTCTCAGGATCCAGCAGCCCCCAGGGTCCCCAACAGTCAATGTCCTCTAGCTGTTTATTGAGCACCCACTATGTGCAGTTTCAGGAAATGTCTGCCTCAAGGTCTAGCTGTGGGCGATGCCCTGCAAACCTAGGACCTTCGCTGATTTGGGAGGGATCTGACGCAGCCTCCTTAGCGTGACAGGAAGCTGGAGTTAGAAGCTGTGATTTTTGCCCAACTTCTGTTTGTTTGGTGGGGAAACCAAGGCCCCAGAAGCAGGATGGGCTTGTGTGGGTGACGCAGAGCCACATATAGAAGCCAGAGTGACCCCGGGCCCCTCTTGGGAATCCAAGGCCAGGACAAGCCCAAGAGAAACAATTTCATGTGAATGGCAGTTGGTGCATACAGGAGATGATTCCGTGTCAGCCACTGGCCATAAGGAGCTATCATGGTGTCCCGGGCAGCAGGGTGCCCAGGAGACGTGGGGGCCAGCCTGCTGCTTCCCAGCCCTTTCCATCCTGGGGCAGCCATTGGGGAACTCAGGGTCCTTGGACCACCTCGCATGGCTGCTGTTGGACAGGAAGAGCCCCCATCCCTGAGACAGCCCTCCCTGAAGCCCTCAACGCTCTCAGCATGGTTTCTGGGATTTCTATGATGGGGTAAGTGGTCTCCCCACTGCGAGAAAGGGGGCACGCTTCCGGCTGCAGCGTGAGTGGGGGTGCGCAGGGGCACAGCTTGGGTATAACAGAAATGGTCACGCAAGGTGGTTTTAAAACCCAAGGCTTCTCTGGAGGCAGCCAGAAGGCGCTGGGGAGCCTGGGGTTGCCATGGAGACAGGGCTCTGACCGGCCCTGCCTGCCAGAGGGAGGAAAAGAGGGTGGGGGCACCAGTGCCCTCCTCCTGGGCAGAGATCTCACCCTGCCCTCTTTCCTGCAGTCCAACAGAGCGTCATTGTGAACCAGAAGGCCGCCCTGCCAGTGGCGTCCGAGCGGGTGTTTGGGAGTGTCGGAAAACGGCTGGAGAGTTTGCCCAAAGCCCTGTACCCTGGGGCCAAGGAGGAGACCCTGGCCAGCTCCTCGTGTTGGGACTGCGCTGGCCTGTGAGGCTCCAGGGAAGCGGATGGGACTCGTGGACATTGCCAGGGCCCTCCACCCCCCTTGCCTACAGACCTCCCCACCCAGCAGCAGGCGGGTTGCCAGTGTGGGTCCTCAAGGGCCCTGCCAGCCATGGGTGGGCCGGGGACTCAGAGTCCAGGAAGCTCATGGGGTCCTGTCTCCCCCAGGTCCACCCAGAAGACACAGGGCTACCTTTCTGAGGACACCTCCATGAACAGCAGCCTGCCCTTCTGTTCATGGAAGAAGGCCGCTGCTCAGAGGCCGCGAAGCAGCCTCCGAGCCTTCTTGGACCCGCACAGAAACCTGGAGCAGGTGGGCAAATGGTCTTGCTCCTGGACCTAGAAGCTGGTGAGCCCCTGCTGGCAGCTGGCTCCGGGAGCAGCCCTGTTTGGTGGAGTGGCTGGGGCTGGGAGTGGACCCTCCCTGAGAGCCAAGTCACCGTGGGGGCTTGCAGTGGCCACGCCCTGTGTTCCTGCATCTCCCTCAAAGGGCAGCTGTCAAGGGGTGGCTCTAAGCCAGGTGCCTGGGTTCCGATCACAGTTCCTTTCTGCATCTCCCCTCCCCTCCCCTCTCCTCTCTTTGCTTTTTTGAGACAGAGTGTTGCTCTGTCGCCCAGGCTGGAGTGCAGTGGTGCAATCTTGGCTCACTGCAACCTCTGCAATGGGGACACCCACCACCACACCCAGCTAATTTTTGTATTTTCGGTAGAGACAGGGTTTCACTATGCTGGCCAGGCTGGTCTTGAACTCCTGACCTCAGGTGATCTGTCCGCCTTGGCCTCCCAAACTGCTGGGATTACAGGCGAGAGCCACCGTGCTTGACCTTGCATTTGTTTCCTCATCTTTTAAAATGGGGCTGACAGCACTACCTGCCCAACAGGGCTTCAGCACAGAATCCCACTGGGAGCCCAGTCCCCTGCCCCGAGGTCCTGGTAGCAGCCAGCTGGTCCTCTGTCTCACTCTAGGAGTCCCTCCTGCCCAACCGGGTGCTGCAGTCGGTCCTGAAGCAAGGCTGCCCTAAGGGGTACCATCTCCTCCTGGCCTCCGCAACACTGCAGCCAGATAAGAGGTGAACACTCGCGAACCCAAGGCCAGGGGCACACATGGGCCAGGCAATGAGGAGCGTCCTTCCTTGCCCCACAAATAAAGGCACATCCCAGGTGGCTGGGACCTGCCAGTAGGTGTCACACCACAAGCCTTTCTGGGTACCTGGTTGCTGGTCTCTGGGGGTTCCTGGAAGGAAGGGGATGGAGACACAGCCAGGATGAGGCTGAGGGGTGGGGACAGGGCATCCCTGGGGTTCAGGACTTGTAGTGAACCCCTCTTCTGGAAGGTGGGAGACCCTGCCACATACCTGAAACCTGGGAACATGCTGGGCACAATGGTCCATGCCTGTAATCCCAGAACTTTGGAAGGCTGAGGTGGGAGGATGGCTTGAGCCCAGGAGTTTGAGACCAGCCTGAGCAACATAGACCCTGTCTCTTAAAAAAAGAAAAAAAAATAGCTGGGCGTGGTGCTCCACGCCTCTAGCCCCAGGTACTTGGGAGGCTGAGGCGGGCAGATTGCTTGAGCCCAGGTGGTTGAGGCTGCAGTGAGCTGTGATCCCGCCACTGCACTCCAGCCTGGGCGAGAGAGTAAGACCTTGTCTCAAAAAACAAGCAAACAAACAACAACAACAACGAAACCCAAAAAACTTGGGACCAAGCCTCTGTTGACCTAGATCAGCCCACACCTGAAGCAGGCACCTGCTGGAAACTCAGCCTAGGGGTGGAGAACCCCCACCCCAAGCCTCTGTCCTCCCCCACCAAGCCTCCATCTGACATCCACAATGGAGTGAGGGCGTCCAGACTCCAGCCGAGGGAAGAGAGCCCTGTGTTGGTCTCATGCGTTTCCCCGGAAGGGTTGGCACCCTCTGGTCCCAGAAGGCAAAGCACCTGTGTGGGACGGGCTGGGGCCCACGGTTTCTCTCCTAGTCTGGGGATGAGGGGGTGGATGTTCAAATCTGCATCAGGAGGTGGCGAAAGACAAGGTGGCAGACCCTGCCCACCAGGTTTGCCCCTGCCACACCTGCGTTCCAGCCCCCTGGAGAAAGTTTGAGCCGCCGCCTCTTTCCCTGAAGCTGTCAGTGGCCCCCAGACCCGCGCCATTGCCCAGGATCCGGGTCTTTCTCGCCACCTCCTGGCCGCTGAGGAAACAGCAGGGAATCCACACCCTGGCGCCTTGTTTAATGGCAAAGGAATGGGCTGCAAACGGTGGGACTGGCCTGGGCGGTGGCTGGTGGGGGTCCTTAGGGCCGGGATGGGTTGTGGATGGGGGACGCCTTTTGGGAGAGGCGCCCTAACTCCAGAAGAAGGGCAATAGAGCTAGGGTTAGTTTAGACAAACTCTGCAGGGATGGGAAGAAGACAGCACTGCCACCGCCCCTCCACCGGGTACCTGATTGCTGGACTCTGGAGGTAACTGGAAGGAAGGGGGTGGAGACACATCTAGGACGAGGAGTGGGATTCAGTCCCTGGGACGTCCCCTCCCTTCTGTCTCCCTTTCTGGACATTCACGCCCCGTCCCCCGTCTCAGCAGGCCTGATTCTACGGCCCCTCCTCCAGGTGGCCTTGCGCAGCCCACGTCGCCCTCTCTGAGCCTCAGTTTACCCCAAGGGTCGCGGCGGGCCCCGGCCCCTGCGCCGGCTGCAGCACCGCGGCGCGCCCACGCGGGGGCAGTGTTGGCCTGGCTTTGGCGCCGCCTGGCGCGGCCGAAACTTCTCAGCCTCTCGCTCCAGGGTCGGAAACTTTTCCCCTCGCGCGGCGCTCGCGCCCGCCCGCCTCCGCCTCCGCGCTGCTGGCTCCGCACAGCCCCGCTCCGGCCGCGCGACCTCCTGGCACCTGCTCCGAGCCCACGACCGGCCCTGGCGGGTGGGGGGAAACGCGCCGCCCCCGCCCCCCAACTTCCCTCTCTCTCGCTTTTGTTGTTCAGCCCAAAATTGCTAGGCTTGCAGCCGTGCGGCAGCGCCGAGCACTGAAGCCGGAGTCCGCGTGGAGCCCCCGGGGCGGGTCTCGGCGCCCCCGCGACCCCGGACTCCACGCCCTTGCTCGCGCCGGGGGCACCACGCCGGTGGGGGGGGGGCGGGGCCTGCAGGGAGACCTGGCCCCCGCCTACCGCTTACCCCTCCCCTTCCCCCCTTTCCCCTCTCCCTCCCCCTTTCCCCTCCCCCTCCCTCCTCCCCCCCTCCTCCCCCCTCCCCTGTGGCTCGGCCCGCAAGGCCCCGGGATCCCGCAGCGCTCCTGTCCGCTCCCTGCGCTGTCCACTCCCTCCCCGCAGACCACAGATGGAGGACGGAAGCCTCAGTCCCGCCGCTTTCGGCACTCACACCCACCACCGAGATACGCACCCCGAGACACACACAGGCACACCACAGGGCCACACCCACACGGTACACAGACAAAACAACGCCCCACAGACACCCCCTTCAGACACACACACCACACACATACCCGGACTCCTGCCCTACAAACAGCCGGTGAACACAGGCCGACCTCACACATACACGGCCTCTCACGGGGTCTCCCAGGGCCGCAGCCCCCACATTCGGGGTCATCTGCTGCCCTGGAGGCCCAGACGCCTCCCCCTGGCCCTCTGTAGCCACTTGTCTGTCCACCAGCATGTCCCCCACCATGAACAGGGGATGAGGAAGAGGGAGCGAGGCATTCAGGGGATGGACCCAACCCCAGCTCTTCCCCGGGGGCCCTCCGGGGGCCTATCTCTCACCCTCTTTGGCAGAGACCCCAGATTGGGGGCCTCCCCAGGGGCCCCAACAGGGCCCTTTTCCGTGGGGCATTTCCACTCAGGGCTGGCGGGGGTGGGGTGGGGTTTGGGGTGGGGGGGCTGCCCCTCCTGGGCTTCAGGAAGCAGCATGTCAGGGAGGCCAGGAAAGCTCTGCTCCCCCCAACTCAGACCCATCTGAGCAGCTGGGATCAAGGCAGGCGCACCCTCCAACCCCACGCCTGCCATTGGTCATGGACAGTCCTGTGCCCAGCCAGGGCAGGGGAGAGTGGCAGCCCGGTCTAGTTGGGGGGAGGGGGAGGAATGACTCTGACCCAAGGCAGAAGGCAGAGCTGGGAGAGGCAGGAGGTCACTGCCCCTTTCTAGGTGTCCCCACCTCCCCACGCCTCTGCACCCCTGCAAGCTGGCTCCTTAGCCCGTTTGCTGATAAGGACACTGAAACCCTGAGGGCTCAGGCGGTCTCACCTGGGCGTGCTGGCGGTGCCCACTGGAGCTGGAACTGGTCCTACAGATGTCCTGAGCCAGCAGAGCCCTCGGCGGCGCACACAGGAGCTCTCTCCTAAGCCGCTCTCTGTACAGCCTTTGGTTGTTGGGGAAGCCAGGGCCCAGAGAGGCTCAACTCTTTCTCAAGATCACACAGTGACCAGGTGTTGGAGTGGGCATTCGCACTCAGCACCTCTTCACGGGGAAGCCCCGTCTCCCGCTGAGCGCAGTCCTGTGGAGGCTGCTTCTTCCTGCCGCACATGGGGCACCTCGGAGCAGGGAGGATCAGGGCAAGGTCAAGGAAGGAGAGGCGTTTATTTGGAGAGGGTGGAACTGGGCAGGTGCACAGGGTCCGGAAGGAGCTGGAAGCCTCAAGGCTGGTGGGCAGGACCCACGACTGGAGTGGGGAAGAGGGCGCTGGCTCCAGGCAGGAGCCTGGTGGGAGGGAGAGGAGGGAGCCAGGAGCTAGGGAGCCCTGTAGATGCAGGGCCAAGGGAAGCCAGCCCCAAGTGGGGCTCCAGGGATGGCAGCTGCCCCACGGGCCGATTGCCATTCTGCAGGCGGCTCATTCAGCTCTGTTATGGACTGAACGTGTCCCCCCAAAATTCATATGCTGGAACCCCAGGTCTGATGTGATGGTTTGAGGAGGTGGGGCCGTTGAGGGGTGATCAGGTCATGAGGGTGGAGCCCTCACAAGTGGGATTCCTGCCCTTATAAAAGAGGCCCGAGGCCGGGCGCTGTGACTCACGCCCGTAATCCCAGCACTTTGGGAGGCCGAGGTGGGTGGATCACCTGAGGTCAGGAGTTTGAGACCAGCCTGGCCAACATGGCGAAACCCATCTCTACTAAAAATACAAAAATTAGCTGGGCATGGTGGTGGGCACCTGCAATCCTAGCTACTGGGGAGGCTGAAGCAGGAGAATAACTTGAACCCAAGATGCGGAGGTTGCAGTGAGCCGAGATCATGCCACTGCACTCCAGCCTGGGCAACAGAGCAAGATTTTGTCTAAAAAAAAAAAAAAAAGAAATAAAATAAAAGAAAAAGAGGTCCCAGAAAGGCCTTGCCCCTTCCTCCTTGTGCGGATACCGCAAGAGGCCAGCAGTGTGCAACCCGGAGGAGGGCCCTCACGGGAACCTGACCATGCCAGCACCCTGATCTCGGACTGCCAGCCTGCAGCCTGGGAGGAATACACTCTATTGCTTCGGAGCTGCCTAGGCTCTGGTCATCTGTTAA
The DNA here is from genome assembly GCF_000001405.40 of Homo sapiens. Lineage (NCBI taxonomy): Eukaryota > Metazoa > Chordata > Mammalia > Primates > Hominidae > Homo > Homo sapiens. The sequence continues at coordinate 129,607,926 of NC_000009.12, read as the reverse complement.
GCAGCCCAAAGAGACTCAGCCAAGTACCACACCCGTGCTGGGCCCTGAGTGGGTAACTGCCTGGGCAGCCCCGCCCCTGGAGCCTAGAGTCATGGGGAGCATTGCTCAAATTGAGCAGTTCCAGGATGCAGTGACAAGTGCTGGGATGGGAGGCCTTGGGAGCAGAGAGTAGGGCCTCAATCCTCTGTGCAGGGCATGGGGTGGACACCTGGGCTTTCTGACGGCAGCCAGGTGGGGGCGTGGTCAGAACACAGAGGCACACAGGGAAAGGCAAGTGACTGCTACTGCCTTTCCGGTCCCACAGGAAGGCTGGTGATGCAATTCTCAGCATGGACCAGGGGAGGAAACAGACATGGGAGGGCTGTTGAGCAGGCAGAGGGAAGGGCTGGTGTTCGCCTAGCCAAGATAGACACACACACACACACACACACACACACACACACACACACCACACCACACACCACACACCCTGGCTCCCAGCCGTGTGGGGCTGCCCAGCACTCATTCCAGCTGCTCTGCCTTTATCGGGGCCATTTGTTCGACCCCACCCCCACCACCTGCCCACCCTCACCCTTTCCCATCATTTCTGCCTCTCTGGGTCCTTCTGTCTTCCCTCCCAAATACACCCTAAGTGACAGATGGTCTGCCCCTTCCTGTTGGAGGCAGTGAAACCCTTCCATGGGGACATGTGACACCACCTCCGGGCAGCCCCACAAGCCTCAACATTCCCCTATGAACAGCACCAAGAAGGGGGATGCTCACTGCTGTTTCGACCCATCGGAGCCAGCTTTGGATGCTGGATGGTGTCTAGGCCAGAAGCAGGGATTGGACTCACCAGGCTGGGCCAGGTGTCTCTAGGGCTCTGGAATTCTCCCAGTCAGACTCGGACCCCAAGCACGGCAGCCGGGAGCAGCTCCTCTGCCTCTGCCATCATGGAGCCCGGGCACCCTTAAAGACTCACCCACCAATGTTTCCCTGGCTTATTTACTGCACCTGGCAGCTGAGGGGGCTTCAGTGATGCCCCCAAACTCCCAGGGAGCCCCCCTGCCTGGCTCTGGGAAGACTTCTCTGATGGCTGAAGAGCGCAGCAAACCTCAAAAGAATCTTCCAACAGGAACGTCCTGGTCCATACACTTTGCAGCCATCTCAGTGACCCGAAGCATGTTCTCTGGGGGACGTCACCTCCCCAGGCCGGCCACAAGTAACTTCTAGTAACTTCTAACACAGCCCACAGCTGTTCTGGTCATGTGGATTATCTGGCCATGTTAATCAGGGCAGCCAGGAATCCGTGAGAGCAAGATGAACCCGGGCCCTGACCTCATGAAGCTCAGAGTCCAGCAGGAAATCGCAGAGGAATCAGGACGAAAGCTATCGAGCAAGTGCTATTTGCAGATGCTGCTCTAACACGTCCGTGCTTAAAGCTTACCTCCCCTTGAAGGAGGGCACATCTCTGGGGAGTAGGCCCAATCCCTGCAGATCAAGAAACCAGCCCACAGAGAGGTTAAGTAACTTGACCAGGGTCACACAGCTGAGCTCCAGATAAGAAATCATATAAGAAAGGGAGGTTCAGGCAGCTGTGCAGGGGAGCACAGAGCAGCTGCCTCCTCTGAGGCTGAGGTTTCTTCCTCCAGGAAGCTGGCCTAGATTTCCACTAGCCCAGCAGGGCCATAGCCAGTGCGTCCAGGCTGGCTATCCTGGCAAACTCTGTCCTGGGGAGCCAGTGTCTGGATTGGGGAGATATAGATGGGGCCAGCTGCACAGATGTGTGACCCCTGCAGGCGCACAGGGCCCCAGGCTTAGAAGGGCCCTGCACAGGCTTCATGCTATGTGGTTGCCATCTTGAAATTTGCAATACATGAGGCACGAGGGGTCCTGCTTTTCATTTTACCCTGGGCCCCACAGACTGTAGCTACCCCATACACAGACACTAAATTATGGCGATGCTGAGCTGCGGCTGGGCGGAGGGCTGGTGAGAGGGTCGCAGAGGGTCTCCTGGAAGAATCGGCCAGACAGAGAGGCCGAGGGGCTGGAGCGAGGCTGGTCAGATGGGCAGCTCCCTGGAGATGATAGTCAGGAGTGAGCTTTGTCCTGCCTGACCCCAAAACCCTGCCGTGGCTCCCCAGGACCCCTCAGGGCAGCTCCCTGGGAGCTAGGCCAGCATCAGGCAGGTCAGGAGCAGCAAAGCTCTGAGAGGACTTTTATTTTTATTTTTGAGACAGGTGTTTCTTGTTATTTTTTGAGGTGGAGTCTCACACTGTTGCCCAGGCTAGAGTGCAGTGATGCAATCTCAGCTCACTGCATCCTCCGCCTTCCGGGTTCAAGCGATTCTCCTGTCTCAGCCTCCCAAGTAGCTGGGATTACAGGTGTGTGCCACCACGTCTGGAAATTTTTGTATTTTTAGTAGAGACAGGGTTTCACCATGTTGGCCAGGCTGGTCTTGAACTCCTGACTTCAAGTGATCCACCTGCCTCGGCCTCCCAAAGTGCTGGGATTACAGGCGTGAGCCACTGCGCCCAACCAGAGAGGCCTTTAAAAATACCCCTACACTGCCGGGCGCTGTGGCTCATGCCTGTAATCCCAGCACTTTGGGAGGCTGAGGCGGGCAGTTCACAAGGTCAGGAGATCGAGACCATCCTGGCTAACACGGTGAAACCCCCGTCTCTACTAAAAATACAAAAAATTAGCTGGGCATGGTGGCAGGCGCCTATAGTCCCAGCTACTCGGGAGGCTGAGGCAGGAGAATGGGGTGAACCCGGGAGGCAGAGGTTGCAGTGAGCCGAGATTGCGCCACTACGCTCCAGCCTGGGCAACAGAGCGAGACTCCACCTCAAAAAAAAAACAACAAAAAACACCTGTGTATTGAGTAGATAACATGCTTGTGTACAGCATTTGGAAGGCACAAACAAGAAACCAGTGGGAAGAAAGCCCCTCCCCCCGGCCTCTCACCTAGCCCTGGTCCCTCCCACTGGGAAACCCAGTTTCCTGTGTACCTCCCAGAGGTATTCTGTGCACATACAAGGAGGCGTGTGCCTGCGTGGTTTTCAAATTTTCGTGTGGATTTCACATACATTCTGTATTGTACACACTCTTCTGCACTTAGCTTCTCACTTCACAGTCCAAGCAGGAAATCATAAAAGGCTCTCTCAAGGCCACTGAATTGTATAGATGGAGAAACCGGAGCCCAGAGTGTCACACAGCAAGTGTGGGTGTTCTGGTGGTCCAGGCGCAGAGCCTGGCCTTGGCGCAGTGGAATCCATGTCCTTCTGCGTGCTCGCCAACCCCCCCTCGGCCTCCCCACAGCTTCTCTCCTGCCCTAATTGCAAGGGCTGCCAAGGAGGGAGCCAAGGAGGTACTGTGATGATCCCCAGTTCCACATGAGGCTCAGAGAGGTGCAGCCACTGTCCTGAGGCCACACAGCAGAACCAGGATTGGAACTCACCAAGCTGCAGTGGCCCCCCAGGAACAGGCTCATGTTCCCCAGGTGGGCACTGCCCCTCACCACAGACTTACAATCTCCCTGATACCAGATGGGGAAGCCCCCAGCTTCAGCAGGTGAGGTTTGGGTAATAGACCCTCTCAGCCTGACGGAGCCACAGGATGGAGCTGGCGGGAGTCCCAGCTAGGCCTGGAGGGTGGGGTGGGGCCAGGTGGCTCACTAGGGGGACCGGGCTGATGTGGGTGCTTGGTCTCCTAGGCTCCAGCTGTACCACTGAGGCTCCTGGAACGCCCCCTGGGCCTGTCTGGTCGCCAGGGAGGACTGGCATCAGCTGGCTGAATGTGCCTGGGATTGCTGCTCAGTTCAGCATTTGGGTTCAAAGCATTATTTTTATTGTGTTTGTTTATCCAAAGCTCGCCTTTGAAATCTGCTTTTGCGCCTCCCCATCCTGGAGAAGGGCGCTGGTTTAGTTACAAAGTGCGTTGCTGTCTCAGCCTTTAAAGAATTCTTGAGTGAAGGGGCTCACTTTCCCTGAGCATGTGTGGCCTCATGTGTGGGCGACTATGGCAGGTCTGCAGGACAACTTGGGTCCTGTCCTGACTAGCCGGGGGCAGGTGACAACAGCCCCTCAAAAGCTGTGTGTGGCTCACACCTGTAACCCCAGCACTTCGGGAGGCTAAGCAGGAAGATGGCTTTGAAGCCAGGAATTTGAGACCAGTCTGATCAACAAAGTGAGACCCCCCCCCATCTCTTTAAAAAATAAACTCATTAATTAAAACTAAATCAATCAATAAAAAGTTGTGTGGGATGAAACCTCCAAAGTACTGGAGGTGCCACCACCCTGGTGCAAGGGACACAACCTGAGGGGTCATGAGAACACTGTAAGCTGAGGACCTGCTTTGTCCAGAAAAACACCCCACTCAACCACAAAAACTTTACAACCAGTTCTAGGCCCTTCTAGGACCTTCTGAGACCCATCCACAAACCCTTTCCTCCAGTTTAGAGCCCGTTCCTAAAGAAATCTCATGGTCAGCCTTTTTGGAATAATAATCATAGTAGATAAAGTTGAACACTAACTCTATTTCAGGCACTGTGCTGTGGGATTTCTCTGATTTACTCATTTACTCCTCACACTTGAGGCACAGAGAAGTTGGGTCACTCACCCAAGGTCACACAGCCAGGAAGTGGCAAAGCCAGGATCCAGACCCAGTCAGTCCTGCCCAGGTCTGCACTCCTAACCACACACACGCGCACACACACACAGCACACGCATGAACGCATGGACACGCATGGCACCTGGCTCCTGAGTCAACCCGTGGGTTAGGCCCAGGGAGGGCCTGGGGTGGAAGACCTCAGGTGAACTGCCCAGGCTTGGGGTCTGGTGAGCTGGGTGACTGAGGTCGAGTCCTTTTGTGAGGATTAGGTGGGCACCACCCGGAGATCCCTGGCCCAAGGCCAGCAGCGGGGAGGAGCTGATACCATTATGAGGGAAGTGACAGACAGTGGGGACACCCCTCCCCAGTGACTGCCACTCGGCACAGCCTCCTCCCCCTTCCCTCTTCCTCTCCCCTCTCCTCTCCTCCCCTCCCTCATTCTCCCCCTCCTCCTCTCTCCTTTCCTCTCTCCTCCCTTTTCCTCCCTCATCTCTCCCCTCCCTCCACATTCTTGCCCCCTTCCTTCTACCCCCTAATTTTCTTCTTCCTCCCTTCTTACCCCTCCTTCCTCCCTCCCTTCTCTCTCCTTTGCTTTCTCCACTTGTTCCCTCCCTCCCCCTTAACTCCCTCATGTCTCCCTCCCTCCTTCCTCCCTCCCTCCTTCCTGTCTGTTTTCCTTTCCCCCTTCCTCTCTTCCTTCTCTCCCTCCCTGCTGCTTGCCTCCTCTCTCCCCTTCTTCTCTCTGTTTTTCCCTCTCTCTCTCCTCCTCCTTCCCGCTTTCTTCTCTTCTGACTCCCTCCTCCTCCCTGTCCTTCCTCTCCCTCCACTCTCTTTCCCTCCTTCTCCAGACAAGGAATAAGAGTTGCTCACCCCTGGCCAGCTCAGTGGCTCACGCCTGTAATCCCAGCACTTTGGGAGACCGAGGCGGGCAGATCACTTGAGCTCAGGAGTTCCAGACCAGCCTGGCCAACATGGTGAAACCCCATGTCTACTAAAAATATATGTTTTAAATTAGCCAAGCGTGGTGGCGCGTGCCTGTAATCCCAGCTACTCGGGAGGCTGAGGTGACAGGGTCGCTTGAACCCGGGACGCAGAGGTTGCAATGAACTGAGATTTCGCCATTGCACTGCAGCCTGGGCAACTGAGCAAGACTCCCTCTCAAAAAAAAAAAAAGGTGTTCACCACCCTCCTCCAAGCAGCTGTCCATCCTACCAGAGGAACAGCCCATCCCTGTAAACACTGCACTTCTGAGAAGGACCAGACCACACCTGGGGACACCCCTGGGTCTACCTGGGGGCCTGCCCAAGAAGGATGGGGAGGGGCCCACTGGCTGAACAGACCCGGCCAGACCTTCCCACCCAGAGCCTCTTGGCTCCCCTCCCGCATCCCCAATGCTGGGAGGACAGGGAATGGCCTCCATGGGCCTTCCAGGCTGAAATTTCTAGCGTTTGTGGAGTTAAGACCCTAATATTATGGGCCGGGCAGGGTGGCTCATGCCTGTAATCCCAGCTACTTGGGAGGCTGAGGCAGGAGAATTGCTTGAACCCAGGAGGCGGAGGTTGCAGTAAGCCGAAATCATGCCACTGCACTCCAGCCTGGGTGACAAAGACTCCGTCTCAAAAAGAAAAAAAGACCTTAATATTATTTATCGACAGTTTTTGGTGGTTTAATAGAATTGAGGGTAAATCTAACTTGCAAATTTTCCTTTTGATCTCCTTTTTCTTTTAGGAGAGAACAGAGCCGGCTTTAGAGCAAGACTGGAGACCGCTCCCTCTGCTCTCCTGTTCCCAGTCAGGACTCTCCTGGGGTTTGCAGTCCTGGGGTGTCCCTGAGCACGTCCGTCCGGCAGGATTCCTGGTTGCCAGCCTTGACTCCCCCTGCTTGTCCCTCCCCCCGGCACCCCAGCACTGAAGTCCTGGGGACTCCTCTGAGCCCCAAGGCCCCGGCCCCTCTGCCTCCTCCCTCCTCTCTCCTTCTTCCCCCTCTGTGCTTCCCCTCACACTCTGCAGTAGGCCTCTGGCTTCTCCTTTAGCTCCTGAGCCAAACTCCTTCACACCCCAGGGCCTTTGCACATGCCCTCCTCTCTACCCAGAATGCTCTCCTACCAGCTTCACGGGTTCCCACTTAACATCAGATCTCAGATGTCACCTCCTCAGGGAAGCTCTTCCAAATGAAACCAGCTCCCCACAGTTCTCCTTGTGTGGCACTTACCACAATCAGGACGGAACAGTGGTGGCATTGCTGGCACACATGGACCATACTCAGTAGCCCCTGAGCTCCAAGAATGCAGAGACTGGACAGGTCCCTAACACAGAGCCTGCCACAGAGAAGGCCCTGAATGAACGCTGCGCAAAGGGATGGGGATCCTATCTGTGAACATCTCCCTGCCACATACCGTGCCTCAGTTTCCCTGCCTATACGGCAAGGGGGAGGGTCCCGTGCCTGCACTTGCAATGCAGTGTTTCTCAGATGTTCCCTCTGGGCTTCTGGCAGGGATCACATTCATTTCACGGTATTTGACTTCTTTGATTATCTGATTTTTCCAGGGAGGAATTTTAAATCTCTGGGCTGGGGCGGCATCTGCTAGATACCTGGGCACTTGTCCCAGCCCACCAGCCTGGGTACATTCAGCATCATGCTGGAAGCCCGTTAAAACTGCCCCCTCTTGGCAGATTAGGCCCCACGCAGAGACACCCTTCCAGGGCTCTGGAACCATGCAGTGTTTGGTGCGAGTGGGTAAGCAGTACAGCTCTCTTTGGGCAAAGCTCTAAATCAAGTGCAGGGGCATAGGAGCCAGGCAGACTGGGTTCCAATTCTGACTCAGTCACTTCTGGTGAGACTGGGGCCCACCATTTACTTTTTATTTGAGATGGAGTCTCGTTCTGTCGCCAGGCTGGAGTGCAGTGGTGTGATCTCAGCTCACTGCAACTGCCACCTCCCTGGTTCAAGTGATTCTCCTGCCTCAGCCTCAAGAGTAGCTGGGATTACAGGGGCGTGCCACCACGCCCAGCTAATTTTTTTGTTTGTTTGTTTTGAGATGGAGTCTCGCTCTGTCGCCCAGGCTGGAGTGCAGTGGTGCGATCTCGGCTCACAGCAACCTCCACCTCCCCGGTTCAAGTGATTCTCTTGCCTCAGCTTCCAGAGTAGCTGGGATTACAGGTGCCTGCCACCACGAGTGGCTGATTTTTGTATTTTCATTAGAGACAGGGTTTCATCATGTTGGCCAGGATGGTCTTGAACTCCTGACCTCAGGTGATTCACCTGCTTTGGCCTCCCAAAGTGCTGGGATTACAGGCGTAAGCCACTGCACCTGGCCTAATTTTTGTATTCTTAGTAGCAATGGGGTTTCACCATGTTGCCCAGGCTGGTCTCGAACCGCTGACATCAGGTGATCCACCCGCCTCGGCCTCCCAAAGTGCTGGGATTACAGGCATGAGCCACTGTGCCTGGCCTCACCATTCACTTCTCTGTGTCTCAGTCCCAGGCCTGCGCAATGGTCGTATCACTGTCAGAGGTGTCTGAACCAGGGCAATTCCATCTTGAATGGGGCTGGGTAAAATGAGGCAAGACCTACTGGGCTGCTGCATTCTCAGACGGTTAAGGCATTCTAAGTCACAGGATGAGATAGGAGGTCGGCACAAAATACAGGCTATAAAGACATTGCTGATAAAACAGGTTGCAGTTAAGAAGCTGGCCAAACCCCCCAAAACCAAGATGGCAACCAGAGTGACCTCTGGTTGTCCTCATTGCTAGACTCCCACCAGCGCCATGACAATTTACAAATGCCATGGCAATGACAGGAAGTTACCCTATATGGTCTAAAAAGGGGAGACATGAATAATCCACCCCTTGTTTAGCATATCATCAAGAAATAACCATAAAAATGGGCAACCAGCAGCCCTCAGCGCTGCTCTATGGTGTAGTCATTCTTTTGAGACAGAGTCTTGCTCTGTCGCCCAGGCTGGAGTGCAGTGGTGCGATCTCAGCTCACTGCAACCTCCGCCTCCTGGGTTCAAGCCATTCTCTTGCCTCAGCCTCCTGAGTAGCTGGGATTACAGGCACATGCAACCATGCCTGGCTAATTTTTGTATTTTTAGTAGAGATGGGATTTCTCCATGTTGGCCAGGCTGATCTCAAACTCCCGACCTCAGGTGATCTGCCCACCTCAGCGTCCCAAAGTGCTGGGATTACAGGGGTGAGCCGCCGTGCCTGGCCTATTCCTTTACTTTTTTTTTTTTTCTTCTTCTTCTTTAAGACGGAGTCTCGCTCTGTTGCTAGGCTGGAGTGCTGTGGTGTGATCTTGGCTCACCGCAACCTCCGCCTCCCAGGTTTAAGCTGTTCTCCAGCCTCAGCCTCCCGAGTAGCTGGGACTACAGGCGCGCACCACTACGCCCAGCTAATTTTTGTATTTTTTAGTAGAGATGGGGTTTCACCATGTTGGCCAGAATGATCTCGATCTCTTGACCCCGTGATCCGCACACCTCGGCCTCCTAAAGTGCTGGGATTATAGGCATGAGCCACCATGCCCGGCCTATTCCTTTACTTTCTTAATAAACTTGCTTTTACTTTATGGACTCACCCTGAATTCTTTCTTGCGAGAGATCCAAGAACCCTCTCTTGGGGTCTGGATCTGGACCCCTTTCCTACACCACCACCTCCCAGCTGGGGTTCTTGTGTTGATCAAGATGCTTCCCAGCCTGGGCCTGACACACAGTAAGTGCCCTGCCCCTCTCACCCCAGAGGCAGTGGCTAAACCTCAAGTCTCTGGGGCCCCAAAAATCTGCGTCAATACCCAGCTCTGCCCCTTGTCTGGCTTCGCAACCTCTCGGTGTCCGTTTCTGGGTCTGTAAAGCGGGGGTGATACTACTCCTGCGCCTGCACCCCACGTTATGTCAGTGTCTGCTTTCCAAATTCCCAGCCTGGACTCACCTCCCCTATGACTGTTTTGCAATCAGTGGGGACCACGGGCAGGGAGGAAGGTGGAGGAAAGCCCAAGTAACTTTGTGTCAAGTCCCAGTTTTCCTGCCAGCTGAGACCTGGGGCAAGCGACACCCCCTCTGCCTCAGGCTGTTCACCTAAAAAAAGGATGTTCTTAATCTACACACAGGGCTCTGTGGGGCTTGGATGGGGCACGCGGACGGCTACAGAATGTCAGGCAGCCACTTCCTTATGGTTACACCAGAAAGGGAGAGCCATTTCCCTCCACCCTTACTTTAGGGACCGGGAAACAGGACGGCAAGAAGGAATGCGCTACACCTCAACCCGGAGGGAGGGCATTCAGCCGCCACCCCCTCAGCCTTCCAGGAAGCTGAGGCCCAGAGAGGGCCAGGCTGGACCACGGGTTACACTGCGGGCAGGGCTTGGCTGATGCAGGAAGCGGTTCCTCTCCGGTGGGATGGGTGGGGTCGGGCAGGTACCCCAAGGAGAGCCCGGGCTCCCAGCTTAGCTTCCTGTTCCTATCTCAGCTGTCCAAGGGCCACTGAATGTTCCCGAATGCCCCTCCCCAGAGGAGTCCTGGGCAGGGAGTAGGGCATTCAGGAAAGCTGAGGCCCAGCGACAGGTAGGCGCTGGCCTGAGGTCCCACAGCGCAGGCGGGTCCGAAGCCCCCAGTCTGGGTTCAGGCCTCCCCCGCCCTGCGGCGCGGCCTCGTGGCGTCCCCAGCCCTCCGTTCCCGGTCGCTGCCCTGCAGGGACTTGCCCAGCGGGGACGCGCCGGGCCTCCCCGAGGTCTGCGCCCGGCTGCAGCCGCGGGATGAAAGGGGAATCCACCGAAACCCGCCTCCCTCCCAGCTCGCCCGCCCCACCCGCAACCGGATCTGGCTGGGGGCGGCGGGCTTTGAAGTCCGCGCCAGCGGCCCCAGCGCTCGGACGGCTCCGGAGACTCCGGGAGGCCGACTTGAAAGGGCAAGCCGCGGGCCGGTCCAGCCTTCCCGGGACAGGGCCGGGGAGAGCGGGGAGGAGGAGGGGAGGGGCGGGAGGGGGAGAAAGGGGAGAGTGAAGGGGAGGGGGCGGAGGGAGGGACAAAGGGTCCCGCCTGACGCCCTCCCCAGGGCCCAAGGGCGGCCCAGCCCCGCGCTAGGAGCGAGGAATGAGTTATCCCGGCATTCAAGGCCCTGCCGTGGGTGCCCTGCGCGCCACCCGTTTCTTCCTCCCTCCTGGCCCCTTGGCCAGACAGAACTGCTTCTCAGCTACTGCCTCACTCCGGCCTTAGCACACGCTGTTCCTTCTGCCAGGAGCGCCTTTCCCATCTTCCCCTCCCAGGCTCCAGCCTCAGCTCCTCCCTGCGGGGGATGGGAGGGAAGGGCGTCCTCTCTTCCTGTGGGGCCTCCCATAAACCTCCTGCCCTACCCTCTTCCCGGGTGCCCTCCTCCCCGGCCCCCTGCCTCAGCGTCCCCCAAGGCTGCTCAGACTCTGGTAATCCCTGGCCCAGAACCCCAGCTGTGGACACCTGGAGGGCATCCTCGCATCCCCCAGTCTGGACAGCTGTGGGTGGGCGCAGGAGACAGGGAGAGGGGGTCCTTCGATAATAGCGATCACAATACTAATAAGCCTTGGGGACTGGTCAGTGTGTGGGCGGGTGCTGAGAGAATTCCAGGGTCCTAGAGCCCATCGGCCCCGCGCACTGGAGCCTTATAGCTTCCAATGCACCCATGCAGGCGCACCATAGCCTCTTTCTCCTCCCTGCCCATCAGATTGCAAAGCTGGGTGACCCCTCTCCCGACCTCCAGCCGGGACCTCCTCCTCACTGCAGAGGGCCCCCAGCTGCCGCCTCGGCCCTTGGGTTCAACCACTGGCAGCCCCTAGAAAGCTCCAGCCCCACCCCCAGGGTTCTCTGTCCTCAGAGTCCCAGGAGGCTTTGCAGCTGTCTCCTGGAACCCTCTCCTCTGCCCACCTAGTGGGCTGATTGCCTGGTTTCTCCCAGCTCCCCAGGGCTGCTGGCTGAGGACAGAGTTTTTGTTCCAAGTTGCAGATGAGGACACTGAGGCCCACAGAGAAGTTGAGGTCTCGAAGCTGGTGGGATTGAGGTGGCCATGCTGGCCCCTGAGGAGCCAAGAGAGAGGGGCCCCCAACAGGCTGTGTCTAATAGGACAAGAGTGCCGCCATCTTCACAAGTCTCCACCATCTTAAAAGTATCAAGTTTCCATGTCTCAAAACTGTCCGCAAATGTCAACCCTGCCCATAGCTTCAACAGAGCATAAGGCTGTAACTGCAGCAGAACCTCACAAAGTCCCCAACAGTCACAACCAGCCAGCACTTCCCCAACTCCTCCACATAGAATCTTTCCTCAAAGCACACTTCCGGGCTGGGCGCGGTGGCTCATGCCTGTAATCTCAGCACTTTGGGAGGCTGTGGTGGGCAGATAACCTGAGGTCAGGAGTTCAAGACCAGCCTGGCCAACATGGTGAAACCAGGTCTCTACTAAAAATACAAAAAAATTAGCTGGGTGTGGTGGCAGGCGCCTGTAATCCCAGCTACTCAGGAGGCTGAGGCAGGAGAATTGCTTGAACCTGGGAGGCGGAGGTTGCAGTGAGCTGAGATCCCACCATTGCACTCCAGCCTGGGCAACAGGAGTGAAACTCTGTCTCAAAAAAAAAAAAAAAAAAGCACACTTCCCCAACCAGGCCCTTTAAAAAGCCTCAGGCTATATGAGAAGCTTGCTCCTGAGCCTGCTGGCCAGAAGCCCTTCTCAGGTTTACTCTTAATAAATCCATCTCCACTGTAGAACTGCCTTCTTGCCTCTTCTTTCCTTCATCTTTCTATTCCAATACTTGCTGCCAAACCCCGGGATGAGTCTTGGGGCTGAGAACTCTTGCAACCCAGGAAGCAGTGGGCCCCGACAGCTCATCCCTGGCTAATTCCTGGATCCTGAGGGTTCTCTGGCTTCCCGCCTAGTCCCTCAACTCTTCCTCTTTTTTAAAAGTGATTTGCATGAGGTAATTGAGTGACAGGAGAGGACTTCGAGGCTGTGGCCAGGGCTACCCCTGGATGGGTTCTCAAAACTCCCGGACCCAGAATTTTGCCTCCAACCGCTGGATCTGGGCAATTTACTTTCTGTTTCTCCCCAACGGCTCCAGTTTGAGAGGTCCTTTGCTGGTTCCTTCTAAAACATCCAACACCAGACACTAATTAGTAAGGTTTGCCCCCACCTGTCTCTCCTGTGCTACCCAGGAGACTCAGGTCCGCAGTCCCGGTCTCCTGGGGACCATTAGGACCATCAGAGACCTTGGGAGGGTGACGTTCAGGGATGCCTGACCTTTCCCCTCAGTCTACCTCCTCTTGAGAGGATCTCCCGTCTCTGCCCTTTTTCTGGGGATGCCTAGTCTAACGGCAGACACCCCTGGCCTTTCCTTGCCAAATCTCAATGGGCTCCAATCAATCTCAAATTACTCCTTCCTCCCCTCTAGGTTTCCTGATTTGTAACCTTTCTAAACTCGGTATAAAGGGGGACATTAAAGTAAAGTGCCTTATATTCTTTTGCAATACTGCCTGGCCTCAGGCCAAGGGCAACCGTTGGCCTGAAAACGGCACATTCGACCACCAAATTTTAAGGGATTTAGATAACTTCATTTATCGAAATGGCAAATGGCAAGAAGTTCCTTCATTTACCTTTGCTCACGTCCTTCCCTCTGCCAAGATTGTTCCCCACACCTCTAATTTGCTCCTTAATCTCTGTTGTTGGCATAAAGGGCATTCAGAAAACTCCCCTCCAAACACTCCCCTTATATTGTTCCTTTCGGGACGTCACCCTCATACATTGCTTCCTGTTAATCCCACATTGCCCCATGCCTCTTCTAAGTAGAGACCTGCTGCACAAATTGCGTGGCTTCCTCCACCTTTGGGCTCTTGGCCAAAGCCATCCCTACTTATTTTTATGCCAGGAACCCAAATTCTCCCTACCTGAAGTTAAGGAGCCAACACCTGACCTTAGCATTATAACTCAAACAAATCCTATTGTTTGGTCAACACAAATTCTGCAGTCGTGGCGGCCCACCACTCCCCATTAAAATTTCATTAAAGGATCCTTCTCATTAGATCACAGTCCAACAGTATTCTGTCAGCCCTGAGAGGCTTCGGGGACTCAAGCCCATCATCTCCCAACTGTTAGCTGCCAACATCCTCATTCCAACCCATTCCCCTCATAACACCCCTATTGTCCCTGTCCGGAAGCTGGATGGGTCCTACCGGCTTGTCCAGGACCTTCGTCAAATCAATTCTGCTGTCATCCCTACACACCCAGTCGTTCCTAATCCCTATACACTCCTCTCCAGAATCCCCCCTCATACCAGTCATTTTTCAGTACTAGACCTCAAAGTGCCTTTTTCAGGCCAGGCACAGTGGCTCTCGCCTGTAATCCCAGCACTTTGGGAGGCTGAGGCGGACGGATCACGGGGTTGGGAGATCAAGACCACCCTGGCTAACACGGTGAAACCCCGTCTCTACTAAAAATGCAAAAAATTAGCCTGGCATGGCGGCGGGCGCTTGTAGTCCCAGCTACTCAGGAGGCTGAGGCAGGAGAACGGCATGAACCCGGGAGGCGGAGCTTGCAGTGAGCCGAGATTGCGCCACTGCACTCCAGCCTGGGCGACAGAGCGAGACTCTGTCTCAAAAAAAAAAAAAAAAGATGCCTTTTTCACTATACCTCTATACCCTTCTTCCCAAAACCTGTTTGCTTTTACCCAGATGGATCCAGATACCAACATTTCCCAACAGCTCACATGGACTGTCCTCCCCCAGGGTTTCAGACACAGCCCCCCAACTTTTTTGGACAAGCCCTTCAAGCAGACCTCTCTAAACTTTGCCTAACACCTCCCATCCTCCTTCGCTATGTAGATGATCTGCTGCTCTGTTCCCCTTCAGAGGAACTCTCTATTCAGCATACTGTTACCCTTTTAAACTCCCTCACCCAGTACAGCTACCAGCTGTCCAAAAAAAAAAAAAGGCCCAATTAGCCTCCTCCAAGGTTTCATACCTGGGCCTCATGATTACCCCTGCCACCTGGGAAATTCCCTCAACACACAAGCAGATGGTCCAGAGCATCCTATTCCCTCATACCAAAAGAGACTGTCTCTCTTTCTTGGGACTCATGGAGTACTTCCAGCTATGGATTGCCAATTTTGTAGTGATTGCCACGCCATTATATGAGGCCTCAAAGGGAAACCTCGCTGAGCTTATTGCCCCTACTCCTGAACTTCATCATGCTTTGTCCTGCTTAAAACAAGCTCTAACCTGGGCCCCTGCTTTGGGTCTCCTTAACCCCAGCCGACCTTTCCATTTATACTTACACAGCTCCCAAAACGGAGCTTTAGGCCTTTTGGCCCAGCCCACAGGGGACTCTCTTCAACCTGTTGCATACTTCTTCAAGCAGCTAGATCTTATCTATAAAAGTTGGCCTCACGGCTGGGCACGGTGGCTCATGCCTGTAATCCCCACACTTTGGGAGGCCGAGGCGGGCAGATCCCCTGAGGTCAGGAGTTCGAGACCAGCCTGACGAACATGGAGAAACCCCATCTCTACTGAAAATACAAAATTAGCCGGGCATGGTGGTACATGCCTGTAATCCCAGCTACTAGGGAGGCTGAGGCAGGAGAATCGCTTTAACCTGGGAGGCGGAGGTTGCAGTGAGCCGAGATCGCGCCATTGCACTCCAGCCTGGGCAACAAGAGCGAAACTCCGTCTCAAAAAAAAAAAAAAAAAAAAAGTTGGCCTCTTTGCCTAAACATTTTAGCCACAGCCTCTTTAATTATCCCAGAGGCACAAAATTTCATCTTCTATAAACCCCTGCAAGTTTATTCATCACATGACTTGCAAGATATGCTCAGCCACAGGGCACTTCAAACAGTATCCCCTTCCCGCATCCAGACCCTGCACTCAGCCATTCTCCAATCCTTTCTCTCCCTCCGTAAATGCTCCCCTCCTAACACCGCCACCCTTTTACCCTCAACACCCCTCTTAGAGTCACCCCTGCACTCCTGCACTGATATCACTGATGACTCCCTTATCACGTTCCATCATTTAACCAACGCACCTATAAAGGGAGCTCCAGGCTGGTTTCTAGACAGCAGTGTGTCCAGAGTTCCTCCTTTCTCAGCAGGGTATATTATCATGGAAGGATACCGTGATGACACCCCCGTCCTCCCTCCCTGAAGAGTCATAGAAGCCTCTTTCTTACCAGCAGGCACATCCTCCCAGCAGGTAGGCCCATAACCAGGGCCCTAACCCTAGCAGCAGGAAAACAGGTCAATATTTACACTGACTCCAAATATGCATAGAACATCATTCATTCCAATGCCCAAATTTGGAGTGAACGCGGTTTCCTCACCACAAAGTGAACCCCCATTGTTAATGGAAAGCTCATTCGCCATTTGTTACAGGCTGCCTTGCTCCCAAAAAGTGGCAATAATTCACTGCAGGGAACACCAATCAAATGAGGGTCATATTTCCTTAGGAAATCGCAAGGCTGACAAATGAGCCAGAATGACCTCAGCAAATCAAGAAATTCCCCAATATCTTTTTTTTTTTTTTTTGAGATGGAGTCTCGCTCTGTCCTCTGTCGCCCAGGCTGGAGTGCAGTGGGGCGATCTTGGCTCACTGCACCCTCTGCCTCCCGGGTTCAAGCGATTCTCCTGCCTCAGCCTTCCGAGTAGCTGGGACTACAGGCGTGTGCCACCACGTCTGGAAATTTTTTGTATTTTTAGCTAGATACATGGTTTCATGCCCCCTGAAAGCCTCCCTGCCACCAATAAAAGAGCCTCTACTGTGGCCGCCAAACTACTTTCTGTGTGTATGTGTATGTGTGTGTGTGTGTATATATATATATATACACACACACACACACATACACACACACACACACATATATATTTGAGACCAAGTTTCACTCTTGTTGCCCAGGTTGGAGTGCAATGGCGCGATCTCAGCTCACTGCAACCTCTGCCTCCCGGGTTCAAGCGATTCTCCTGCCTCAGCCTCCTGAGTAGCTGGGATTACAGGTGCCCACCATCACACCCAGATAATTTTTTGTATTTTTAGTCGAAAAAATACTTTAGTATTTTAGCCACCTGCCTTGGCCTCCCAAAGTGCTGGGATTACAGGCATGAGACACCAGGCCTGTCCTCCCCAAATCTTATAAAAGCCCTTCATATTACTTGGAAATTCCATATTCCTTACTGATCTCCATCTTCTGGGAAGGTAGAAAGGATGAATTGCATTCTAAAAAATACTCTCACAAAATTCTCCTTACAAACCCACAAAGACTGGACCACCTTATTGCCCCTCGCCCTTCTCAAAATTAGGGCTCTCCCTCGCAAACCCCTAATGATTAGTGCATTTAATTCATGTACAGGAGACCTCTTGCCTCTTTTACGCCATCTCAAAAAAGCCCCTTCACTCCCCGATTCCCTTGTTACTCCACTCCTACAGGCAGTCCGCAGTTTCCTTTGGAAATGTGTGAACTGCACCTTACCCCAACCACTCCCAAGCACAGACAACCCCTCTCTCCATCAGTGAGACTAGGTTCTCCAAACCCCAAGAGAAACCCCCAGCAACCCTCTTAAGCCCAAGCAGGATGGCCCTTATTAGATTATTCTGGCTACCCCACAGCCACTAAGCTCAAGGGAATTCCTAATTTGTTCCACCCCTCATCCCTCAAAGAAACCATCCAGCCCCCCACCAACTCAGAATAAAACCCTCTCAACCTTTTCCTGTGTTTCCACGGGGCCTACATCTGTCTGCCTAACCAGGATTCCCAAAGAAGAAACTTCCACCTAAACCTCTCTATTAAAAGCCTATCACCCGGGCGCGGTGGCTCATGCCTGTAATCCCAACACTTTGGGAGGCCGAGGCAAGTGGATCACGAGATCAGGAGTTTGAGACCAGCCTGACCAACATGGTGAAACCCTGTCTCTACTAAAAATACAAAACTTAGCCGGTTGTGGTGGTCCGCGCCTGTAATCCCAGCTACTCAGGAGGCTGAGGCAGGAGAATTGCTTGAACCTGGGAGCTGGAGGTTGCAGTGAGCCAAGATCGTGCCACTGCACTCCAGCCTGGTGACAGAGAGAGACTCCGTCTCAAAAATAAAAATAAAAATAAATAAAAGCCTATCAATCTTCTATGTTGCCCTCTCCCCACAATTTTCACCTCTTCCTCACACTCCTTAGCTCAGACATTACCTGGTCCCCTCACGAGGAGCCTCTAGTTTCCCCTAATCAAACCTTTAACCTTCTGTTGGACTTATGGCTTCAAGGTACCTCCTAGGATTTCTCCCCCACCCAAATAACTTTCTTTTCCTTCTGCCTGATGTTCCCTCTCCCCTAAGTTTACCTTTCCTCACTACAATGGGATCCGCAGCCCGCATCAAGTCACTCCTCAAAGCTAAGCATCTGGAACTTTCTTTGAATCTCACTCAGTCCCTGCTGTGGCAAGCTAATCCTTCCTATGCTCATAATTGTTGGATGTGCCTATCACTCTCCTCATTGTCGGCATATACAGCCCAATCGGCGCTTCTCCCTACAACGTTAACTCAAAAAACATTCCTGACTTATAAACTCCAAAAGCGGTCTTCCTGCTTTGAAAGGGCAGACACTGTACTTGGCAATTACCCTACCCAATTTGCTAACCAAGCCAATAAACTGTTCCAAACATATTATAACTCTCTAACAAAATATGCCCACGGCCAGGCGCTGTGGCTCATGCCTGTAATCCCAACACTTTGGGAGGCCAAGGCGCGCAGATGGTTTGAGGTTGGGAGTTCAGGAGCAGCCTGACCAACAGGGTGAAACCCCATCACTACTAAAAATACAAAATTTTAGCCGGGCGCAGTGGCGCACACCTGTAATCCCAGCTACTCGGGGAGCTGAGGCAGGAGAATTGCTTGAACCTGGGAGGCGGAGGTTGCAGTGAGCCGAGATGGCAACACTGCACTCCAGCCTGGGCAACAGAGCGAGACCCTGTCTCAAAAACAAAACAAAACACAAAATATGCTCCCCCCCGCCCCCTCTATTGAAGGACCCCTTACTCTTCATATCCCTCTCCTTCAATGGGCTCCACTGTTTTTCAGCCACACAGGGCATGTGCCCCATAGGATCCCTCATTCCAGGAGAATGTAACAAAACCATTTCTATCCAGCACGCTACAGACCATCAAACTAACCGGGTTGAATATCAAGTGTCACCAGAAGCCAGTGGGTTGCTCCTCCAACCAGTTCGCTTTATAGCCACCCCCCACATCACGGCTACCTCCTTTAATTGCTCTATCCCCAACACACATCTCTATCCGTGGCTATCCATAACTGGTCCTGCTCCAGATCGCATCAAATGTTCAAAGGTTGACTCCCAACACATCTTCACCATCATCAGAGCCTCCTTGCATCTACACTGTCTGTTTGGAGCCAGGAACCCACCACAAACAACCAAAGGCCCTTAATCCACCTTTTTTCCCTTCATATCTCTACCTGCATTTCCGAAGCAGGCCTGTTTTCCTGCCTGGCACCAACACTTACCTCTGCCTCCCAACCGATTGGACAGGCACCTGTACTCTGGGCCCCCTTTCTCCAGGCTTCGGAATAATTCCCCCTAACCCAGCCCTGCCGGTGCCTTCCATTCAGCATGTCAAACAGACAAGGGCAGTCCAAATCATTGCCTTATAGGCTGTTCTGGGCATCAGCTCAGGCATTGGTTTAAGAGCTGGGGGATTAGCCACTTCACTCTCAAATTTTAAGTCTCTCTCCACAGACCTACAAGAATCCTCAGAAGATATAGCCAAGGGCCTTGTAAGAATCCAAGACCAGCTAGACTCCCCAGCCGGAGGAGTCCTCCAAAACCGGAGAGGACTCGACCTCCTTACAACAGAGAAGGGAGGTTCCTGCCTCTCTCTAGGGGAAGAATGCTGCTTCTATCTCAACCAGCCAGGCTTGGTAAGGGATGCCGTCCAAAACTTAAGGAAAGAGCTCAAAGAATGAGGGAGCGACAAGAAAACCAACCAAATCAGTTCCTGGTTAAATGTTCCTTACCGACAGGATCACAGCCATCTCACAAACTACCCCCCAACAACACCTGAAGACGGTGCTACTCCTCCAGTCAATCCAAAACCAGCAATCTTACGGCCCCCTTTCAGCAGGAAGTAGCCAGAAAAAGCACGCCAGCCCATCTCCCTATCTAACCATAGAGTCTGGATTGATAGGACAAGAGTGCTGCCATCTTAACGAGACTCCACAATCTTCTTTTTTTTTTTTTGAGAGAGAGTTTCACTCTTGTTGCCCAGGCTAGAGTGCAGTGGCGCAATCTCTGCTCACCTCAACCTCCGCCTCCCGGGGTCAAGTGATTCTCCTGTCTCAGCCTCCCAAGTAGCTGGGATTACAGGCAAGTGCCACCATGCCCGGCTAATTTTGTATTTTTAGTAGAGACGGGGTTTCTCCATGTTGGTCAGGCGGGTCTCGAACTCCCGACCTCAGGTGGTCCGCCCGCCTTGGTCTCCCAGAGCGCTGGGATTACAGGCATGAGCCACTGCGCCCGGTCTCCACCATCTTAAAGTATCAAATTTCCATGTCTCAGAACTGTCCGCAAATGTCAGCCCCGCCCATAGCTTCAACAGAGCATAGGCCCTAACTGCAACAGAGCCTAACGAAGTCCCCATTCGTCATAACTAGCCAGCCCTTCCCCAACTCCTTCCCAATAGGATCTTCTCTCAAAGCACACTTCCCCCACCGGGCCCTTTAAAAAGCCTCAGGCTGTAATGCCGGCCAGAGCCCTTCTCAGGTTTACTCTCAATAAATCCATCTCCACTGTACAGCTGTCTTCTCCCCTCTTCCTTCCTTTATCTTATTTTTTTTCTTTTGAGACGGAGTTTCACTCTTGTTGCCCAGGCTGGACTCACTGCAACCTCTGCCTCCCGGGTTCAAGCGATTCTCCTGCCTCAGCCTCCCTGGCAGCTGGGATTATAGGTGTCTGCCACCACACCCAGCTAATTTTTTCTATTTAGTAGAGATGGGGTTTCACCATGTTGGCCAAGCTGGTCTCAAACTCTCGACAAGTGATCCACCCGCCTTGGCCTCCCAGTATGCTGGGATTACAGGTGTGAGCCACTGCGCCCGGCCACTTTCCTTAATCTTTCTATCCCAACAAGATCAAACCTGGAACTCCATTCCACCTGGGAGGTGAGAGGCCCAGGTGCCGTCCATTTGTCCGGGGTGAGCAGGGGCTCAGTACGTTTAACATAATAGCAAATTGGCCTCAGGTCTCAAGGTGGGGTTCAATGTCAGCTCTCAGGAGTTGGTGTTCTGATGCGCACACAGCACCTACAACTGGGCTGTATGCACACATACGAATCTGCGGCTAAATCTGCAGCTGTGCCTCCCCAGGAAGGCAGACAGTGTGGGGAGGAGGGAAGAGGGGGGCAGGGGTTAGTCCTGGGGCAGGGAGGGCGGTGCTGCCCACTGGAGCCACAGCCTGGGTGGGTGGAACCAGATGTGAGCTTCATCCGCCTCCTTCCCTGCCAGCTGTAGCTCTTCTGGAGATCTAGGAGCTCAGCGTTCTCGCCTCTGCCTCCCTGGGGGATTCTATCTGCAGCTCCTACCACCAACTCCCACTCCCCCACTCCTACCCAACTCCACTGCCAGGTTCAGCAGGCAGAGGGGAGAGGGGAGGCCGGATGGGGGGCTCCCCCTGGGGGCAGCAGACAGGAGACCTGACCCACCTGGGCCCAGCTTCTCAGCTGGTTTTCTCATCTTTCCTGGAGGGCTGGACTAAGTCTCCTCCTTCCTTCCTGAGCACCTACTATGTATAGCCCTGTGCTAATGCTGTGGATACCTCTGTGCATAGGCTCACTGTATAGTGAAACAGACATGAATCAAAGACACCCACAAATATGTGCTGTGATGGTGAGACTACAGGCAGCTCAGCGTAAAGGCCCTAAACCAGCCACAGACATCAGGGGAAGGCTTCTGGGAGGAAGTGACATGGTTGAGCTGAAAGCAAAGGTTAGGGCTAAGGAGAGTGAGTGGAGGGAGGGGAAGAGTAGGGGGCAGTGGGAACTGTGAGCTGGCTTTTATGAGGGGAGACAGAAGAAGGGCTTGCTGTTGAGGGAAGGGCAGTTTGATGTGGCAGAGGTAAAGTGGTGGCAGGGGGTCTGCTAGGGCCCTGGTTAAGCGGGGTCTTGCAGGACCTGGGCACCAATAGAATCCAGACCACAGTGTCCCCATCCCCCAGTTGAGGAAACTCATAGGATGGGACCCAAAGAAGCAGGAGGGCCCAAACTCGGTGGCTCATGCCTGTAATCCCAGCACTTTGCAAGGCCGAGGTGGACGGATCACCTGAGGTCAGGAGTTCTAGACCAGCCTGGCCAACATGGCAAAAACCTGTCTCTACTAAAAATACACAAATTGGCTGGGCATGGTGGTGTACACCTATAGTCCCAGCTACTCGGGAGGCTGAGACAGAAGAATCACTTGAACCCAGGAGGCAGAGGTTGCAGTGAGCCGAGATTGTGCCACTGCACTCCAGCCTGGGAGATAAAGTGAGACTCTGTCCCCTTCCCTCCACCACCAGAAAAAAAAAAAAAAACGAAAAAAAAAAGCAGGAGGGCTTAGTTGGGGTTAGAAGAACATCTCAACCTGGATTTCAGACCCCACCTTGAATGGACTGGCCAGAGACAGAAACAGAAATTGGAAGCTAGGATCTGAAGAGGCCTGGTGGATGGGGCCGGCCCCAAAGTGGATGGGGAATAGAAAGGGCCTGTGATCCACTCCCCTAGAATATCCTTTCTTCCCACTATCTTAGTAAAACTCCTATACAACCTTCAGGACCCAATCTAAATGCTCCCTCTGCTATAAAGACCTAACAGACCCTCCCAGGCTTTACCCCATCTCTGATTTCATTCACATTTCACCTGTGTCTTCTAAAACAGTAATCTTTCTTTATTCCTTCTTTTCCCCTTCTTCCCTCCCCTCCCTCCCTCCCTCCCTCCCTTCCTTCTTTCCCTCTTCTCACTCTTTCTTCTCTTTCTTTCTCTCCTTCCTTGCTATGTCACCAGGCTGGAGTATAGTGGCACAATCATAGCTCACTGCAACCTCTGCCTCCCAGGCTCAAGAGATCCTCCCACCTCAGCCTCCTGAGTAGCTGGATTACAGGCCTGTGCCACCACACCTGGCTAATTTTTGTATTTTTTGTAGAGACGGGGTTTTGTCATGTTGCCTAGGCTGGTCTTGAACTCCTGGGCTCAAGCTATCTGCCTGCCTAGGCCTCCCAAAGTGCTGGGATTATAGGTGTGAGCCACCACACCCCACCCAAAACCATGATCTCTCGTTGAACATCTACTATGTGTCAGGAACTTGCTGAGCACTTTGCCTCAGAGAGAGGAAGGGGAGTGGCTTGCCCAGGTCCCACACCGGGGGAGAGGCAGGGCCAGGCCAGGGGCCCAGGACCCCCGACTCTTGAGGCCTGTGCTCTGAATCACAGAGCTGAGCGGCCTCCTTCTGTGCTCCTTCATTCCCTTTGCAGGGACACTCTTCCCTGCTCTTCCCAGTTAGATGGTAGCTAGCTGCCTCCTTCTTCAAGAGTCCTCCCAGGGTCGGTCCATGCCTCCTCCACTCCCCACCACGTTCTCTGGCCCATCGTTCATAGCTCTTTTCATAACCACCACGACTTCCTTCTTTGTTTACATGATTATTGTCTCTCTCCCCAACTAGACAGTGATTCCCAGAGGGCAGGGGCTGTGCATGTTACTCTCTGCTGTGCCTCGTTAAAGAGGATCTGGTTGTGCTTCCAACAGGGCAGACTTCAAATCACACCGGTTTAAACAATCAAGGGTTTATTTCTTGCTCAAGTAAATCTAAGCAGTCCAGGGCTGGTAGGGGCTTCATGGCCCCTAGGGGCTCCAGCTCCTATTGCTTTGTTGCTCTGCTATTCTCAACACACGGCTTCAACCTCACAGTGCACAACAGCTGCTCCTGCTCCAGACTCCATGCTCACATTCTGGTCAGCAGAAAGGAGAAGAAAAGGAGAAGGCATTGCCCCTGTCCTTTAAAGAAAACTCCCAGGAAGTGGGCCAAACCACTTCTCCTGGCATCTCATTGGCCAGAACTTGATCACATGGTCACATCTAGCAGCAAGGGATGCTGGGAAATGTAGTTTTGGGCCAGGTGGCCATACACCCAGCTAAGGATGGGGTGAACTATTCTTATGGAAGAGGAGAGAAGAGACCAGCAGCCTATGTCACAGTCCCCATCTCCTGGCTCATAATAATAATAGTAGTAGTAATAATAATAATAGCTGATATGTATTTAGTACTTTACTTTGTAGTAACTCATTTAATCCTTGCAATAACACTCAAGGTGGGGAAACGGAGGAACGGTATTGGTCAAATCACCTATCCAAGGCCACCTGGCTGGTAAATAGCAGAGCTAGGATTTCAATCTAGGGCCACCTGGTTCCAGAGCTGACACTTCTCTACTTCTCCACCATCCCTGTTTAATCACTATAGAGTGGATGACGCAACCTACTGAATTTGCTCTTGTCCGTATGGGCCCCTTAAAGGGGCTGGGCACACAACAATGTAGGTTCCTCGCCCTGCCCCTTGGGCTGGCTCAGGGCCTGAGCTGTGGCCTCCAGGGCTGAGCCTGGCCTGATCCAAGAGGACTTAGAGAGACCAGCTCCTGGGGGTTGGGGGTTTTGCTCCTGAGCAGGGAAGGAAGGGCAGGGACATCTATGATGGAGGGTTCCAGAGAACCAGTGGGGAGAAGGGACATGGAGGCAACCTCTGACCTCCTTCCAAAACTGAAACTGAGTCAGTGTGAAACGAGGACCTTTCCAGGGCAGAGCAGAGCCTGGGGTGGCCCTGCCGAGACTCCTGGGGTGCCCTGATCTTAGTGGAGGTGAAGGGATGGACAGGCTCTTGTCGGGTCCGAGAGAAGCCCAGGGATGTAGCCTGCCCAGCGAGTCTCTAGCTGTCTCCCTTGGGCAGTGGCTGCTTCCTCCTGGGGACATTTTCCTACTCAATCTGGGTTTCATGCAGAAAGAGGAGGTCACAGGGACTCTGGAAAGACCTGGCTTCCAATCTGTGGTACTGTCCTCTAGAGATAGAGACCTCAGACAATCAGAGGGTGCCACTCTCTCCTCCACCCAGCCCTGCCTTGGGCACTAGGTTATCCACCTGTCAGGCCCCTGCAGGCTTCCCTGCTGTGCCTGGGAAGCCCAAGCTCCTGGTTCTTGTCCACATAGCCAAGGTCCCCAGTGCCTTTCTCTGAAGTAGGTGGTTGTGACCTTTTCTGTGCTGTGGGCTGCTGTGGCATCTGGTGACACCTTCATGCCCTGTCTTCTTTGTACATGCATAACAAATACGTAGGATTACACAGGAAACCGAGTCACTGGAAATATGGCTATCAAGATATTTTTAAAAACCACATTTAAAAACCACATTTGTGGCAAGGTGTGGTGGCTCATGCCTGTAATCCCAGTACTTTGGGAGGCTGAGGCAGCCGGATCACCTGAGGTCAGGAGTTCCAGACCAGCCTGGCCAACACGGTGAAACCCCGTCTCTACTAAAAATACAAAAATTAGCAGAGCGTGGTGGCATGCACCTGTAATCCCAGCTACTCAGGAGGCAGAGGCAGGAGAATCACTTGAACCTGAGAGGAGGTGACTGCAGTGAGCCGAGATTGCGCCAGTGCACTCCAGCCTGGTTGACAGAGTGAGACTCCATCTAAAAAAGAAAAGAAAAAATAAATCACATTTGTGATGTGATAATAAATGTGCCTCTTTACTAAGCATTAACAAGATGTGGCGGCGGGTCTGCAACGGAGTGATGAGTGAGATTTTGAGAAATCTGCACCAGCTTTGTTGTGATCAGAAGACAGCTGTGATTTCTGTTGGTAACAGTGCCGCAGGTACCACTGACTTCTGGCTTTGCTGGGTATGATCATCATGGAAGGAAATACTACACTGTAGTTAGATGTTAGAGAAAATGGAGATGGGATTTTTTTTTTCTCCATCCAAGTTCATGAATGTCCTGAGTTCTACTCATGGCATACCCCAGGTGAGGGACCTCTGTTCTGCTCCCATAATTGGGGTGCAGACACTATGCCCAGCAAGCAGGGAGTTCTCGGGCTGCAGGGAAGAGAGGTTGGGGAGGGGTTGGGGAAGAGCCGATCGCTAAGGGGGAGGAGTTCTGGACTGCAGAGTCGTGTGACCCCAGCAACTGAAGAATTGTGGAAATTGAGGGAGAGGGAGAAATCAACTAGCTTGCTGATTTCTCCAGCCTGGGGTCCTGGGCTGTAGAGTCCCTAACAGCAGACAGAAGTGAGAAAGAGGGCCTACAGGGAGTGCACCAGCTGCAACTAGATGCAGCTGGGGAGAGTGTGTTGGTCACCTCTTGCTGGATTGTGCTGTGGTAATGAACAACCTCCGTGTCTCAGTGCCTTGGAAGCAGAAAGATCTTTTTGCTTGTGTTGGGTGTCAGCTGAGCTGCAAGCGAGCAGCAGCTCTCCTTCTCATCCCCTTCTCTCCAGGACCCAGGCAGGGCCATGGCTGTCTTCATGGTACCATGGAAGCCCCATGAAGGCCCATGTCTGCTTAGCACAAGATTTGTCCCTGGCGTCCCTGCCTCTTCTAAATAGGCAGGGCATGCTCAACAGGTTGCACTGACCCACAGGACCCAGGAGGGAGGCTTTGAGGGTATCCCCACCTTCCTAACAGACCCCTGAGGCTCAGAGAGGGAGCAAGAGTCCTTCTGCTCTTGCTTCTTGCTCAGCAGGTATAGGGCAGGGCAGGGCTTCCCTGCTCCAAGCTCCCTGGACATGCCCTTGGTCCCAGGCCCTGGAGTCCCCTCCTCTTCCCCCCAGAAGGGAGGTCCAGAGCCTAGTGCGGCCCAACTGATCAGCTCCTGGGACCATTCCCCAAACCAGGAGGTACCGATCCCTAGGAGAATCTGCAGAATCTGTAGGGACTTAGGAGTCCCCGTCAGAGCAAGCTTCAGCTCTCCCTTAGGCCAGCTCTTACTTCTGGCAAGGGAGCAGGACTACAGGCCTGGGCCAACAGAGCCCAGCACCCTTGGGAGCATCTTTATTTGTTTATTTATTTATTTTTGAGATCAGGGCTCACGGTGTTGCCCAGGCTGGAGTGCAGTGGAGCAGTCATGGCTGACTGCAGCCTTAACCTCCCAGCCTCAAGGCCTCAAGTGATCTCGCTTCAAAATAGTTGGGGACTACAGGTGTGCACCACCACATCCAGCTAACTTTTTTATTTTTTGTAGAGATGGGGTTTGCCCATCACTGTCCAAGCTGGTTTCAAACTCCTGGGCTCAAGTGGTTCTCCTGCCTTGGTCTCCCAAAGAGCTCGGATCACAGGCATGAGCCACCATGCCCAGCCATTTCTTTTTTCTTTGAGCCTTGGGAACATCTTGATGCCTTCCCAGGAAACCTGGAGAGGGTCTCCCTATCCTCTGGGCAGCAGTGATGGGCCCCATCCTTGTCCTGGGCAATGGGGTGCCGTGGAGGAGGGGGTCTTCACATTCAGGCTGGGGAGGATGGACCCATTTTAGCCACAAAAGTGGATCCTTGTAACAGAGAGGCAGGAAGGTCAGAGCGAGAGAGAGGAGCCGGAAGATGCTACATGCCTGGCTTTGAAGAATGAGGATGAGGCCACAAGCTAAGGAACGCAGGTGGCCTCTAGAAGCTGGAAGTGCAAGGAAATGGATTTCCCTAGGGCCTCTGGAAGCAACACGGCCCCGCTGACATCTTGGCTCTTACTTCAGACTGTAAGAGAGTAAATCTGTGTTGTTTAAGCCACTGACCTTGTGATCAGTTGTTATTGCAGCAAGAGGAAATGGATGCAGGCTGTTGCTCCAGCTCTTCTCCCAGTTCCCAGCCAGCTCTGATGTTCCAGAAAGAAAATAGATGCTCTGTGTGGCCCTGCTTTGTAAATGATTAAAGGGCTGAGGGGCGGTGGGGGGAGCTTCTTAAGGCCACCAGGTCACACGGAGCCCATGGCTGGGACTTTCCATCTGTGGTTTCTCCAGGAAATGAAACCCACCTGTTTGCTGGGTGTGGCCTACAGGACGAGCAGGAGGCTCAGGATTCCAAATGAGAGGGAAAAATGCCCTTAGAAAGTAGCGTTGCTGGGTTTCTCTGGGTCGGGCTGTCTCTGCCACTGTCCTTCTTCACCAGGAGGTCTCAGAGCCCAGCAGTGACAAGCTCAGGATGGACTCCAGTTGCCCTGGGTGCCAATTCTCAGCTCTGCTGAGTTGTCGTTTGTGTGACTTGGGCAAGTCCCTCCACCTTTCCCAACCTCGGCTTCCTCCTCTGTAAAATGGAGATAATAGGATGAGCTTACCTGGAGGACCCAATGGGATGCCATGTTTGTGAAGAGCTCAGCTCAGGGCTGGGCGCTCAGGTGCACCCCTGTGGGTGTCTGGGTGTGCAGGTATGCATGTATGCAGGAGTGCTCGTATACAGGTATGTGTGTACAGGTACAGGTTGCAGGCATGTGTGTACAAGAAGGCACATGAGGTATGTGTGTGCAGGTATATCTGCAGCCCGGATGAGCATTCTGAAATTCACCTTTGCCATGTTACTCCCCTGCTCAGAGCCCCCCATTGCTCCAGGGAGAAGTTGAAATCTTCACCATGGCCAACACCACCCTGCCCGGCCTGGCACCTGCCAGCCTCTCAGCCTCATCCCCCCAACTCCCCAGTTTGTACCATGTGACCTAGGCCTGCCATCCTCCTATCCATTCCTGAAGCGGGCCATGTTTCATGGCAGTCCAGGCCTTCACCCATGCCATTCCTTCTGGAACACTTGTCCTTAGTCCTCCTTCCTGACTAGCTCCTACTCAGTCTTTGAATTTATCACCTCCTCCAGGTAGCCTTCCCTGACTGCTACCCCACCAGAGTGATTGCCCCTCCCCTTTGAACCCATGGCATCACCATCCCCCATTTGCTCCCCTGGTCTCAGCACTAACTACATCGACAATAATCACTCATGACATCTCTCTTCACTCTGAGGCCATGTGCCCCCTGTCTCCAGTGCCCAACATGGGGCCTAGCCCGGAGTAGAGGCTTAGAACACTTGTTGAATGGATGAATGAATGAATGGATGAATGCACACATCTGGATGCATGAGCAAGGAGGCTGTCAGTGCAGAAGGGGTCTGCAGCACGTGTGCAAAGGTGATGTGGGGAGATATCAGATTTGGCCAAGGCTGTGCCTTGGGGAGGGGCTGGAGAAAGGGGGATGGACAGGGTGCCCACTCCCCATCCAGACCCCTTTTCCCTGTGGAGACTGTGGACTTACTGAGGTTGCCTTGTTGTTGGGGGAGAGGGAGGATGGAGAGAGTAGAGGGTGAGAGGGGAGGTGGACGCCAGCAGTGCCAATACATTCTGCTTCATCTTCCCTTCCTGACCTCTCTGTGACTTTCATCTGCCCAGCCTGGGCCCTTCCGCTGGATGGGGAAGGAGCAGAACTTCCCAGGGTCACCAGCCCAGTGGCCCTTCTGGTGTCTCTAGCCGCCATCCCCTTAGCTCGTTCCTTGGGCCCCTGGTCAGGCCAGGAGGAGGTGAGAGCAGCGGCTCTGGGGGAAGAGGGGATAAGGGCCTGGCCTGGCCTCGGAGCCCAGACGGCGGGCCCTGCCCCTTACTCATGCCTGGGGTGAGGCAGCCCATGACTGTGTGGCCTGGAGCGGGTCACTTCCCCTCCCTGACCCTAATCCTGACATCTGTAAAATGGCATAGCAGCCCTTCTGAGTAGTCTTGCAGCAATTAACAAGCTCCTGCTTACAGAAGGCTCGACACAATATCTGGCACTGGAAAATGCTCAGTAAGTAGAATTTTGTCATCATCATTATCATCTCTTTCCTCTCTCCCGCCTCCCTCCTGCCTTTCTTCCTCTCCTCCTTCCTGCATTCAGACCATGCAGTTTGTTCCTAGTGCACCCCTAGTAGGGCAGGACAGGTATCTCACTCATCTTTATATCCCCTGTCCCTGGCACAGTGCCTGGGCACCTAGTCAGTGCTCAATAAATGTTTATTAGGGCCAGGCATGGTGGCTTACGCCTGTAATCCCAACACTATGGGAGGCTGAGGTGGGAGGATCACTTGAGCTTGGGAGGCGGAGATTGCAGTGAGCTGAGATCTTGCCACTACACTCTAGCCTGGGTGACAAAGTGAGACCTTGCCTCAAAAATAATAAATAGCCGGGTCCGGTGGCTCACGCCTGTAATCCCAGCACTTTGGGAGGCCGAGGCGGGTGGATCACCTGAAGTTGGGAGTTTGAGACCAGCCTGACCAACATGGAGAAACCCCATCTCTACTAAAAATACAAATTTAGCTGGGCGTGGTGGCGCATGCCTGTAATCCCAGCTACTCGGGAGGCTGAGGCAAGAGAATCTCTTGAACCCGGGAGGCGGAGGTTGTGGTGAGCCAAGATCGTGCCATTGTATTCTAGTCTGGGCAACAAGAGCAAAACTCTGTCTCAAAATAATAATAATAACAATAAATAAATAATATTTGTGGAATGAATATTTTTTGCCCACTGAGGGGCAATGCACTTCCTCTCTCTGGTCTCTGGTTTCCTCATCTTAAAACAAGTCCATAAACCAGGAATCTCCAAGGTTCCTCCAGTTTTGAAATAAAGACTGAATGTTATAGTCACTGCTGTGCTGGAGTCTTTGGTCTTTTTTCTTTTTTTTTCTTTAATATTCTTACCAGCTAATATATCCCTGAGGCCTCTTGCCCATGCACAGGACCGGCCTCTTGATTTTCTGCCGGCCTCCGTGCTTTGACTCCTGTTCTCCATCACGCAGCAGCTGGTGTAGGGGCTTCTGAGCACAAACCTGTGCTGGATAAAGACAAGCGTCTTCATCATGGCCTTAGGGCCTTGCACGGCCCAGCCCTTGGGAGCCTTTCCAGCCTCATCTGGAAGACTCACCTCCCCCCAGGTCACTGGGCTCCACCTGGCAGGCCTTCTCTGCCCCTTTACTTCCCGGGTCCCTCCCTGCACAGGCCCTTCGCACATGCTGTTCCCCTCCAGCTGCAATGCTGTTCCCTTTTCCTTCACCCAGGCAACTCCCACTCATTCTTCAGATCTAGGCCCTGGTGCCAATCCCTCTAGGAAGCCTTCCCCAGCCTCCCCCTAGACTGGCTCCAATCACCCCATTATTGACTGCCTAAGCCTCTCCCAGCATCTGTCACAGGCAGGAAGTGACATCCGCTTGTGAAGAATTGCACGTATTTCCTCGGCTAGACCACGCACTCCGGCCTGGCTTGGCTCTCTGCGCCGAGGCTCCAGCCGGCAAGGAGCCTGGCCCATGACACGTGCGGTTGCCCGCGTTCCCTCCCCACGTGGTGGGAGTCTCTGAGGGTCTCTGCGGGGCGCCCGGATGCCTGAGGAGCCAGGCAGCCGCACAGGAGCCCCCAGGGCGGCAGGAAGGGCAGGGTGACCCCCGACTGCACATGCCAGCCCCCACCCCACACTGCTGTCTGCTCTCAGGGAAGAACCTGCGTTAGCTGCGACATTTTGGAATCAGTCTCATTCTCTGAGTTAGGCCACTCCTGGAGATGGGCTGGCCCCGAGACCAGGGCCAAATCCCAGCCCCACCGAGGGCTGTGGCGCCTCCTTGAGCAGCACCCTTCCCCGCTCCAGGCCTTGGTACGGCACAGGAGGAGGGCACCCACCTGGGCAGGGTCAGGTGGGGGCGTGGAGGTCCCCAGGGGAGCCCCCAAAGCCACTGTGCGGCAACAGACATTCAGGACGGCAGGAGGGAGAGCCTCGGGTGGCTGCTGGAAAGGGGTGAGCATGGAGTGTGAGTGTGTGAGAAGTGTGTGTGAGAAGTGCATGAGTGTATGAGGAGTGTGTGTGTGAGGAGTACGTGTGAGAAGTGCGTGTGTGAGGAGTGTGTGTGTGAAGAGTGTGTGAGTGTGTGAGGAGTGCGTGTGTGAGAGGAGTGTGTGTGAGGAGTGTGTGTGAGGAGTGCGTGTGTGAGGAGTGTGTGTGTGGAGTGCGTGTGTGTGAGGAGTGTGAGGAGTGCATGTGTGAGGAGTGCGTGTGTGAGGAGTGCATGTGTGTGAGTGTGTGTGTGAGGAGTGTGTGTGAGGAGTGTGTGTGTGAGGAGTGCGTGTGTGAGGAGTGCGTGTGTGTGAGGAGTGTGTGTGTGAGGAGTGTGTGAGGAGTGTGTGCGTGTGTGTGAGTGCATGTGAGGTGTGTGCGAGGAGTGCGTGTGTAAGGAGTGTGTGAGGGTGTGAGGAGTGAGTGTGAGAGTGACTGAGTTTGCAAGTGTGTGTGTGTGAGTTTGCAAGTGTGTTTGTGAGTTTGCAAGTGTGTGTGTGTGCGTGTGTGTGTGTGTGTACACGTGTGCAGCTGGCAGAAGAGCCTTCAGTGGAGGGCCGGGAGGAAAGGAGCTGGAGAAAGGCTGCTCCCCCGCAATGCTGAAGCCAGCAGCTCAGAGGCAGGGACTCAGAGGCAGGGACTCAGAGGCAGGGACGTGGAGCTGCCTCCAACAAGGTGAAGGAAGGAGGCGGGTGGCTGGAGGGAGAAGCCACCAAACGCAGGGGAGGAGACTGGGAGAATTCTGGACCTGAGGGTCTGAAGACCAGCTTGGCCCTCTGGCAGCCCCATCGCCAAGGACTTGAGCCCTGCTGCCCAAAGACTCGGGTTTGAATACGGGCTCTGCCTCTTACTAGCTGTGGGACTCTGGGTGAATCCTTTGCCTCTCAGAGCCTGGGTTTCTTGGCTTGTAAAATGGAGATGATAAGAGAACATACCTGTGGATTCGTTTCCTGGGGCTATCGGAGCAAGGTGCCATGGACAGGGTGCCCTAAACAACAGACACTTATTTGCTCACAGTTCTGGTGGCCAGAGCTTGAGATCAAAGTGTCAGCAGAGCTGGTTTCTCCTGCAGCCTCTCTCCTTGGCTTGCAGATGTCACATTCTCCCTGCGTCTTCACATGGCATATGTCTGTGTCCTAATTTCCTCTTCTTATAAGGACATCAGCTATGTCGGACTGGGGTGCACCCTGATGACCTCATTTTAACTTAATCACCTCTTTTAAACCCTTACTTAGTCTGGGATGCTAAAACAAAACATCACAGACTGGGCGGCTTAAAAACAACAAATTTATTGCTCACAGTTCTGGAGGCTGGGAAGTCCGAGATCAAGGTGCCAGCAGATTGGTGCCTGATGAGGACTGTTTTGCTTCCTGGTTCATAGATGGTGCCTTCTTGCTGTGTCCTTACGTGGTGGACTGAGTAAGCAAGCTCCCTGGAGCCTCTTTTTATTTATTTTTTTGAGACGGAGTCTTACTCTGTCACCAGGCTGGAGTGCAGTGGCGCAATCTTTGCTCACCGCAACCTCCGACTCCCTGGCTCAAGCAATTCTCCTGCCTCAGCCTCCCGAATAGCTGGGATTACAGGCATGCGCCACCACGCCCAACTCATTTTTGTATTTTTAGTAGAGACAGAGTTTCACCAAGTTGGCCAGGATAGTCTCGATCTCCTGACCTCATGATGTGCCCGCCTCAGGCTCCCAAAGTGCTGGGATTACAGGCGTGAGCCACCGCACCTGGCCCCTGGAGCCTCTTTAATAAGGGCATTGATATGGTTGGGATATTTGTCCCACCAAAATCTCATGTTGAAATGTAATCCCTGGCCAGGCACGGTGGCTCACGCCTGTAATCCCAGCAGTTTGGGAGGCCGAGGTGGGTAGATCGCGTGAAGTCAGGAGTTCAAGACAAGCCTGGCCAACATGGTAAAACCACCTCTCTACTAAAAATACAAAAAATTAGCCAGGCATAGTGGCAGACGCCAGTAATCCCAGCTACTTGGGGGGCTGAGGCAGGAGAATCGCTTGAACCCAGGAGGTGGAGGTTTCAGTGAGCTGAGATCACGCCACTGCACTCCAGCCTGGGCAACAAGAGTGAAACTCCATCTCAAAAAAAAAAAAAAATGTAATCCCCAAAGTTGGAGATGGGGCCTGGTGGGAGGTGTTTGCTTGGCAGTGGATACCTCATGGCTTGGTGTTGTCTTCCTGACAGTGGTGGGTTCTCATGGGAGCTGGTTGTTTAAAAGTGTGTGGTACCTCCCCCTCAACTCTCTCTTCCTCCCGCTCTGGCCACGTGAGACACCTGTTCCCCCTTCACCTTCTGTCATGATTGGAAGCTTCCTGAGGCCTCCCCAGAAGCTGAGCAGATGCCAGCACCATGCTTCCTGTACAGCCTGCAGACCCATGAGCCAATCAAACTTTTCTTTATAAATTAGCTGGTCTCAGGTGTTTCTTGACAGAAATTCGAAGACGGACTGATACAGGCATTAATCTTATTCGTAAGGGCAGAGCTCTCACCTCCCAAAAGCCACCACCTCATAATATCATCACACTGGAAATTAGGTTTCAACCTGAATTTTGGTGGGATGCAAACATTCAGACCATAGTACCCTGTCCCCAAATACAGACACATTCTGAGGACCTGGGGGTTAGGACTTCAACATATGAATTTGGAAGAGCACAATTCAGCCTGTAACATCTGCTTTGGTTTGGTTTGGGCTCCCCTGCAAGTAGGCCTCAAAGGCTGTTGTACTTGTAGTTTGTTTGGGACGAGTACTCCTAGGGGCAAGAGTGAGGGATGGGGAGTGGGAAGAGCAAAACAGGAGCGGCAAGAAAACCAATGCAAAGGCCAGGCGCGGTGGCTCACGCTTGTCATCCCAGCACTTTGGAAGGCCGAGGTGGGTGGATCACTTGGCATCAGGAGTTAGAGACCAGCCTGGCCAACATGGCAAAACCCTGTCTCTACTAAAGATACAAGAATTACCAGCCTGGCGAACACGGCAAAACCCCGTCTCTACTAAAAATACAAAAATTAGCCAGGTGTGGTGGCAGGTGCCTGTAATCCCAGCTACTTGGGAGGCTGAGGCTGGAGAATCACTTGAACCAAGGAGGCGGAGGTTGCAGTGAGCCAAGGTTGTGCCACTGCACTCCAGCCAGGGTGACAGAGCGAGACTCTGTCTCAAAAAAAAAAAAAAAAAAAAAGAAAAGAAAAAAAGAAAGGCTGAGCATGCATGATGGCACGTGCCCGCCCATAGTCCCAGCTACTCAGGAGGCTGAAGTGGGAGAATTGCTTGAACCTGGGAGGTGGAAGTTTCAGTGAGCTGAGATCGCACCACTACACTCCAGCCTGGGTGACAGAGCGAGACTCTGTCTCAAAAAAAAAAAAAGAAAGCCAATGCAAACGTGCATTGCTGAGTTCACCATTATGGAAGCTGGGGTGCCAGATCCCCCAGGATCATCGGAGCTGCCTTGCAAAATGCATCTCAGAACCATCCGCCCAGGGGAAGAAAGGAGGGAGCATTGGTTCCAGGGCTCTGCTGCCTTTGAGGAAGCGTTGGCCTGTAGGGTGTTCACACCTTTGCACTTGCAGTTGAGCATGTGTAACTGCCGAGTGGGTTACTGTGGAGGGGCGGAGGTGGGGGGATCCCACACTGTGGCATCAGCAAAGCCCCGGGCTGGAAGCAAGAGGCAAGCACAGGGGCCTAGGGCGGGCCATTGTCAGCTCACAGCTGTATGGAGCTTGTCAAGGCCTGTGAGGTCTGTTTACTGCAGCTGGGCCTGGATTAGGAGGTGAAGCCAAGAGGTCTGAAGCGTTCAGGTGAGCTGCTCAACACAGTCCGCCCCTTGTAGCACTCAGCCCCGCCCCTGCCCCCCGCTGGGTCCACCGTCAGAGTCCCCTTCGAGGTGCTGGTATCTGCAGTGCCTGCAGACAGCTCATGCTAGAGGGTTACCGAGAAGAGCTCAGAACCCACCTGAGTGGGAACCCCTTTCTTTGCATGTTGGTCCTGGTCCCTGGCACAAAGGCCCCAGTGTGACAGATGCAGTCACAGGTTTGAGTTCGGTGGGATCCACCCTGTGCCCAGTGGAGCCCTCCCCTACTTCCCTTCTCCCCTGCCCTCTCTCCCCTCTCCCCTGTCCCAGATAGCTGGGGCCTCTCATCTGACACACCTAAAGTTGCAGGGACAAGAAGCACAAATCCACAAGGAGGTCCCCGGTGGAATGGGGTCGGGGGGCGGGCAATCCTATTTCTACAACTTGTCCCTGGACCATGTGTTCCAGCTTCTGGGGACATGGCACCTGTGACTGGTTGTTGGCTCTGTGCTTGGGGTGCTGCACAAGCTGGCCGCCCCTACATTCCATCAGGCCCAGGCTCCAGGGTGAGACCGGTGGGCATCACGCTCATGTGCCCACTGGGATCCTTCCTCACCATAAACTGTGTCCCTAGGTCCGGGGCCTAGGTTGGCAGGATCCCACATCTCCAGATGGGGCATTCCGAGCTGCATTCTGGATGCAGTGGCGGCATGGAGATCTGTCAGGTGGCACAGAACTACTGCCATGGCTGGATTCCGAGGTGAAGACGAGAAGAACGAGGGTTGTGGAATAGCGGGTGCTGCTCACAGGGCTCAGAGTGCAGATACAGAGAAGGCTCAGCACAGGATCTGGCACAGTGGGTCTACCGAATTGCCACTATGCCCATTTTACAGATGGGAAGCCTGAGGCTCAGAGGAGGAGGCAGCTTGCCCAAGGACCCAGGGCTAGCGGGCAGCAGAGCTGGGTTGGGGACCAGCCTTAAAAATCCTGTGCTTGTAGCTGTGAGGCTGTCTTCCCTGCCTCACTGCTGACCCAGTGAGTACATGTCTCTTTACAAAAAGAGTATCGTTCTGTGCCTGTGCTGGCCCAGGGAACGTCGAGGAGGCCAAGGTCACCCCACATGGCCTTCTGGGGCAGCTCCTCCTCTGACCGACAGAGGCCTTTCTGAGATGGCTGGTGGCCAAAGCCACTAACTGAGGGGCAGGACAAGGGGACTCTGAGCACCTTAGTCCCTACCCCACATCCCAGCTTCTATCCAGGATCCAAAAGTTTCTCCTGATGGGCACTCCTTCCCCTCCAGCTCAGACAAGTGGGCAGGGCTCTGGTGTCAGACGGACCTGAGCTCTGCCCTCTTCTCCCTCCTGGCTTTGGGACCCTGGGTGAATCTTGGTCTCTGTTCCTTCATCTCACTTCATGGGGACTGAATGAGACCCAGGGGTGAGGCCCCCAGCCCACAGCTGCTGTTAATCCAGGGCTCTCCTCTCTTAGGAAGGACACAGAGTCCACTAATGACCATTGGTCCACCAAGGCACAGAGAGGGCAAGGGGCCTGCCTAGGTCACCAGCAGGCCTGAGTCTAGTCCTGACTCCCAATCCAGGCCTCCTTTGACCATACCCCAAAAGAAAATGAAGGTGGAGACGTGGGGGTTGCGGGGAGAGGAAGGAGATGGGGAAGCGGGGGGACCTTACACTCACTCCCCCACATAGTGCCTCACACATAGTTGGTGTTCACTAAATATTTGCTGAATGATGAGTAAATGTTAGGTGGTTGGATAGATGGGGCCTCAGGCGGGTGAGACCCAGCTATGTGCTGTTTCGAATCCCAGCCCACGGCGTCCTGCCAGTCCCCCTGCTAACCTCATTTGGTTGCTAGCAGTAGCCTTCATTTTCTGCTGAGTCACTACTCTCAACCCAGACGTGGGGTTGGGCGTGCCAGGAATTTGGAGGGAAGAAAGATTGACAGAACCTCAGCACCTCAACACCAGCTCCATTTTTAAGATGAAGAAACCGAGGCGGGGGAGGAGGTCTGCTCAGTCCTGGAACACCCCACTTCCCCAGCAGCCTTAGGCCGCCACCCCTGCCCGGCTTACCCACCTCCATCGGGGAGCCTCTGTCATTCTGGTAGCTGGGGGGTGGGGGACTGGGGAACAGAACACATTCCCCAGGGCCCTTTGAGTCATGCTGAGTCCTGTAGAAGTCCCAGCACCACCCATGGTGCTCCCAGGAAGCTTTAGCTGGCCTCTGGGAAGCAAATTGGGGCTCCTGACCCCTCTAAACAGAGAATGGCACCCCCGCTCCATGAGTCTCTTTCCTCCTTTCCTCTCTGGCCCCTCTTGCCCTTCTCTGTGCCTGGTGGCAGGATTTAGGAGCCCATCTCTGTCCCCCATAAGTACTGTGGCTGGGCGAGCCCCTGCCCTTCCCTGGGCCTCACTGGCCCAGCTGGGACCAGGCCAGCAAACCCAAGTCTCTCTTGACCTGACCCCCCAGGACACTGTGTCCATTGGAGCTCTGACTGTACCCCCTTTGCCCTGGTGCCCTCCAGTCCCCACCCCTCTCTCTCTCTCTGGCCCTCTTATGGACTCTTCCAGAGGGAGACTGTCCCACCCCACCTCCTGGCTTCTCCTTCCTCTTGGTCTCTCTCCTCCTGGCCATCCTCATTGGAAAATGCCAAGTCTGCAGGTTTCCCATGACCTTGAACAACCGGCAGTTTGGGAGTGAGCAGCTCTGAGCTTTGCAAGGAGGGCCTAGGGTGAGGCCCACCATGGGTCCTGGGGGCTGCATTGCCTTTGCACCCCACACCCTGTCCTGCTGACCTTGCTTCATTTTTCTCCATGGCAAGTGGCATCTTCTCACTGCTTACTTGGGTATTGTACGTCCATGGCCTCAGTAGAATGTTCCTTCCACAACGGTAGGGGTTTTGTCAGCTGTGGTCACTGCTTGGTCCTCACCCGGAAGGCCTATAACAGTGCCTGGCCCACA
This sequence comes from Homo sapiens, assembly GCF_000001405.40. Lineage (NCBI taxonomy): Eukaryota > Metazoa > Chordata > Mammalia > Primates > Hominidae > Homo > Homo sapiens. The sequence continues at coordinate 129,569,753 of NC_000009.12, read as the reverse complement.
GGGGGCCTCCATGAGTGCTGAGGAAGGAGGATTTCCTCCAAGCCACCTGTGGGGAGCACTTCCTTGTGGGCATCACTGCCTCTGATGCACCATCTGCCTGCCCAGGATATGCCAGGCCCCTTTCAGAAGATGGGGAAACTGAGGCTCAGAGAGGAAGAGACGAAGGGAAGGAACGGATGCAACCTCACACAGTGGTCCCTGGTGGGAGTCCAGAGGAACGGATGCAACCTCACACAGTGGTCCCTGGTGGGAGTCCAGAGTCGAACCCACGCATTCAGGCCGTGGCGCTTGACTTAGCCCTTCCTCCCACCAGCCAGCCAGTCCGCCAACAGCTGAGAGGGGCTGGGACAGCCCCGCCCGCACCCCACGTCCCTGACGCCTTCGGCCACGCCCCTGTGGTAGAGTGAAGAAACTGAGGCACCCCGCCTCCTCGGATTCCTTGCAAGCCTCCTTCCCACACCCGCGCCCGCGCCCCCGCCCCCTCCTCGGGCCCTGCCCTCCCTCCCTGGCCTGGCCCCGGCCCCGGCCCCGGCCCCGGCCCCGCGTAGCCCCCGGCCCTTGGCAGAGCTCAGCCCGCGCCCACCCGGAGCCGGGGAGGGAGAGAAAAATGAGTTTTCCTGCCGCCCGGTGGCGGTGTCAATTGATCGCGCGCGGGCGGGGCTGCGCGCCGGGCTGGGGGCCTTGCTCGCAGCTGCCGGCGCGCAATTATCGGGAAAAAACTGGGGCGGCTGCCGCGGTGAAATTAGTTATCGATCCCTCGGTGGGGCCGCGGGGCCGCGCTTGGCGCTGAGGGCTGCAGACCCGGCCAAGCCCGCTGGGCGGGGCGGGGGCCTGGGGGGCGGCGGGGGCGGGCCCTCCCCCTGCTCCGGCCTCTCCCTCCTCCCCCTCCTCCTCCCTCCTCCTCCCGCCCGCGCTCCCCTCTCCCATTCATCCTGCCGCCGTATCGACCCGCGGCCGACCCCGCGCGGCCAGGCGCCCCCGCCCGCTGCCCTCTCCTTTCCCAGCCCGGCCTCCCCCGCGGGGGCTGTCACCGAGCGCCTGGCACGGCCGGGCCATGCCCCGGGGAAGGAGGGACCAGGGCCGGGGGCGGGAGCCAGCCCTTGTGCTCGCAGCCCTGGGTTCGGAGCCCAGCTGCCCGGGAAGGTTTCCAGATCTCCCTGAGCCTCAGTTTCCCCATCTGTAAACTGGGTGGTGGTGGCTTCGTCCCCCGCTTTGAGAGGACAGCAGGAGAGGCGTCCTGAGAAGTGAGTTCGCCTGGAAGCTGCCGGGCTGTAGTTTGCGTTGATACCACCGATCTTCCCGGTCACTCTAGGAGACGGGCCATATCCCCGTTTTACAAATGAGGAAACTAACTCAGCGAGGGGAGACGCCGTGTCCAGGGACACACAGTAAGCAGGTGGCCCAGGAGGACCCCAGAACCCGGCTGGAGGTGGCGGTGGGGGGCGAGGGGTGCCTGCGGAAGGAGAGGAACAGGAGCAGCGGGAGGTCAGCGCTGGCACCTGCAGCCCTGTCAGCCTGCGGGGGTGCGGAAGTTTGGGAGGTCTTAGCAGAGTGGTGCTGACAGATCGTAGAGCGTGGGTGGAGGTCAGGGCTCCCCAGCCCTCGCTGAGCCATTGGCTCGGCAGCCTCCTGGTTGGAGAGGAAGAGTGGGGAGGGACAGAGGAAGGAGAGGGAAGCAAAGAGGAGAAGGGGAGTGTCTTTGCCCAGAGCCAGCCTGCCACCCTCTCCTTTCCCAGCACTAGGCTGCATTTGGAAGGGAGGCGCCAGGCTGGAGAGCAGGGGATGTGAGTTCCAATCCTGAGGCTCCACTAGGTGGTGTGACCTTGAGCAAGGCCCTGCCCCTCCCCAGGCCTCCTACAAAGATGGTATTTGGTCCTATGTCCCTCAAGGCTCCTTCGGGCTCCCCTCTGCCTGCCAGCCACAGCCTCATGCATCTCAGAGTCTCAGAACATTTTTTTTTTTTTTTTTTTTTTGAGAAAGAGTCACTCTGTCACCCAGGCTGAAGTGCAGTGGCATGATCTCAGCTCACTGCAACCTCCACCTCCCGGGTTCAAGGGATTTTCCCGCCTCAGCCTCCTGAGTAGCTGAGATTACAGGTGTGCACCACCATGCCTGGCTAATGTTTTTTGTATTTTAGCAGAGATGGGGGTTTTACCATGTTGCCCAGGCTGATCTCGAACCCCTGAGCTAAGGCAATCCGCCCACTCAGCCTCCCAAAGTGCTAAGATTACAGGCGTGAGTCACTGCGCTCGGCCCTCAGCACATCTTCATCCAGCATCTACTGTGTGCCAGGACTGTGCTGGGCACAGCAGATACAGCTGAGGACAAGACAGCCCCTGTCACAGCTCTCTCGGAGCAAGATGGGTATTAAGCAAACCATTGTATGGCCGTGCACTTACACCTTGGGGGGCGTTCAAGGGGACTGACAGGATATGTGCGCTGGGGTGGGTGGGTCACCGGGGAAGCCTCCCAGAGTCAGTGACATTTGAAGGTAGGACGTGGCAGGGGCAGGGAAGAGCAGGCTTCGCGGGGAAACGACATGAGCCAAGGCCCAAGTTCAAAAGGAGCTCTGAGCATTGCAGCAACAGAGAAAGGCTGGTATGCTGGAGGCAGAGAATGCCGGAGGACAGGTGAGGGGGATGAGGCTGGCAGGGCCAGGCCGTGGTGGGCTTGGGTGTTGCGAAGGAGGTTACGCCCCTTCCCGAAGGCGGAGGAACACAAAGTATTCGATCGCGGAGGGACAGGGTCAAGTCCGGCCCCTCGGCTGGAAGCCTGCGTGTTCCTGTTCGCCCATGGGTGTTGCACGCAGAAGTCCTGCTTTGGAGGTCTGGTTTTGTTCTTGGCCTCTCTGAGCCTCAGTTTCCTATTCTGTAATAGCCTCCAATGCTGTAGTGGCTGTGGGTTTTGGTGGGGACAGCCCTGGGTTCAAGTCTTCCTTTATAAGTCGTGAGTCCTTGGGCGGTGTCCAACAAGCGGCTCAAAGGGGCCCTGTGTTCTCCCTCTCCCAGCTTTCCTGGCTCCCCAGATGGGATTCTAGAGGCGTCCTCAGGATCCAGAACAAGGTCTCCTTGGTGACAGGGGAGGCGATGGGTAGCCCCTCCGCTGGCCTGATGGTGAGGAGAGGCAGGGCGGGAGGGCTGGAGGCCAGTGCTGGGGGTCACTGTTCCTGCCTCTTCCCCTCTGGACTCCCCTTGCTCGCTGCAAGGGGACACAGAAAATGACAGAGGGACAAGCTGGCCTGTTGGGACTGGGGCTGCCTTATGTCCTGTAAAAATTGGTCCTCCCCTGGCTTCTGGGGACCACACTATATTCTATTCTTGATTGGGACATGGTTATTACAGATGAGTTCACTTTGTAAAGATTCACAGAACTGAACACCTGGGATGCATTTCTGTGTATGTGTCACACTTCAACAAAAAGTGCCACTGGGGGCTGGGTGCAGTGGTTCATGCCTGTAATCTCAGCACTTTGGGAGGCTGAGGCGGGCGGATCACATGAGATCAGGAGTTCGAGACCAGCCTGACCAACAAGGTGAAACCCCATCTCTACTGAAAATATAAAAATTAGCCGGGCCTGGTGGCACACGCCTGTAATCCTAGCTACTCAGGAGGCTGAGGCAGGAGAATCGCTTGAACCCAGGAGGCGGAGGTTGTGATGAGCTGAGATCGCGCCACTGCACTCCAGCCTGGGCGACAGAGCAAGACTCCGTCTCAAAAAAAAAATGCCACTTCTCTGAGCTGCTGGTGGCTGACCGCAGCCTGTGAGGTAGGCGCAAACATCCCCTTTGGCAGAAGACAAGAGTGAGGCCCTGGGGGAACTGAGCCCTCACCTGACTGCAGTGGGTCCCGAAGGAGCCCAGGCATGTACCCGCTGGAGAGGGCTCTGTCTCCAGCTCCCCCAGGTCTGAAGAGCACACCTGGCTGGTTTCTGGGATTCCTGTGACTATAGAATGCACCTGCTGACAGGGGCCACTGAGAGAGAATTAGCCATGGCATCGCAGGATCAAAACCATCTGGTTGGCCGGGTGCAGTGGCTCACGCCTGTCATCCCAACACTTTGGGAGGCTGAGGGGGACAGATCACTTGAGGTCAGGAGTTTGAGACCAGCCTGGCCAACATGGTGAAACCCCGTCTCTACTAAAAATACAAAAAATATGCTGGGTGTGGTGGTGGGCACCTGTAATCTCAGCTACTCGGGAGGCTGAGGAAGGAGAGTCGCTTGAACCCGGGAGGCAGGGGTTGCAGTGAGCTGAGATCACAACACTGCACTCCAGCATGGGTGATAGAGTGAGACTCTGTCTTAAAAACAAACAAACAACAAAAAATACCAACCATCTGGTTGACGGGTGTGGTGGTTCACGCCTGTAATCCCAGCACTTTGGGAGGCTGAGGTGGGCAGATCACATGTGGTCAGTTCAAGACCAGCCTGGCCCACATGGTGAAACTCTGCCTCTACTAAAAATACAAAAAATTAGCCAGGCATGATGGCGCATGCTTGTAATCCCAGCTACTTGGGAGGCTGAGGCAGGAGACTCCTTGAACCTGGGAGGCAGAGGTTGCAGTGAGTTGAGATTGCGCCACTGCACTCCAGCTTGGGCGATGAGCGAAAGTCCATCTCAAAAACAATAACAACAGCAAAAAAAACACAAAACCATCTGGTCTTCTCCCTGGCCCTAGGAACACTGAGGCACACAGAAAATCAGTGACTCAGCCAGGTCTTCCAGTGTGGAGATAGAGCCAGGATTTCAAACAAGACCTGCCTACCTGGCTACAAGGCCACAAAGCCACGTGTTTTCCATGGCACCCACCTCCCTCCTGCCCTGTGTTTGCCCCCTTCATCAATATCTGACATCCCATCTGCCATCATGACACATGGGGGTGAGCAGAGGAGTGCAGGGAGGGAAGGAGAGGAGGAAGAGGAGAGTAGGAGGAAGATGAACTTCACGGAGCTGCTGGGCCCTGAATACCCATTCCCTAGCATGACACTCAAAGCCATGGCCAACCAGGCCCATCCTCAGTCCTGTTTTTCCCTTCCTCCCCTGCCCCCCGAACTGTGTCTCATTTCCAGCCACATGGGACACCTGGCCACTCCTCACACTCACCTCTCATACTCCTGCCCCTGAGGCTTTTCCTAGACTATTCCCGGTACTCTGCCTAGCAAACCTCTGTACCAGGGATCAGACACGCAGCTGTGAGCTAGGGGGGTCATGGCCCTGGCCCTCATAGTTTTCAGTGAAGGCGACACATGTATATCTGGGTGAGTATCTGGAGGAATGCGTGTGTGCACCTTTCGTTAGCCTTTTTTTTTTTTGAGACAGGATCTCTGTTGCCTAGACTGGATCACGGCTCACTGCAACCTCCATCTGCCCGGCTCAAGGGATCCTCCCATTCAACCTCCCGAGTGGCTGGGACGACAGGTGTGTGCCACCATGCCTGGCTAACTTTTATATATATATATATATATTTTTTTTTTTAAGAAATGGGGTCTCACTATGTTGCCCAGGCTGGTCTTGAACTCCTGACCTTGTGATCCGCCCGCCTCAGCCTCCCAAAGTGCTGGGATTACAGACGTGAGCCACCGTGCCTGGCCTAGTTAGGCTTTTCTAAGCATGAGGACACGTTGCACACACGTCTCCGTATGTATATAAGTGTATGTGCATTGTGACCATAATGGACACGACTGTTGTAAGGGTGAAGGGAAAGCTTCTCCTTCACCCTTGAAGGTTTGCTGAAAAATCACCTCACAAAAAGTCAGATTAGGCCGGGCGCGGTGGCTCACACCTGTAATCCTAGCACTTTGGGAGGCCGAGGTGGGCGGATCACGAGGTCAGGAGTTCAAGACCAGTCTGACCAATATGGTGAAACCCCACCTCTACTAGAAATACAAAAATTAGACGAGTGTGGTGATGCACGCCTGTAATCCCAGCTATTCAAGAGCCTGAGGCAGGAGAACCGCTTGAACCCAGGAGGCGGAGGTTGCAGTGAGCCAAGATCGCCCCATTGCACTCCAGCCTGGGTAACAGAGCGAGACTCCGTCTCAAAAAAAAAAAGTTAGATTGATACAAAAAAAGGATATAAATTTATTATTCCATTGCACATGGGGAGAGTCAGAGTGACTGCCCCATATCCCAGTGGGATACAGATGCTTGCATACCCTACTTCTTAGGGGAAAGGGATATCGGGAAGCATGGGTGACTTTAAGGGGATAGTAAATGATTTTTAGGGTCTGGCACGGTGGCTCACGCCTGTAATCCCAGTACTTTGGGAGACCGAGGTGGGTGGATCACAAGGTAAGGAGATCAAGACCATCCTGGCTAACACAGTGAAACCCCATCTCTACTAAAAATACAAAAAATTAGCCAGGCATGGTAGCACGTGCCTGTAGTCCCACTTACTCAGGAGGTTGAGGCAGGAGAATCGCTTGAACCCAGGAGGCAGAGGTCGCAGTGAGCTGAGATCGTGCCACTGCACTCCAGCCTGGGAGACAGAGCAAGACTGTCTCAAAAAAAAAAAAAAAAACAAAAAAACCCGAATTTTTGGGGAATTCGATGGGCTCAAAGAACATCCAATGGTAAGTCTATTCAGCCTGCAGAGCAGACAATCATTTGTGACAAAAGTCTGTCCAGATTCGTTGACCGACTTTGTCTTCCTTCCTGTGATATGGGTTTAGTTACTGAAAACTCAGAGAAGGGCCCAGAGGTCTTTGTCTTCTTCTTTGGTAGGTCCGGACTCTAGGCAGATAAGGGAACCTCAGCCTGTGCTTTGGAAGAGGTGGAAGATTGAGAGACAGGAGCTGGGTGGGCGGGGGGACAATTGTTCTCCTCAGTGGATCTGTCTGGTCCTTAAGCAGGGAGGGGAAAAGTCTCTTCTAGCATCTATTGATCTCTAAGGGTCTTTAATTCTAAACACTCATGATACCAGGGAGCCGTATTGGGGGATAAAGTTCCCTGCATTCCTTCGCTGTGTCTGTGTAATGCTGACTGCATGGACAGATGTAGAAACACGAATAGCTCCATGCATGCACAATCATGAATATGTTCGCGTGCATGTGAGCATTTACGTATATGTGCATCTTTGTGGACATTTGTATGTGCATCTTACATGTGCCCATGTCTATCCATTTGTACTTGGTTTTCAGTGCACATTTGCGAGCGGGTGAAAATTTCTGTGAATGTTTATAAGCACATGGAACGGGCATCTTTGTGGCTGCGGGAGTTGCACGGGTGCGTATGTAATGGCTGTATGTACATCTGTACGTTTAATGTGCAGTTGCATGCATAGTGCCATGCACAATCTCTGTGCACACCTTTGTGGTTTCTTTGCATATGCATCTGTGTCATTCCCCTTCACACACGTGTGTCTGTGTGGGTATCTTCCCCTGAGTGCACGAACATTTCTGTGGGTGCTTGTGCCTCTGTGCACATTCTGAGAGGTGCCCTGGGTGTGTGCAAGGGCACACTCATTAGGGGTCACAGCACACTGCCTGCCATGGGGAGGAGCGTGCTTTTCCGGGTTTGCTGGAGGACAGAGAGAATGGGGTGGAGCTCGGCTGCTGGTTGCCTGATGGGGGATGCTGAGGGAGGCAGAAGCCATCCAGCGCCACCCAGCTGCCCCTCACCCCTGCCTTCCCACTGCCCAGCTGGGGTTCAGGAAAATGGCTTCCTCCTGCTTCCCGCAGGCCTGCAGGGCTGGTAGGGGCGGGAGCCTGCCGCAGCCTCGAGCAGGCTGAGATCTCCTGGGGCCCTTGCCAAGGGAGCCTCTCAAGCGCCTCTGAGGTTACTGAGCCGTGCTGCGCTCCTGTGTCCACTGCGTGCGCTCGTCGCAGCTGCGCCTGGGCCTCTTTTCTAAAGGTGCCGTGCTCCAGTGGCCGGCTGTGGATCCTGGCTTCTCTCGAGTTTTTCTCCATCTCACAGCCCTGGCTTCAAAGTGCAGGCCGGGGGTGGGCCAGGGCTCTCCTCTTCCGCAACTGGAGCTGCCCAGGCAAGCCAGACACACAAGCATGTCCGTCCTTGGGCTGCATCCTGGCTGACAGCGATGTAGCCCCCGGTGCAGAAAATCAGCTTGCGGGCGATATCTCAGTAATTCAGAACACTTTACCCCAACCCCGAACACCCTCTCTCTGTGTTCCTGTCACCCCTGCACCGGGGATCAGCTACTCACCTTCTGGTGTGACCCCTCATCCTCTAAAGACCTGGGGTCACCCAGAGTCCTCTCTCCCCACTCAGAGTGTCCCTTCTGGGTACCCAGAAAGACACCCTGGCCGACACGCTGGCCTCTCCCTTCCTGCACCCCATCATCCTCAGGGACCTCCACTGTGCCCCCTGTACCACAGACACCCTGACCTGATCACTGCCTCCTCGGCCCCATTCTGAGGTCTGAAGGTCAGATATCCCTAGCTCCACACTGCCCCTGGCCACCTAGCCCTCACTGTCCTCAGAAGCACTTTAAGCTCACCCCCCTCTTCCAGAACCCTCTGTCCCCACAGATCCCACCCCTCCCAGAACTCCTCATGCCTACCACTTTCCATACAATATCCTGTGACAGTTCCGCCCTGGTGCCAGCCCCAGCTGGGGGAACCCAGACCAGCCTCACCAGACTTGACCTTTAAGCAATGGCCTTGTCACTCTAACCCAATCTCTGACACGTATCCTTCGGTTTCCCTGCTGGCTCTCTGCAGGTCACTCATGAGGCCGCCCACGTGGCGCTTGTTGCTTCACCTCTCGAGTAACTGACGGTATGTTCTGGCCCTCAGCTCTCCCGGGCAGTGTCCATCACACTCATGGCTTCCTAGACTTCCATCTCCGGTCTAATCACCTTCCGAACGCCAGAACCATCACGTCTGCTGCCCTTGAACACCTCCCCTAGGTGTCCCTGTGGGCCACCCAGGTTCCCTCCACCCCAGTCTTCCCCACCTGCTTCTCCTTCATGCTTCCCTCTCAGGGAGTTTGAGACCAGGCTGACCAACATGGAGAAACCCCGACTCTACTAGAAATACAAAATCAGCTGGGTGTGGTGGCGCATGCCTGTAATCCCAGCTACTCGGGAGGCTGAGGCAGAATTGCTTGAGCCTGGGAGGCGGAGGTTGCAGTGAGCCGAGATTGCACCATTGCACTCCAGCCTGGGCAACAAGAGCAAAACTCCGTCTCAAAAAAAAAAAAAAAAAAAAAGTAAAAGTAAAAGAAAGTCAATCACCAATAATGCTGGAATATGTCAACTTTTCTCCCACCTCTTGCCACTGATCCAGACCCCATTCCCTCTGCCCGGGTGATCCCTTATAGCTACCCAGGGCTGCGGCTTTGCTCCATTCAAGCCATTTTCCACGCAGCAGCAGCCAGGGCCGTCTTTCCAGAGTGTATTAGGTTGGTGCAAAAGTAACTGTGGTTTTTGCAATTAAAAGTAATTGTAGGCCAGGCACAGCGGCTCATGCCTGTAATCGCAGCACTTTGGGAGGCTAAGACAGTTGGATCACTTGAGGTCAGGAGTTCGAGACCCACCTGGCCAACATAGTGAAACCTGGTCTCCACTAAAAATACAAAAATTAGCTGGGCATGGTGGCACACGCCTGTAATCCCAGCTCCTGGGGGGGTGGGGGGGCAGGGCTGAGGCAGGAGAGTCGCTTGAACCCAGGAGACGACAGCTGCAGTGAGCTGAGATCACGCCACTGCACTCCAGCCTAGGCGACAGAGTGACTCTGTCTCAAAAAAAAAAAAAAAAAAGGAATTGCAAAAACCGCAATTACTTAATAGATCTGACCAAGACTCTCCCCAGGTTCAAACCCCGGCTTCAAACCTTTTGCTCCTTATAGTCTTTTTTTAAAACTCTTATCTGTGGCTCATTGTGTCTCAAGACAGCCAAGCAAACCGAACTGCTAGGAATTTTCCCAATGGAACATTCTCTCTGCAAGTCCTTTGCTCTTGCGGTTGCTCCTCCAGGAGCTCCTGCCTCCCTCTTCTCTTCCCTTCCTTGAGGCTCAGCATGGGAGAGGCCCTGCTGCAGGTGCCCTCTGACCTCTCAGGTAGGGGAGGGGGCCTCTGTCCTCTGCAAACCTGCGCTGAGTGCTCTGGATGGTTCCGTCCCTTGGATTGGGCCTCCCCAAGGGCAAGACCCTGCCTGGTTCACCCTGGCCGCTCATGCAGAGGCCTGCCTAACATAGCTGCTGAATGAATGAATGAATGAATTGAATTGAATAATGGACAAAGCCCAACAGGGAGGGTTAGCATAAAGGGGAGACAGGCCAGGACTGTGGGTCAGCAGACCCTATCCTCCTCCCAGTCCCCCCAGCTTGCTGTGGGCTTCTTTCTAGCTGGTTACGGCTCTGAAGTTCTGTTTTATGCATGACAAAGTGGTCTCCAAGGCATCTGGCTCCAACTGCCACATGCTCACCCATTTCCACAGCCACATGGAGGGAATCACAGTCATGCTGAGCCCATCCTCCTTGGGTGACTGATGGAGAAACTGAAACTCAGGGGTGGGGTGGCTGTGGGTAGGGGAAGAGCTGGACCTAGCGTCGCTCAGCGCTGGAAGCCCACGTGCAAGGAGTGTGGAGAGAAAGGAGTCCCTCATGCCCTGTGTGCTGGAGTGGTGGCCTCCTGGGCTGGCCGGGGCCCTCGGGAGTTGGGGTCAGGACTTCTCCTGTCTGGTCCTTCCCCAGGATTCAGAACCTACCAATAGGGAGGAAGAAGAGCAGGGTCGCTCTGAATGGGTCACATATCCAACTGGGGGAGGACATTGCAGCGGGCAGCTCAAGGTCATCCCGAGGTCAGACTCTGTCCAGCTTAATTATTCATTAACCAGGCGAGTCCAGGCATTGAGTTAATGACCAGCACCAGGCTGGGGCCAGTTCCTCCCCGGAGGGTGGGCGTGACCTGCAAGGTCGGGGCAGCCTGCACCTGAGTAGTTGGTGGAGCATTCCTCCCTCTGTCCCTCCCTCCCTCCCTCCCTCCCTCCCTTCCTTCCTTCCCTCACCCTGTGCCTGGCGATTAGCAGGGCCCTGGAGTCCAGATGGGCAGGGGAGGGGGGCGGGGCAATGGAGACAAGGACAGCTCAAAGTGGTCTGTGCATGGCAGGGATGGCACAGGAGTGCTAGGGAGCCCAGGGGAGACCCCCGGGCAGTGTGGGTGAAATCAGCACAGCTGGTGGAGGGGAGACGTCCCGAGGAGCCCCGCAGGGTCCGTGCAACTGGCCCATATCCCACTGGTTTGGTGCCGTCAGGGTCCTTGGCAGGCTCCCAGCCCACTCCAGCCTGGCTCACCTTTGGCGGCACCCCCTTTTCCTCAGGGCTGTTGCCATCGAGATGACTTCTATCCTTGCTTCCCTTTCGCCGGGGCTCCCTGGGGACTGCCTCCAGTGGCCTGGCCGCCAGGCCACCCCATCCGCTGCGCCTGGCTGTCCTGCAGGGTTTGTGGCCTGGTGGCTGAGGAGGGGACTGAGGGTCCCCGCAGTGGAGGCTGGAGCAGGATGGCCAGAGGACAGTCCCCAGGGGAGTGAGCAGCCAAGGGGAGGGTCCCAGGGGGCGTCGGGGAGAGGGAGGCTCCGAGGACCCGGGCTGGTGGTCTTGTCCTGGCACTGGGACGGGATAGCCTGGGCTTGGGGATCTTGTGTGCTGGGGCCCCGGTATGCACGTGGGAATGGTGGGGTGGGAGAGGAGAGTGAGGCAGAGTTGGATGGAGATGAGTTTTCAGGGTGTGCAGGGTAAGAAGGAGACAGACAGGGAAAAAGCTAGACTGAGCCCCAGCGGACAGGGGTGAGGCGGGGACCACCATGGTGGGGATGTGGGGACAGGGTGTCTCTTTGGAAGGTGTTACGACCCCCCTGACAGCCAGGTCCCCAGCATGGGGGGCCAATCTGGATCCTGACCGGGTGGGCCTAGCACTGGCGCCCCCACTCAAGTAGGAACCCTCGAGAAACCAAGGGGAGAGGGGAGTGGGAGGTGGGCTTCGGGCTTCTGGGCCTGGAGGATGGGTGGTGGGGGTGAGGGTGGAAGCCCTGACCCCAGCCTGGCTGGGGTTGCCCTGGCAGGGGCGGAAGCTGCCACCGCAGCCCTGGGCCAGCCCCACCTCTCCCAACAAAGGCCCAGCGAGGAGAGGGCGTGTTTGTTCAGGCTGGAGGCTGGTGGGGGGCAGGAAGCGGAGTTTCAAAGCGGTGTCACCCTTTGTTACCCCCTCTTCAGTTCCACCTCCCGCCCCAGGCTGCATTCCAGAACCGGAGGGGGTCCTGCCCTGGGAGAAATCCGCTTAGCCAGAGGCTCGGGTTACATACAGCCCAGCTGCGGGCGAGGCCCAGGCCTTCCCAGACTGACACTGAGGGCTGCCCGGACTTTCCCAACTGCTAGACCTGCTCCTGGACCACCCTGTCCCCACCCTGGGACCCCCTTCTGGACCTTGGGCCTTAGGAGGGAGGAGGAAGGAGCCGGGAGGAGAAGAGAAGGGGGAAGGCCCCAGCCCCATCCTCTGTAGATGATGGGGGATGGGGTTTGGGTTGTTTTTCTGGAAGGGAGCGGGGACTGTTGTTTTCTGCCCCGAAGCTGACCTCGGAACAAAGCTTGCCAGGAGATTCCTGGTTTGAAGGAGGTGGGCTGTGGGGAGGGGGATTCTTTCTTTCCTTGTAGGCCACATAGTATCTTCTCTTATTTTTAGTACTTTTTCTTTTTAGTACTTTCTTGATGTATATTTTACGTTTGGTAAAATGCCCTGATCTTCAACGTATAACCCACAATTTCTTACATGTTTGTTGGCAAGACAGCCGATGGCTTCCATCCCTCCAGAGGGAACCGCCAGCCTGACCTCCATCACCACCGACAGTTTTGCCTTTTCACCCAACTGAAATCAGAGCACGCACTCTGCCTCTCCTGGTTTCTGCCCAGCGTACTATTTGGGACCTGTCCCTGTCCAGGCCTGTCTCCGTAGCCCTCCCCTGCCATTGTTCAGTAGTATTTCCCTGTCTGTTCATCCCCTTGCTAATGGCCAGGCCTATTGTTGCTGGTCCTGGGCAATGATATGTGAAGCGCTGTGGGTCACCTGTCTTTGAGGAGAGGCAGGGACTGATGTGACTTTTTATTCCCCAGTACCCCACCAGGAGCAGGCATTGACACAGGGCCCTGGCACATGCTGTTCTCTCAGCCAGGAGCCACTCCGCCCCCTGTCCTTGGAGTGACTGGCTCCTTCTCAGCTTTCAGGTCTCAGCCTAACCGTCACCTTCTCAGAGACACCGTCCCTGACCACTTGGTCTCACAGCATCTCCCATCCCTTCACCCCAGATCTTGTTCTTTGGTTCAGTTATCATGGTGGGATCCCGATCCCACCATGGATCCCGATCCAGACCCCAAGAGAGGGTTCTTGGATCTTGGGCAAAAGGCCGAGGCGGGTGGATCACCTGAGGTCAGGAGTTCGAGACCAGCCTGGTAAAACCCTGTCTCTACTAAAAATACAAAAAATTAGCCAGGTGTGGTGGCCAGTGCCTGTAGTCCCAGCTACTCGGGAGACTGAGGCAGGAGAATCACATGAACCTGGGAGGCGGAGGTTGCAGTGAGCCGAGATCTCCCCACTGTACTCCAACCTGGCGACAGAGTGAGACTCCATCAAATAAAAAAGGGTGGTTACTCCATAGACATAGCAGCCAGGGCTGCTTGTTGCCCACTTTAATGGTTATTTCTTGATGATATGCTAAACAAGGGCCTTCCCAGCCTGAGACGGAGGGCCGCCCGGACTTTCCCAACTGCTGGCCCTGCTCCCGGCAGTTCATGCCTCCCCTTTTTAGGTTATATAGGGCAACTTCCTGGCGTTGCCATGGCATCTGTGAACTGTCGTGGCGCTGGTGGGAGTGTAGCAGTGAGGACGACCAGAGGTTACTCTCATCACTATCTTAGTTTTGTTGGGTTTTAACCAGCTTCTTTATAGCAACCTGTTTTATCAGCAAGGTCTTTATGACCTGTGCCTTGTGCCGACCTCCAGTCTCATCCTGTGCGACTTAGAATGCCTTAACCATCTGGGAACGCAGCCCGGTAGGTTTCAGCCTGATTTTACCCAGCCCCATTCAAGATGGAGTTGCTCTGGTTCACATGCCTCTGACAGTGGGGCCTTTATTGCTATTTGCTGCCATCTTATCCCTGTGCTATTTCTTTTCTGTGGTCCCCACCAGAGATTTTGCATCCCAGTGCCCAGCACAGGACTTGGCACGGGATGATTAATCTGTGGGTTCATCTGTAGGCATTGGGTGGTGCAGACTATGCTGGGCTGAGAAATGCCTGGCCCTGTGCTTGCTGGATGCGGCAGAGACCAGGAAGAGGTGGACACAGCCCCTCACACTCTAAGCCTGGTTGAGGGGGGGCTCAGGCTCCAAGCCCCTGTCCCTGTCCCTGCAGTGAATGGTCTTTTGCAAACAAGAACCAAACATCCTCCTTTTTTTTTTTGAGATGAGGTCTTGCTCTATTGCCCAGGCTGGAGTGCAGTGGTGCAATCATAGCTCACTGCAGCCTCGACTTCCCAGGCTCAAGGGATTCTCTCACCTGAGCCTCCTCAGTAGCTGGGACTATAGGCATGTGCCACCACGCCTGGCCAATTTATGTATTTTTTGTACAGATAGGGTTTTGCCATACTGCCTAGGTAGTCTTGAACTACTGGACTCAAGTGATCATCCCACCTCAGCCTCCCAGGCATGAACCACCTCGCTGGCCTGCCCTTCTGTTTTATCAGTGTGTAGCGGCACTGGATTGGGGGATGAGCCAGCTCTAGGTGCCGGCCTTGTTTAGGCTCAGCCAATTCCTTGGCAGTTGATTGGTTCAGGAGCTCTGGTCTAAGCCAATCAGCACACAGCAGCATCTCCTGGGGATCTAGGTTGGTCCAGGCTGGACCCAGGAGGCCCTCTCTCCCTCCTGCTGGGCTCAAGGAAGGAAGCAGGTGGCCTCCGCTGCTCCCTGAGGAATAAGCTCCCACTGAAGAAGGGACTCCAGAGGACTGCCCACCTCTGGGCTTCCTGTTGTGTTGTGCCATGTGATATCCTTATTGCTTAAGCTAGCCGGGGTCAGATTTCCTGTTACTTACAGCCAAAAGCATCCCCTCTGAGGCAGCGTGCGGAAAAGGAAGCCATGCCATCCAAGCAGACTCCCCTGTGTGGCCCTCAGGCCTCGAAGACCTGGTCCCACCTTCTCTTTCCTTTTTTTCTTTTCTCTTTACTTTTTTTTGAGACGGGGTCTCGCTCTGTCACCCAGGTTGGAGTGCAGTGGTTCGATTTCAGCTCACTGCAACCTCCATCTCCCTGGTTCAAGCGATTCTCCTGCCTCAGCCTCCCGAGTAGCTGGGATTACAGGCGTGCACCACCATGTCCGGCAAATTTTTTGTATTTTTAGTAGAAACGGGGTTTCACTGTGTTGGCCAGGCTGGTCTCAAACTCCTGGCCTCAAGTGATCCACCCGCCTCGGCCTCCCAAAGTGCTGGGATTACAGGTGTGAGCCACCCGCCTGGCCCTCACTGCTAATTTACCACCAGCTGTGAGATTCTCCATTCTCTCAGCTCAGCGTTTCTTGCCTCCTGTCTCTTGCACCTCAGCGGGGGAGCACAGTGGGGTCTGAGTCAGCTCCTGCTAAGGAAAGGACTAAGTGAGCAGAATCTCCTCCTTGTACCTGATGGGCAAAGGTGCAGATGGCACCTGCTAGAGCTGCGTCCTTAAGAGACACACAGGGATCAAGTGCTTGGGGAAGAGCATTAAAGGGGGTATGGGGCCATGCTGCCAGACACCCTTTAGCAAAAGTTTGAGGCAATAGCAAAACCCCGTCTCTACAAAAAATACAACCAGCTGGGCATGGTGGTATGCGTCTGTAGTCCCAGCTCCTCAGGAGGCTGAGGAGGGAGGATTGCTTGAGCCCAGGAAGTCGAGGCTGCAGTGAGCCATGATTGCACCATGGCACTGCAGCCTGGGTGACAGAGCTAGACCCAGAAGGCAACCCCTCTTGCCCTTTCCGTTGATGCCCTGCAGCAACAAAAAACCCTGTCTCATTTTTGCCAGGTTAAAAACCACTTCTGTAACAACACTTGATTTAATCGGATGACAGTTATGATCAGATTACATCAAGCACTTTCTGGGTGTGCATCGTCTGTTAAGCTCTCTATGTCCTTGACTTTGCTGGACTGTGACCTTGTGAGAGGCATGCCGTATGTTATTCTTAGGATAAGGATATGCTTATTGCTTAAGCTAGCCGGGGTGATGACACAGAAGGGAAACTGAGGCCCAGGGAGGGTAGGTGAATCACCCAACATCACCCTGCTTGGGAGAGGCAGGGACAGGATTAGAACTCAGGCCTCCTGATCCAGACTTGAGCACGTTCTCCTGCACACTGCCACACACTGCTGCCTGCAGAGGGCCTGCTGGCCAGTTCTTAGGATCAAAGTCGGGGAAAGGGGGCAGAGAAAAGGGGAGGGGAGCTCTGGGTTCCAGGGGTTGCTCCATCTGGTCCCAGAGGGGTGACTCCATCCAAGAAGGAGTTTCACTTTTTTGAGCTTCAATTTCCTAATCTGTAAAACAGGCACAGTACTGGTATCCACCTGACAAGATTTTTGTGAAAATGACAAGGGCATTTTCATAGGCTGTTCCTCTGCCTCTGAAGTTCTTCCTGGCTTTTGGAGAGACCAGCTCATTCTCACCCTCAGGTCTCAGCTCCAGTGCCCCCTGCCCACCTGCTATGGGTTGAATGTTTGTGTTCCTCCAAAATTCACGTTGAAACTTAATCCCCAATGCACTAGAGGTAGGGCCTTCAGGAGATGATTAGGTGGTGAGGGCTCTGCCCTCACAAAGGAAATTAATCCCTTTAAAAAAGGGCTTGAGGGCCAGGCGTGGTGGCTCATGCCTATAATTCCAGCACTTTGGGAGGCCAAGGCAGGAGGATCACTTGAGGTCAGGAGTTTGAGACCAGCTTGGCCAACATGGTACAACCCCACCTCTACTAAAAATACAAAAATTAGCTGGGCATGGTGGTAGGCGCCAGTAATCCCAGCTACTTGGGAGGCTGAGGCACGAGGATAGCTTGAACCTGGGAGGCAGAGGTAGCAGTGAGCCGTGATTGCCACTGCACTCCAGCCTGGGCAACAGAGGCTCTGTCTCACAAAAAAAAAAAAAAAAAAAAAAAAAAAAGGAAAAAGAAAGAAAGGGCCTGAAGCAGTCTGCTTGGACCTTTTTGCCCTTCCTCCATGTGAGGACACAGCTAAACAGCTAAAAGGTACCATCTTGGAAGCAGAGAACAAGTCCTTAACCAGACACTAAATCTGTTGGTGCCTTGACTTTGGAATTCCCAGCCGCCAGAACTGTGAGAAATAAATTTCTATTGTTTATAAATGACCCAGTCTAAGGCATTTTGTTATAGCCCAAGACACCACCCCTATCCAAAGCAGCCGCCCCGTCCTCCCTTGCTGGCTGGTTGCTGTCCATCTCATTACCTCGCTGATTTCATTTCTGGTCCTTATGACAGGCTGCGCTTCGTTCTGAATTCATTTGTTGTCTCTTCTACCAGTCTGTGAGCTCCATGAGGGCAAGGGCCTGTCTGCCTCCCCACTGCATAGCCCCAGCATCTGGCACAGTGCCTGGCAAGGGGAGGGGCTCTGTAGAAAACTTGCTCAAGTGGTGAATAAAGGCACAAAAAATGCTTACTGCAGTGCTTGCTGCATAGAAAGTGCTCAATACATGCTAGCTGTTGTTCTTAACGATAAAACAAACACAGACTCAAAATTGGAGCCTGTCTCCATATAACAGACCTTTGGGCCACTCTGGGCTCTACCTACTCCAGGCTGGAGTGCAGTGGCTCGATCTCAGCTCACTGAGAGCAGAGGGTGGGGTAGAGTTGGGGACCTCCACCCCCCCGGCCCAAGTATGTTTTGAGTCCTATTTACCATAGCTGTGGGAACAGAGTGGGCAAGGGCTGCACTCCTAAGGTAAGTTCTGGAAGTGGGGAGGCTGGGGGCAGGCCAGGTAGGTGCCAGTGCCCCTGTGAAGTCCTCAGAGACACCCCACACCTCAGCCCTGGGTGAAGCCCACCTGTCATTCCTTTTCATGCCTCTCCCCAGTTCCTTCCCAGCCCCAGAGCACCTGTCATGACCCCTTTGTCTCCTGTGAGGTCCTTGTCTAGAGTTCCTAGCTGCAGCCCTAGGGCTTAGAATGCACTTGGAGCATAGTAGGTCTTCAATAAATAAGTGCTGCATAGATTAGTAAGGTGCATGGGAGGCATCACTGGGGCTGTGGTGTTCTGTTTGTTTGTTTGTTTGAAACACAGTCTTGCTCTGTCGTCCAGGCTGGAATGCAGTGGCTTGATCTCAGCTCACTGTAACCTTCTCCCAGGTTCAAGGGATTCTCCTGCCTCAGCCTACCAAGTAGCTGGGATTACAGGCATGCACCACCACGTGCAGCTAATTTTTGTATTTTTAGTAGAGACGGAGTTTCACCATGTTGGCTAGGCTGGTCTTGAACTCCTGACCTCAAGTGATCCGCCTGCCTTGGCCTCCCAAAGTGCTGGGATTAGAGTTGTGAGCCACGCACAGCACCTGGCCTGTTTTCATTTTTTTAGACACAGTTTCCCCCTGACGCCCAGGCTGGAGTGCAGTGGTGAGATCTCAGCTCACTGCAACCTCGGTCTCCCAGGCTGCAGTGATTCTTATGCCTCAGCCTCCCGGAGTAGCTGGCATTACAGGTGCGCATCACTACATCCAGCTAATTTTTGTATTTTAGTAGAGACGGCGTTTTGCCATGTTGGCCAGGCTTGTCTTGAACTCCTGACCTCAAGTGATCTGCCTGCCTCGGCCTCCCAAAGTGCTGGGATTACAGGCGTGAGCCACCGCGCCCGACCTGGGACTGCTTTTTTTTTTAACCTTTCTTAACCACTGGTGTCTTTGAGAAACCGATGAAATGTTTGGATTCTCTCCAGACAAATGCACCCCAAATGTGACACAGAATTTCAGGGACACCCCCCACCCAAGGTCATCCACAAAGCCCAGCTTAAGATCTGTTTGTCTGAGGGAGAGGGGGCTCCTGAGATCCTGGGGAGACGGTGGGGAAGGTGTTACCAAGGGGGACATGGGGACCCCAACCACCCCACAGCGGGCTGGCGAAGAGTGGGGTGGATGAACCCCTTTTCTTGTACTCTCTGCTCCAGAAGGAAAGGGGGCGAGTAGGAGGTGATCGGGGAGGAGCGGGAACACAGGAGGGAAAGAATCCGAGGCAGCGGAAGAGACCGGAATCGGAGGGTAGGGGCGCGGTGGAGAGGCTCAGCCCCGCGGAGGGAATCGGAGCAAGCGCAGCGGCGCCAGTGGGGAGAGGGCCGGGCCAGGGCCGCCCAGGAGGGCCGAGCGCCGCCAGTGCCGAGATGCCCGGGCCGCCGTCCAGCTCCGATCGCCTGCCGCGTTCCTGGCAACCGCGCGCGGCTTCCCGGCGGAGGCGGGGCCCGCGGAGAGGTTACATCTGCACCAAGTGCCTGGGCGCAGCCGGCCCGGAGGGCAGTGATGTGGGGTTCGGGTGGGGGAAGATAGGGGGCCCTGGAGGGGGCGCGAGGGCGGCCGGCGAGCCGGGCGGGGAGAGGGAGGAAAGGCTGCGGCGGCGGCGCGGTCCGGGCCCCGGAAACATTCCTCCGAGGGGCGCCCCCGCCCGAGCTTCTGGGGTCCGCGCGTCCCGGCCGGGGCTCTCTTGGGGGTCGCCTCGCCCGCTTTCCGCCCCAGAAGGCCAGTGAACCGTTCCCCCACGGCCTCCCCAAATCCCAGAGTCCGGCCGCTCCCGCTGGCCGTCCCCTCTCCCCCGAGAACGAGCCCGCCTGGAGCGGTCGCGTGGGCTCTGACACGGGCAGGAGGGCTGCCACTTGCGCCCACCCCCTCCTTCCCTCGCGGTCCGCCGGGTCCGCCCAGCTCTCGTGGGATTGGGCTGGTGTCTTCTGCACCCAATCAGGTGGTGTGGGCACCGCACTGCGTCACTCCCCTGCTCCCGGACCATCTGCGGCTCCCTATTACCACCTCTACATTCTGGTTTACAGCCTTGAGTAGGGCCCAGCACCGCGGGTAGGCTCGGGTGTCCCACTCTCCAGCACCGGGGGTCCTCCTCTCTGGTTGGGCTGTGGGTTGAGGGGCTCTGGACCAGACACCGGCCTACCCCGTGAGCCTCCTCCTATTTTTCTTTCTCTTTCTCTCTCTCCTCTCCCTCTGTTCCTGTGTGTCTGACAGCCTCTCTGTCACGCACACACATTGTATTGCTTCTGTCAGTAGACTGAATGCATTCGGTGCCACCTAGATACCAGCCAGGTCCTGGGCCTTGCACTGGGCCCTGGACGGCACCTGGGCTGAGCCGGAAACAGCCCCTGCCCTCTGAGAACTCAGGCCCTGGCAGGCAGAGTGGAGGCTGCCCAGGGAGGAGGGTAAAAGCTGAACTCTGGAGTCCAGTCAGTAGCTTTGGGTTTAAATTCCGCCCTTCCACTTCCTGGCTGGGTGTGTCCTTGGGCAAATTATACTTGGAACCTCAGCTGGCCCAGCTGTCAAATGGGAATAGAATTGTCAGTCGGCGCCACCTCATGGGGCTAGGTTGGGAGGGTTTAAGGAGATAACACCAGTAGCTCTTGGCATACACGGTCCCTTTTAGTAAGCTTCCAGCATGGAAGGAAGTACGAGGACAGAGACTGGACAAGAACCGAGGGTCCATTTGGAGTCCTTAGAATCGATGCCTTTGAGCAGACAGACTCCCCAGCAGCCCTGCAGGCATCATCAGAGAATAACCGAGTTTTCTAACCCCCTCATGTCAGACCACTATCATTCAAGCACAACCATGGGTGTGAGCCCCAGTTGGGAAAGTTTACTATTAAGGCTCTAAAAGAAGCCTGCAAATACTGGAGCCCAGTGCATAAATAGAGAGGGAGCCTCAGCTGAGACGCCTGAGCTAAGTGTCCAGGAGGCAGGGGGATTTGGGCCAGGGCTGGTGGGTGTATCATGGCACTCCAGGAACAAACAGGGAGCCAAAGGCAAAGGTCCAAAGCATGACTTCCACAAGGACACACACACACTCAGACCAACCAGGGTCAAGGCTCCAGTTCTTGTTTCACGGGTCCTGGTGGAGCCTGGCCGCTTGCCTCTGGACACAGCAGCCCGGGAAGTCACCACCTTCCGGCGGGCTGGGACAGGGTTTCCTCTGAGCCCAGCAAAGCAGCAGGCAGGACGTGCTGCTGCCTTCTGGGAGAGTTGGCCTTGCAGAGCCTGGGAAGGGGCAGACGAGGGAAGGAGGCCTGTCACATAGGGTTCTTCCAGAGATGGGTCGGGCCCTTGCAGATCTTAGAGCCTCCGTGAGATCCTGGGCTTCTCAGAGAAAGGTTTGTAGCAAGTGGGGAGGGGACAGGGCAGCCAGGAACAGCCTGTGCTCACTGCTGCATGTACATCACTCCTTGGGACCTCAAGATCTGGTTCTGGCTCTGTCCCTGAGCCAGTGGCCCTCTCCAGGCCGTGAGCCCTGGAAACTTCAGCCAATCACAAAGTGACAGTTGGCACTGAGTTGGCACTTAGGACATGCCATGAGCTTAAAGGTATTGTCTCCCAGCAATCCTAGGGAGTTGGTACTCATTACATTCCTTTCTATGGATGAGGAGACTGAAAGGCAGGGCCTGAGCTGCTGACACGCAGTCAGTCACCGGTGAAGCTGGAACTCAAAGCCAGCCTTGCCAGACACCCAGGTCTGAGCTCTTAACTGTGAGCTGCGAACCCCCTCCAAGGTGGACCCAAGAGACGTGCAGCAAGGAGTGGGCAGTGGTGAGAAGCTCCCCCACCCCCCTGCTGCCAGGCTTCCTCCAGTAATGTGCCCATTTTACAGATGAGCTACCAGGATTTCGCTTTGGTGACTTGCCCAAGGCTGCACTGCTCAAGAATGGAGTCCATAAAAAAATAAAATCTGAGCAGATTGGAGCTGCAAGGGGGCTCAGAGCTCTTCTAATCAAAGCTTATTTTCCAGTCAGGGAAACTGGTCCAAAAAAGGCCAGGCCTCCCGGGACCGACTGGAGCTCTTTCTCCATCATCTTGGGCCACACAACCCTCCCCAGTGGATCCATAGCCCGCTAACTAGTGAGTCCCATTGAGTGGAAATGGAAGGTGGATTAGGGAGAACAGCTCAATAAAAGAGTCCAAGTTTTGGCCGGGCGCGGTAGCTCACACCTGTAATCCCAGCACTTTGGGAGGCCGAGGCAGGCGGATCACCTGAGGTTAGGAGTTCGAGGAGTTCGAGACCAGCCTGGCCAACGTGATGAAACCCCATCTCTACTAAAAATACACACAAAAATATTAACCAGGCGCAGTGGTGTGCACCTGTAGTCTCAGCTGCTTGGGAGGCTGAGGCAGGAGAATCGCTTGAACCCGGGAGGTAGAGGTTGCAGTGAGCCAAGATTGTGCCATTGTAATGGCAGCAAGAATGAAACTCTATCTCAAAAAAAGAGTCCAAGATTCACCCAGGGGCGGATGAAAGAACTCCCTGAGCCCTGGTGGAATTCCCCAGCGTGGGAGAGGGAGAGTGCAGCCCATGGGGGCAGGTCACAGCCCACACTCTTCCTTCAGGATCTTCTCAGCTCCCAGAGCTACCTTGCCTTTCCTGGCCCTGTGGAGGGGAGAATGAGGGCAGAGCAGGGAAAGTGGAGGGGTCCTGGGGCCCTCTGGGGAGAGGGAGCTTCTGTTGCTGTCCCAGCTCATGGGGTGTCCCTTGATAACCAGGAGAGAAGACTTTTCCTTCGCCCCCTTTCCTTCCTTCTCTCCATTCCTCTCCTGCTCCAACAACCAGAAGTGTGAGGCGGAAGCCCTGAAGTTTCTTGGTTTTGCATCTGCAGAATAGGGGTGCTGCCCTCCACATCCTTCAGTCTAGGGTGCTAGGAGCCCAGCAGTCTGTGATCCTGCTATGGAGAGGCTGGGAGCCCAGCGCTCTGATAAGTTGAGGCTAACATTTCATGTATTCATCCTTCTGAGAGATGAGGCCCCTTATTGGTGCCAGGCCAGCCCTACACTAGGGGCTGGGGTGCAGCCATGAATGAAGGAGACCCACACCTGCCCCCGTGGAGTCCCAGGTGAGAAGGTCTAGTTCTCAGCCTGAGAGTCAAATGTTGTGAGTCTACAAGAGCCTTATTCCCACCACATGGCTCTGTCAGACCCGTGATGTTTCTGGAAGCAGGAAGGAGGAAAGAAGGAGTGGAGAAAGGTGGGGTCACACAAGGGCACTAATTTTAATGTTCACTTTCAGTGAATGTAATCTTCTGGGATCTAGCACACCTACAATTTTGAGTGCCTTAAAATGCCACTGCTAATAGACTCATAGCACTTGTGTCTTTCAGGGGACCGTTCTCTGAAGCATCACAAATGCTCTGTGAACATTCATTAATTAGGACCCAATTAAATAGTTATCATTGGCTGAAAATATATTTATTGCAACGCGTTTGACCAGCTACTGGTTTCCCGGCTGGGCCTCCACATGTGTAGTTGTGCTTGAATGATGGTGGCCTGACAGGAGGGGTTAGAACATCGGGTTATCCTCTGACAATGCCTGCAGGGCTGCTGGGGAGTCTGTCCGCTCAAGGGCATTGATTCTAAGGACTTTCAATGGACCCTCAGTTCTTACCCAGTCTCTGTCTTGGTGCCTTCTTCCATGCTGGGAGCTTACTACAAGGGACTGTGTATGCCAGAGTCTTCCAGAAGAAAAATTCAAGGTTGAGCAATAACCTGGTTGCTCACGCCTGAAGTCCTTCCCTTTCCTTTTTTTTTTTTTTGAGATGGAGTCTCGCTCTCTCACCCAGGCTGGAGTGCAGTGGCACAATCTCGGCTCACTGCAACCTCTGCCTCCCAGGTTCAAGCGATTCTCCTGCCTCAGTCTCCCGAATAGCTGGAACTACGGGCACACACCACCACACCCAGCTAAATTTTGTATTTTTAGTAGAGACGGGGTTTCACCATATTGGTCAGGCTGGTCTTGAACTCCTGACCTCAAGTGAGCCACCCGCCTCAGCCTCCCAAAGTGCTGGGATTACAGGCGTGAGCCACCATGCCCAGCCCTGAAGTCCCTTTTAACTCTGTCATTCGGTAGCCCCCGAAGTCTCTTACCCAGTGGTCTAGAGCTCCTCCCGTTCTCTGCCTTCTACTAGAGGAAATTTCCCTCTAGAGGAAGTGCTGCTTGGCCAGGCTCTGTGTTGGCATTGGGGTGGAGGATGAAGGAGATACGTCATATACTGAACTCTTAAGGCCCAGCCCTGTGTCAGACCGGGGCTGAACACCTTGCACTGAATCCGCTTAAGAGCTCTGAGAAGTAGAGAATGGGTTCCAGTACAACAGGGAGGCAAACTTGAGTTACCTGAAATTCCTCACCAAGATTTCCCCAGGGGACTGGGGAGGATGGGGGCTGCGTGGCTGGCATGGAGATCTAGGATTCTCTGGCCCTCCAAGAGCAGAACAGCAGGTGGGACCAGAAGCCCCCCACCCAAGACTGGGCTGATGTGGCACAAAGGAAGGAAGCACGTAGGATCAGCTGCTAGGGAGGTGTTTCAGAAGCAGACAGAGAAGGAAAGCTTGTTTTTAGCAGTGGCCACCAATGTGGAATTTTGAAGGTATTTGTGTAAAGGGGAACCCTGGGACCATGTGAGACACTGTGCCACTCCATCATTTTTTGAAAATGACTGGGACATTTAGTACCCTGCTTGTATTCAGGTTACATACGATGACAGACACCAAGCCGAATGTGCCTAAGGAAAAGGAGAACTTAGGAGTCCACGTGAAACAAAACAGGGATAAGGACAGGAATGGAGCAGCCCTGAGTAAGGATGAGATCATGAGACTCAAATACTTCCAGACCCCTAGCTGTTCCTGTCTTCCTTCTGCCTCTGAGAAACATCTCGGTCTCATTTCTGTCCACCGCATATGGGGTTTCTCTGGGGAGGTGGAGAGTAGGAGGGGTGATTTTTTATTTTTTTAAGTTTTATTTATTTATTTTTGAGACGGTGTCTCTGTTGCTCAGGCTGGAGTGCAGTGGCATGATCTCGGCTCACTGCAACCTCTGCCTCCCAGGTTCAAGCAATTCTCCTGCCTCAGCCTCCCGAGTAGCTGGGATTACAGGTGCGTGCCACCACACCTGGCTCATTTTTTTTTGGTTTTTTTGTTTTTTTTTTGAGATGGAGTCTTGCTCTGTTGCCCAGGCTGGAGTGCAGTGGTACCATCTCAGCTCACTGCAATCTCTGCCTCCCGGGTTCAAGCGATTCTCCTGCCTCAGCCTCCTGAGTAGCTGGGATTACAGGTGCGCACCACCACGCCTGGCTAATTTTTGTATTTTTAGTAGAGACAGTGTTTCATCCTGTTGGTCAGGCTGGTCTTGAACTCCTGACCTTGTGATCTGCCCACCTTGGCCTCCCAAAGTGCTGGGATTACAGGCATGAGCCATCGCGCCCGGCCAAAGCGTGATTTTTTAAAATGCTGATTTCTTTTCTTTAATGGCCATTGATTTATTTAGGGTTTCTCTTGTTTTTGTGTGTGTGTGTGTGTGTGTGTGTGTGTTTTGAGGCTGAGTCTCACTTTGTCGCCCAGGCTGGAGTGCAGTGGTGCGATCTCAGCTCACTGCAAGCTCCGCCTCCCGGGTTCACGCCATTCTCCTGCCTCAGCCTCCCGAGTAGCTGGGACTACAGGCGCCCGCCACCACGCCCGGCTAATTTTTTGTTTGTATTTTTAGTAGAGATGGGCTTTCACTGTGCTAGCCAGGATGGTCTTGATCTCCTGACCTCGTGATCCACCCGCCTCGGCCTCCCAAAGTGTTGGGATTACAGGCGTGAGCCACCGCACCCGACAGGGTTTCTCTTGTTTTTGAATAAACTTTGATCATTTATGCTTTCCTGTAAATTCTCTATTTCATTTATGATTCTTAAAACTTCCAGTCTATCTGTAGTTTCATACTTTTTAAAATTCCTAATGTTAGATATTTGTGCCTTTACTCTTCTTTTCCTTGATTAATCTTGCTAGATGTTCTTCTATTTTGTCATTTCAAAGAAACAGCTTTGGGCTTTATTGAATATTCTGTAATTGTTGATTTCCTTTTCATTGATGCTCTTATCTTTATTGTTTATTCCCTTCCACTGTTGTTTTTTGTTTGTTTGAAGCTTCTTTAGTTAGTTGAAAGCTTTACACATGTATGTTTTAGTCATTCTTGTTTTAAAGTAAATGCACTTAAGATTATATATTTCTCCATAAATGTCCTTTTAGTTGCATTCTGCAAATTTTGTTTTGTATTGAGCAAATATTTCATATTGAGCAAATATTTCATAATTCCCATTGGGATTTCTGTTGTCTTTGAGTGGGCTCAGTGAATAACTTCCCTTTTCCTTCCTGGATTCTGAACTAACTGAGAGATAAGGCAAGAGTCAGCAGAGGAGGGAAAATTTTTTTTTTTTTTTTTGCGGTTAAAACTTTTTTTTTTTTTTTTTTTGTAGAGATGGGGGTCTTGCTTTGTTGCCCAGGTTGATCTCAAACTCCTGGCTTCAAGGGGTCCTCCTGCCTTGGCCTCCCAGAGTGCTGGGATTACAGATGTGAGCCACCGCACCCGGCCTTAAAAAATCATTTTTAAAAAAACTGATAGAAATAAGATTGGAGGATGAGGGTAGGTAAAACAGCCAAATGGGTTTCTGAAAAGGGGGATTTGGCCACCTTAACCCCTGGTCACTGTGATGCTGGCGGTGGCAGGTGCAGGAGCAGAGAATGACCACTGCCTGTGGGCGGCTCACTCACTCCCAGGAAGAGAAAGGGAGTGGGTGAGTCAAGTGGGCCCATTTTACGGTTCCCACATTCACCAGTCAGGTAAGTCACTCTTTCTCCAGGCCTGAGGGTGGAAAGGAGAAGGGAGAGGCTGGGTGTGTCATGCAGATTTAGCTCCCACTGCATGGAAGGAAGCATCAAGATTAGGAAATAACGTTCCTGCAACAATTTCCTCTTGAACCTATGAAATAGAAATGTGCTTCTTAGTTTTCAAAGACAGGATTGTTGGCTGGGTGTGGTGGTGCATGCCTGTGATCCCAGCACTTTAGGAGGCTGAGAGGTAAGGATTGCTTGAGCCCAGGAGTTCCAGACCAGCCTGGGCAACAACGCAAAACCCCATCTCTATAAAAAATCTAAAAATTAGCCAGATGTGGTGGCACACACCTGTAGTCCCAGCTACTTGAGAGGCTGAGGTGGGAGGATTGCTTGAGTCTGAGAGGTTGAGAGGCTGCACTGAGCCATGATCATGCCACTGCACTCCTTGCCTAGGCTACAAAGCAAGACCCTGTCTCAAAAAACAAAAAAAGAAGATATAGTTGTTATTTTAAGCTGCCTTTAAAAAATATATATATATATATGGGTCTATTTCTAGATTCCTTGCTCCATTGATCTTTTGGTTTGTCCTAAGGCCAACATCCCATTGTCCTGATTACTGTAGCATTATAGTAAGTCTGGAAATATCATAAACCTTGAAAAATAACCCTGGTTACTTTTGTCTGAAATGTGAACTCCACCTTTTTAACAGTTAGATAGTGTATAAATTTACTGCCCGTCTTCTGAATGTGATTTGACATATCTTAGTGTATCAATTTAATTCTTTTGTGTGTGTGTGTGCCAGAGTTTCACTCTTGTTGCCCAGGCTGGAGTGCAGTGGCACAATCTCGGCTCACTGCAACTTCTGCCTCCCGGGTTCAAGTGATTCTCCTGCCTCAGCCTCCCAAGTAGCTGGGACTACAGGCACCTGCCACCACGCCCGGCTAATTTTTTGTATTTTTAGTAGAGACCGGGTTTCACTATGTTGGCCAGGCTGGTCTCGAACTCCTGACCTTGTGATCCACCTGCCTCGGCCTCCCAAAGTACTGGAATTACAGGCATGAGCCACCGCGTCCGGCTCTCAATCTAATTCTTAACATTGTCATTTGCATGATCTTCCATCTTTGTGAAAGTCTTAGTCTTTTCTTATTATATTTTAGATGGAACTTCTTGATTTTAGATGGAAATTTCACTCTTTTGCAGACACTTGACACTGAATGAGTGTCATTTTGCAAACTGTACAAATGATCATTCAATACATATCCCTGCTCCAGGCTTTCTTGCCTAGATACATTTCCTTCTTGATTTAATTATATTATTTCATGTCAAAAATTTCATTAGGATTATATAGTTTTTACAGACAATGGTTGTGGCAGAGTTGCTGGTTGTCCCCCAATATCCACTCTTCCTGTCTTGCAAAGTAATAAAATTTTTTATCTGGACATGTGGTAGACCCGATAAGAACTATATTTCCCAGCCTCCTTTGGAGCTAGCTATGGATTATGGGATGTAAGAGGAGTGATACAGTGTGTGTGACTTACAGATCCTACTCTTGAAAGGAAACAGCACACCCTGCCCTTTCTGTTGATGGGAAGGAGGGTGCAGTGGTGAGCCATCTTGAACTAGGGGGTTCAGAGCAATATTACAGGGATCAAGAAGCAAGAAAACATAAGGGGCAGGGCGTGGTGGCTCACGCCTATAATCCCAGCACTTTGGGAGGATGAGGCGGTTGGATCACTTGAGGTCAGGAGTTCGAGACCAGCCTGGCCAACATGGTGAAACCCCATCTCTACTAAAAACACAAAAATTAGCTGGGGGTGGTGATGTGCACCTGTAATCTCAGCTACTTGAGAGGCTGAGGCAGGAGAATCACCTGAACCCAGAGGCGGAGGTTGCAGTGAGCTGAGATTGCACCACTGCATTCCAGCCTGGGCAACAAGAACAAAGATCTGTCTCAAAGAAAAGCCCCGAGCTGGGCGTGGTGGCTCACACCTGTAATCCCAGCACTTTGGGAGGCCGAGGCAGGTCGATCACGAGGTCAGGAATTTGAGACCAGCCTGGCCAACATGGTGAAACCCCGTTCCTACTAAAAATACAAAAATCAGCTGGCATACTGGCGGGCACCTGTAATCCCAGATACTTAGGAGGCTGAAGCAGGACAATCACTTGAACCCGGGAGGTGGAGGTTGCAGTGAGCTGAGATCATGCCACTGCACTCTAGCCTGGGCAACAAGAGCGAGACTCTGTCTCAAAAAAAAAAAAGAAAAAAGGAAAGAAAGAAAGAAAACATAAGGAACCTGAGTCTCCAATAACTCGGAGCTGCCGTATGACTATTTATGCCCAGACTGTTACTTAGGGAGAAAGAAAATTCTATCTTTGTGAGCTGCTAGTATTTTGGATCTCTGTCAGAGCAGCTGAACTTCTATCCTAGGATAATAGCTAGATTTACCAATATCATTTATTAAATTATTTGTTCACTACCGCTCCTTGATACTCCTTCCCTTTTAATTTATGTTTCTTTTTGGCAGAGAATCTCTTTTAAGAGTTTTTGCAGCAAAAGTTTGGGGGTGAAAAATCTTGGGATTTGTAGGTTTGAAAATGCTTTCCTCTCCAAGTGGATAGTGTTGAAATGAAGAAGAAGAAAACATTGGGCCAGGTGCGGTGGCTCATGCCTGTAATCCCAGCACTTTGGGAGGCTGAGGTGGGCAGATCACGAGGTCAGGAGTTTGAGACCAACCTGACCAACATGGTGAAACCCCATCTCTACTGAAAATACAAAAATTAGCCAGGTGTGGTGGTGGGTGCCTGTAATCCCAGCTACTCAGGAGGCTGAGGCAGGAGAATCGCTTGAACCCGGGAGGCGGAGTTTGCAGTGAGCCAAGATGGTGCCACTTCACTCCAGCCTGGGCAACAAAGTGAGACTCCATCTCAAAAAAAAAAAAAGAGAAAAGAAAAAGAAGAAAACATTTTCCTTTCACTCCCCTTTTTTGTTTTAGCTCTGTCACGCGGGCTGGGCTGCAATGGCATGATCAGGAGTCACTTCAGCCTTGATCTCTCCAGCTCAAGGGATTGTCTCACCTCAGCCTCCCAAGTAGTTGAGATTATAGGCATGTGCCACCATGCCTAGTTAATTTTTAAATTTTTTGTAGAAACAGGATCTCGCTAAGTTACCAGAGCTAGTCTCGACTCCTGGGCTTAAGCGATCCTTCCACCTTGGCCTCCCAAACTGCTGGGATTACAGGCATGAGACACCTCACCCAGCCTGCTCACACTCTTTACTGACAGTTTAGCTAGGTATGTTAATCTGAGTTGGTAGTTAATTTTCCTCAACACCCTAAAGGTATTATTCCATTGTTTTCTTGCTCCTTTTGTGGCTCAGGAGAATTCTGTTGGTTTATTTGTCATTTCTTTGTAGGTAATTGTTTTTCTCCCTCAGAGTTGCTTTTAAGATTTTATCCTTATTTTTGGCATTCTGAATTACAGTGTATCTAGGCGAAATGTGTATTTTTACTTATTTAGCCTGTCTTTCATTGGGCTTCTTTATTCTGAGAACTCATGTCTCTTTATTCTGAGAACTTACTCACTTTTTGAGAATTCTCAGCCTTTATGCCTTTGACTATGCCTCTCTTGTCATTCCCTCTATATGGTACTTCTAGAAATTCCTATCATATGGATGCTTGACCTTCTAATATTATCCTCCATTTCTCCTAATTTTCTTTGATATTTTTCATCACTTTTGCTGTATTGCCTTCTATGTGAATTCTTCAGTTTTAGCTTTCTATTATCCACCTCTCTCTTTGTGTCTAGTCAAGAGTTTATTCCATCTCGTGAGCTTTTATTTATTTATTTATTTATTGAGACAAAGTCTTGCTCTGTTGCCCAGGCTGGAGTGCAGTGGTGCAATCATGGCTCACTGCAGCCTCAACCTCCTGGGCTCAAGCAATCCTCTCACCTCAGCCTCCTGAGTAGCCCAGCTAATTTTTTAAAAAAATTTTGTCCACAAAAAAATTGAAAATAAAAAAAGACCAGGAATGGTGGTGCCACCTGTAATCCTAGCACTATGGGAGGCCGAGGTGGGTGGAACACTTGAGGCCAGGAGTTTGAGACCAGCCTGGCCAACATGGTGAAACCCTGTCTCTACTAAAAATACAAAAATTAGCTGGGCATGGTGATGCATGCCTGTAATCTCAGCTACTTAGGAGGCTGAGGCATGAGAATTGCCTGAACCCGGGAGGTGGAGGTTGCAGTGAGCCATGATCGCACCACTGCAATCCAGCCTGGGCCATAGAGTGAGACTCTCTGTCTCAAAAAAATAAGAATAAATATAAATTTTTTGTAGAGACATGTCTCACTATGTTGCCCAGGCTAGTCTCGAACTCCTGAGCTCAAGGGATCCTCCTGCCTAAGCCTACCAAAGTGCTGGGTATTACATGTGTGAACCACTGTGCCCGGTGCCTTCAGCTTTTATATCAGTGTCCTTCTAGCCTTAGCATTTGATCTATGGCTTGTGAAATTTTGTCTTCGGTGAGTGAGGCTTTTAGGATATGTATACACTGAATGGGGTGGCCCACCAAAGTGTGAACAGGAGTGGGAGAATATGGGTCATTTTTATTCTCTTCTATACCTTTTAGTATTTATCAAGTATTTTTGAATGATATCTATATAAAACAAGCCAAAGCTGTTTGCTTAAACATTTTGTTTTTATTTATTTATTTATTTTTGAGATGGAATTTCGCTCTTGTTGCCCAGGCTGGAGTGCAATGGCGCGATCTCGGCTCACCGCAACCTCCGCCTCCTGGGTTCAAACGATTCTCCTGCCTGAGCCTCCTGAGTAGCTGGGATTACAGGCATGTGCCACCACGCCCAGCTAATTTTGTATTTTTAGTAGAGACGGGGTTTCTCCATGTGGGTCAGGCTGGTCTCGAACTCCCGACCTCAGGTGATCTGCCTGCCTCGGCCTCCTATAGTGTTGGGATTACAGGCATGAGCCAACGCGCCCAGCCAAGTAAACATTTTATTAATGAATAATATACAGAAAATGGCAGAAATCTTAAATGTTTAGTTTGATAAATTTTTACAAAGTGAACACACCTATGTAATTACCATCAAGATTAGGGCATGATCAGCATCTAGAAGCGTTCCTCATACCCTCCAAGTCATTAACTCCTAGAAGATTACCATGGATTCGACTTTTATCATCATAGAAAAGTTTTGCCTGTTTTTGGAATTTTTATAAATGAAATCATTCAGTATATTCATTTACATTTGACTTATCTTATTCATATTATGTTTGTGAAGTTCATAAATGTTGTTCTGTGTAACAATAGCTCAATCATTCTCTTTTCACATTTTTAATTTTTTTTTTGAGACAAGGTTGCCTAGGTTGGAGTACAGTGGCACAGTCTCAACTCACTGCAACCTCCATCTCCTGGTCTCCAGCAATCCTCTCACCTCAGCCTCCTGAGTACCTGGAACTATAGATGTGTGGCCACCACACTCAGCTATTTTTTATAGTTTTGGCACAGACAGGGTTTCACCATGTTGCCCAGGCTGGCCTCGAACTCCTGCGCTTGAGCAATTCGTCCACCTTGGCCTCCCAAAGTGCTGGAATTCCAGGCATGAGCCACTGTGCCTGGCCTAATTTTTAATTTGTGTGGGTACATAATAGGTGTATATATTTATGGAGTACGTGTGATGTTCTGAAGCACAATTGTACAATTGTTCTTTTTTTTTTTTTTTTTTGAGACAGAGTCTTGCTCTATTGCCCAGGCTGGAGTGAAGTGGCACAGTCTCGGCTCACTGGAGCCTCTGCCTCCCGGGTTCCAGATATTCTCCTGCCTCAGCCTCCCAGGTAGCTGGGATTGCAGGCACGCACCACCACGCCTGGCTAATTTTTATCCTTTTTTTTCTTTTTGAGACAGAGTCTCGCTCTGTTGCCCAGGTTGGGGTGCAGAGGCGCGGTCTCAGCTCACTGCAACCTCCACCTACCAGGTTCAAGAGATTCTCCTGCCTCAGCCTCTCGAGTAGCTGTGACTACAGGTGCCTGCCACCATGCCCGGCTAATTTTTTGTAGTTTTAGTAGAGACGGGGTTTCACCATGTTGGCCAGGCTGGTCTCGGTCTCCTGACCTCGTGATCCACCCTCCTCGGCCTCCCAAAGTGCTGGGATTACAGGTATGAGCCACCGTGCCCGGCCCCAATTTTTATACTTTTAGTAGAGATGGGGTTTCACCATGTTGGCCAGGCTGGTCTTGAACTCCTGACCTCAGGTGATCTGCCTGCCTTGGCCTCCTAAAGTGCTAGGATTACAGGCGTGAGCCACTGCACCCGGCCAGTTCACTTGTTCTTAATGTTTAGTATTCCATTGTGTGACTAGCCCACAATATAGTTCCACATTCTCCTATTGGTGGATATTTGGGTTGTTTCTGGCTTGAGGTTGTTGGGGCTCAGAAAACAATGCCTCAAAGTAAAAGCTTCAGAAGCAAAGTTTCTCCCTGACCTTTCCCTGCCCTTCTGTCTCTCACCCCTCATTCTCCCCTGAGGCGAGCCATGGAAACTACAATTCCTGTTCCCCAAAGTGGATCATAGAAACCAGAACCCTCTTCCCTGAAGCCAGCCACAATGCCTACAAATATGACCCTAACCCTCCTTCACCTTTCTGTGTAACAGCTGGCCAGAAAGACATTTTTCTGACCTACCTTGTTTGATTGTAGGTCATGGGACCCTCATTCCAGGGAACGTCCTGCCGCATACCTGGAAGGAAGGAACGTGCACAGAGAGGCCAAGAAAAGTCTAAACAGACTGGCCTTGCTGGGTTTCCATACTCAGCCTCTTACTATTAGATCACACCCTTTTGGTCCAATCATATTTCTATGCAGTTGTCTATACTTGATTGAACCTAAGTATAAAAGTGCACAGTTCACCCTGGGTCTTTGGGTCTTCATTCTGAAAGCTCCCATAATCAAGTAAAACTATTATGAAATATATTTATTATGTTCTTTTTTTTTTTTTAATGGAATCTCGCTCTGTTGCCCAGGCTGGAGTGCAGTGGGGCACAATCCCGGGTTCAAGTGATTCTCCTGCCTCAGCCTCCAGAGTAGCTGGTTCTACAGGTGCATGCCACCACACCAGGCTAAGTTTTGTATTTTTAGTAGAGACGGGGTTTCGCCCTGTTGACCAGGCTGGTTTTGAACACCTGACCTCAGGTAATCCACCCACCTCGGCCTCCCAAAGTGCTGGGATTACAGGCATTAGCCACTGCGCCCGGCTTTTTTTTTTTTTTTTTTTTTTGAGAAGGAGTCTCACTCTGTCACCAGGCTGGAATGCAGTGGTGCGACCTCTGCTCACTGCAACCTCCAACTCCCTGGTTCAAGCCATTCTCCTGCCTCAGCCTCCCAAGTAGCTGGGACTACAGGCATGTACCACCACGCCCAGCTGATTTTTGTATTTTTAGTAGAGACAGGGTTTCACCATGTTGGCCAGGATGTCTCGATCCCCTGACCTCTGATCTGCCCGCCTCGGCCTCCGAAAGTACTGGGATTACAGGTGTGAGCCACCGCGCCTGGCCCTCTGTTATGTTCTTCTCTTATTAATCTGGTTTTTTGTTTGTTTGTTTGTTTGTTTTTTTGAGACAGAGTCTCACTCTGTCACCTAGGCTGGAGTACAATGGTGAGATCTCGGCTCACTGCAATCTCTGCCTCCTGGGTTCGAGCTATTCTCCTGCCTCAGCCTCTGGAGTAGCTGGGATTACAGGCATGCACTACCACGTCTGGCTAATTTTTGTATTTTTGGTAGAGATGAAGTTTCGCCATGTTGGCCAGGCTGGTCTCAAACTCCTGACCTAAGGTGATCCCCCCACCTTGGCCTGTGTTTCACTGTGTTGTCCAGGCTGGTCTCGAACTCCTGGGCTCAAGGGATCTTCCCACCTCAGCCTCCCAAAGTG
Source organism: Homo sapiens (assembly GCF_000001405.40). NCBI lineage: Eukaryota > Metazoa > Chordata > Mammalia > Primates > Hominidae > Homo > Homo sapiens. The sequence continues at coordinate 129,535,021 of NC_000009.12, read as the reverse complement.
TTGGGTTTACAGGCGTGAGCCACCGTGCTCAGTCTTATGTTGGTTGATTTTTTAAACTCTTAAAATTATTGAATCACTCTTGCTTCCTGGAATAAATCCGGCTTGGTCATGCTATGATATTGATAGCACTTGATATTGTTTGTTTTTTAGAACTTAGCCATTTTAATAAGTGTAATAGCATCCCAATGTGGTTTTCATATAAATTTTCCTAGTGACTAGGGAATGACATTGAGTATCTTTTCATTCATTAATTTACCATTCATATATCTTCTTTGATAAGTATCTGTTCAAATCGTTTGCCCATTTAAAAAATTGTATTGTGGCCCGGTGCGGCGGCTCAGGCCTGTAATTCCAGCACTTTGGGAAGCCAAGGTGGGTGGATTGCTTGAGGTCAGGAGTTTGAGACCAGCCTGGCCAACATGGTGAAACCCCGTCTCTACTAATAATACAAAAATTAGCCAAGCGTGATGGCTCACGCCTGTAATCCCAGCTACTTGGGAGGCTGAGGCAGGAGAATTGCTTGAATCCAGGAGGTGGAGGTTGCAGTGAGCCAAGATTGTGCCATTGCACTCCAGCCTGACCCACAAGAATGAAACTGTGTCAAAAAAAAAAAACCATATTGTTTGTCTTTTTTTTTTTTTTGGAGACAGGGTCTTGCTCTGTCACCCAGGCTGGAGTGCAGTGCTGTGATCATGGCTCAGTAGTACAGCTTTGACCTCCCAGGCTTAAGTGATCCTCCCACCTCAGCCTCCCAAGTAGCTGAGACCACAGGTGTGCACCACCACACCTGGCTAATTTTTGTATTCTTTGTACAAGTGGGGTTTCACCATGTTGCCCAGGCTGGTCTCAAATACCTGGCTCAAGCGACCCATGAACCTTGGCTCCCTAAAGTGCTAGAATTATAGGCGTGAGCCACTGTGCCTGGCCTGTTTGTCTTTTTATTGTTAAGCTCCTAGAGTTCTTTATATAATCTGGATATAAATCTTTTGTTGGATATTTGGTTTGCAAATATTTTTTCCCAAACTGTGGCTTATTTTTCCATTCTTTTTTTTTTTTTTAGACAGATTCTCACTCTGTCACCCAGACTGGAGTGCAGTGGCACGATCTTGGCTCACTGCCACCTCCGCCTCCCGGGTTCAAGCGATTCTCCTGCCTCAGCCTCCCAAGTAGCTGGAATTACAGACATATGCCACCACGCCTGGCTAACTTTTGTATTTTTAGTAGAGACGGGGTTTCACCATGTTGGCCAGGCTGGTCTCAAATTCCTGACCTCAGGTGATCTGCCTGCCTCGGCTTCCCAAAGTGCTAGGATTATAGGCGTGAGCCACCGTGCCTGGCCTTATTTTTTCATTCTCTTAACAAAATTAATACAAGTAAATGTTTAAATTTTGAAGGAAATCTAGTTTATTATTTCTTTTATGGATCATGCATTGGTGTCATATCTAAGAACACTTTGCTTATCCCAAGGTTACAATTCCCCAATGTTTTTTTCTAAAAGCTCTATTGTTTTACATTTTATATTGAAGTGTATGATAAATTTTGAGTTAATTTTTGTATAACATGTGAGATAAGGGTTGACATTCTTTTTTTTTTTCCCACATGTGGCCATCCAGTTTTTCCAACCCCATTTCTGGAAAAAAAAAAAAAAAGTTATCCTTTCTCAATTAGATTGCCTTCGCATCTTTCTCAAAAGTCACTTGGCTGGCCGGATGCAGTGTCTCATGCCTGTAATCCCAACACTTTGGGAGGCTGATGCGGGCAGATCACCTGAGGTCAGGAGTCAAGACCAGCCTGGCCAATATGGCAAAAACCCATCTTAAAAAAAAAAAAAATACAGGTCGGGCGTGGTGGCTCACGCCTGTAATCCCAGCACTTTGGGAGGCCGAGGCAGGTGGATCACCTGAGGTCAGGAATCGAGACCAGCCTGGCCAATATGGCAAAAACCCATCTTTAAAAAAAAAATAAAAAAATTAGCCAGGCATGGTGGTGTGTGCCTGCCTGTAGTCCCAGCTACTTGGGAGGCTGAGGAACGAGAAGTGCTTGAACCTTGGAGGTTGCAGTGAGCTGAGATCACACCACTGCACTCCTACCTGAGTGACAGAGTGAGACTCTGTCTCCAAAATAAATAAATAAAAATCACTTGGCCACATTTGTGTGGTTCCATTTATGAATTCTCTGCTCCACTGACCTGTATGTCTGTCCCTTTACCATTCCCACACTGTCTGCTTACTGTAGCTTTATATTAATACTAAGTCTTGAAATCAGATGATGTCACTCTCCTAACTTTGTTCTTTTTAAAAACTCTTTTTGTTATTCCATTTCCTTTTCTTTTTCATATAAATTTTAGAATTAGCTTGTTGACTTCTACTAACAATTATCCTTAGATTTTCTTTGGGATTGGATTGAATCTGTAGATCAGCTTGACCACAGTTGACAGCTTCACAATATTGAGTCTTCTAATCCATGAACATGGTATATGTCTCCATTTATTTAGGTATTATTTCATTAATGTTCTGTAGCCTTCAGCATACAGATTTATACTCAAATATTTATTTTTTCAGCACTATCTCTTAGTTTTCATTTCTAGTCATTCATTGGGAGTGTATAGGAATATACTATTTATTTTTTATCTTTGTATATTGATTTACATCCTGTGACCTTGCTAAACTTTTTAGTTCTATGGGATTTTTAAACATATAAAGTCTTTTTTCTTTTTTTTTTTGAGATAGAGTCTCACTATATCACCCAGGTTGGAGTGCAGTGGCGTGCTGCTGGTTCACTGCAACCTCTGCCTTCCAGGTTCAAGTGATTCTCGTGTGTCAGCCTCCCAAGTAGCTGGGACTACAGGCATGTGTCACCACGCCTGACTAATTTTTGTATTTTTAGTAGAGATGGGGTTTTACCATGTTGGCCAGTCTGGTCTTGAACTCCTGACCTCAAGTGATCTGCCCTCCTCAGCCGCCCAAAGTGTTGAGATTACAGGCGTGAGCCACCTCATCCAGCCAACATATACAATCTTGTGTGTGAAGACAGGCAGATTTCTTTCTCTCTCTCTCTTTCTTTCTTTCTTTCTCTTTCTTTCTTTTTTTCTTCTTCTCTCTCTCTCTCTCTTTCTTTCTTTCTTCTTTCTTGGCTGTATGTCTTTTCTCCTTGCCTTACTGCATTGGCTAGGAATTCCTTTCTGGTGTTGACTAGCAGTAGTGACAGAAAACATCCTTGCCTTGTTCCTGATTTTAAGGGAGAAAGCATTCAGTCTTTCACTATTAAGTATGATCTGAACAATCCAACACCAAATCTCAAACCAAAGGTTGCTTTCTAGGGCCACTGTCTAGGGCTTGAGAATTGAAGTAAAAGTGAAGGGCTAGTAATGTGTTAGGGAGCGCAAGCACAGGAAAGCTAGAAGAGGGGGAAATAGGAAAAAAGGGAGAACTCATATGAAAGTACGTGATTGATCTGGCCACTGCTTGATGTTAATCACGATTGATTTCTTGATCTTGGGGAACCATCTGGCACATGCATGGACATTGAGTGGATCCCATAGCATTTGGAACACAAGCAAGCATGGAACAGCCCGTGGGGGCCGGAGGTGAGAATACTGTCGGGTTGTGCCTGCACGGAGCTGTGCCCATGCGGAACTGGTTGGGACAGAACAAGTGGCCAAGACCCTCATAAACTGATGGAGCTGAGAGGATTCAAGATGGCACATATGATTATATGGGAAACTTATCCAAATTTAAATCTTTCTCAACTGCTTTTCAATTTTCATTTGTATACGTGTATGCAGTTTAAAGCATCAAGTAGGTCCATAATGTTTATTATGAGAAACTACAGCCTCCTGTCCCCCATCCCTGAATTCCTCAGCTTTTTTGCTCTTAGATGCAAACTCTTTGAACTCTTGTAGCTGTTGCTTTTAAAATTTACCTCTGTATCACTAAATAACTGTGTGTGTGCGTGTGTGTGTGTGTGTTTAGTCTTAAGCATTGTGTATCAACTTTCCACAAAAGAAAAAAAATGTGCCAGGCGTGGTGGCTCACGCCTGTAATCCCAGCACTTTTGGAGGCTGAGGTGGGCAGATCACCTGAGGTCGGGAGTTCGAGACCAGCCTGAATAACATGGAGAAACCCCATCTCTACTAAAAATACAAAAATTGGCCAGGCATGGTGGTGCATGCCTATAATCCCAGCTACTCAGGAGGCTGAGGCAGGAGAATCGCTTGAACCCGGGAGGTGGAGGTTGTGGTGAGCCGAGATTGTGCCATTGCACTCCAGCCTGGGCAACAAGAGTGAAACCCCGTCTCAAAATAAATAAATAAATAAATAAATAAATAAACTGTCTGACTTTCACCAGCACCACTACTCCCTCTACCCTCACCCTACTTACTGTTTCATCATTCTTCCAACATACTTCAGTCATAATTTGGGCTAGCTCAATATTGAAAGTTTACAATATTGTGATTGTATAAATCCTCTTCATCTCCTGTGCTAAGTAAAACACTGCAGTTATTTTTTTTCTTCCACAGTCTTTTGTTTTCCTTGTAATAATATTGCCTTATTTTTATTTATTTGACTTCTTGGTTTTCTTTTTTCTTTTTTTTTTGAGACAGAGCCTCACTCTGTCACCCAGGCTGGAGTACAGTGGCGCCATCTTGGCTCACTGCAAGCTCCGCCTCCCGGGTTCCCGCCATTCTCCTGCCTCAGCCTCCCGAGTAGCTGGGACTACAGGTGCCCGCCACCACGCCTGGCTAATTTTTTTGTTGTATTTTTAGTAGAGACGGGGTTTCACCGTGTTAGCCAGGATGGTCTGGATCTCCTGACCTCGTGATCCGCCTGCCTTGGCCTCCCAAAATGCTCGGATTACAGGCGTGAGCCACCGCGCCCGGCCGACTTCTTAGTTTTCTATCTCACTTCATCCCAAACCCTTATTCAGCAGCACAAACTGCTGCTTGGTACATCCAAGCACATCAGTTAATCTTTCAGTTGCATCTTCTTGGAAACATTTTTTTGCAGATCCTTCTGGTTTGTTTCAATCTCTCTGGCAGCTTTCTAGGCCTGCTGAGATCTCCCTTCACCACCATCTTGGGAGTTCTCACTGTCTCTCTTCTGCCTTTGTTTCCCACTTTCCCCTCTTTCTTGGTTTATTCCCTTGTTTTGGTGGAGCTTGTCCTCTAGTAAATTCTCTAGAAAGCATGCACAGGAGCTGAACTTTTTCTGTGTTCATTTCTGAAAACGTCTTTATTCTGTTCTCACAACTGATTGATAATGTGGTTGGATATAGAATTCTATATTTTGAAATATTTTTTCCTTGGGATTTTGAAGGCATTTGCTCCACTGTGGTTTGGTTTCAGGAGGGCCATTTGAAAAGTCTGATGTCATTCTGATTCTTTGTGCTTTGTTTATAACCTGTTTTTTCCTGTTGAAATCTTGTATGACTTTTCATTTGTTCCCAGTGATCTGAAATTTTACGTTAGTGTATTTTTTTAAAATAGTACATTAGGCCGGGTGCAGTGGCTCAAGCCTGTAATCTCAACTACTTGGGAGGCTGAGGTGGGAGGATCACTTGAACCCAGGAGGCAGAGTTTGCAGTGAGCCAAGATCATCCCACTGCACTCCAGCCTGGGCAACAGAGTGAGACTCCGTCTCAAAAAAAAAAAAAAAAGGTTCATTAATGTGTTTTAGTGGGCAAATATCTTCATCCATTTTGTTAGATACTTGTTACACATTTTCAATCTGGAAACTCATATCTTTTTGTTTTGTTTTGTTTTGAGACACTGTCTTGCTCTGTTGCCCAGGCTGGAGTGCAGTGGCACGATCAGGCTCACTGCAGCCTTGACCTCCTAGGCTCAAGTGAACTTCCCATCTCAGCCTCCCAAGTAGCTGGGACCCCAGGCACCTGCCACCATGGCTGGCTAATTTTTAAATATTTTTTGTAGAGATGGGTCTCACTATGTTACCCACTGTGGTCTCCAACTCCTGGGCTCAAGCAATCCTCCCTCCTCGGCCTCACAGAGGGCTGGGATTACAGGCATGAGCCACTGGGCCCAGTCCCACATTTAATTTAAAGAAGTCGGCCAGGCACAGTGGCTCACGTATGTAATTCCAGCACTTTGGGAGGCGGAGGCGGAGGCAGGTGGATCACTTGAGGTCAGGAGTTCGAGACCAGCCCGACCAACATGGTGAAACCCCATCTCTACTAAAAACACAAAAATTATCCGGGGGTTGTGATAATTTTTGTGTAAAAATTAGCCTGGGAGACAGAGCAAGACTCTGTCTCAACAACAACAACAACAAAAATACACATAAAATAAAATTTTAAAAACTAAAGAAATTTACTTTAGTAACTTGGTTGATGATCCCTCTCCCTTTTATTTTCTATATTCTTTCTGAGACTCCTCATACTTGGGTGTTAGATCCTCCCAGAATAATTCTGTAACTTTCATGTCTTTAATCTCCTATGCTTTGTCCTTTTGCTCTGCCATCTCAGTTATTTCCTCATCTTTATCCTTATCTTCTAACCCTTCCACTAAGCTTTTAATTTGTGCTATCCAAATGATATGAGATATTTTTTGTTCTCAGAATGTTCCTTTTTTTTTTTTTTGAGACACAGTCTTGCTTTGTCACCCAAGCTGGAGTACAGTGGCACGATCTCTGCTCACTGCAACCTCCGCCTCCCAGGCTCAAGCAATTCTCCTGCTTCAGCCTCCCAAGTAGCTGGGATTACAGGTGTGTGCCACCACACCTGGCTAATTTTTGTATTTATTTATTTTTTTTTTAGTAGAGATGGGGTTTCACCATGTTGGCCAGGGTGGTTTAGAACTCTTGACTTCAAGTGATGTGCTTGGCTCAGCCTCCCAAAGTGCTGGGATTACAGGTATGAGCCACTGCGCCTGGCCAGAATGTTCCTTTTTGATAACATCCTGTTCTTGTTTAATGTGTGCTATAGCTCATCTTTGGTACTACTAATGATAATTTTTTTTTATATTTTCTTCTTATCTCTTTCCCTAAGCTTTTTTCTTTAAAAAAAGATCTATTTGTTATTGTTTGTCTCCCCCAAGTGCCTTGGTGACCATTGGCTTCTGTGTGTAGAGGCTGCTAGGAAGCTGAGAGCTCAGAGTTTGCTACCCACCAGGAACTTCACTGTTGGGTGATCTGGCTGGGTTCCTTCATCAGTGAGCTCACAATGTCAGTGTCTTTAGATCTTTGCTCTTGGGCTTCTCAGATCCCCAGGGAATTATCTTTGAATCTCCTGCCTACAGGTTCATACTAAGCCTGGATGCCAACTGGGAGTCTTCATATTCAGTACAAAGACCCTCACTGTATTCCCCTGTTTTCAATAAGATGCACCCCGTCCCCAGCTGGACTTACTTTTCCTCAGTCCAGAGACCCTTGGCTTTAGCCGCTCTGCAGAATAAACCATCTGTCTTCTGCTGGGGTGTGGTAGAGAGAGTCACCTTGGGACGTTACTGATGGCTCTTTAAACTGTCTTTCAACAAATCCCCTGTGGTTCAATATGCTCCTTACCTCTGCTGCCAGAAGCACCTGGTACTCAATTCCTAGCCTTTGGGGGTTTCTTTTGTGTCTAGGCCCTCCTTACTGCCAGTTTAGGACTGTTTTTTTTTTCATCCACTAAGGTGGTTCTCACTCATCCGTCTGCTTTCCAATTTGAAAATTTTGTTTCTCTTACCTCACATCCCATTTTCTTTGTCATTGTGATATTTTGAAAATGCCTATTCTGCCATTTTAAAGGCATTTCAGGAGGTAGCAGGGATAAATACCTGCGTTTATTCTGCTGTCTCTAACCAGAAACTCTGCTTTTTTTTCATAATATCTAATTCATTTTGATATTTCCCAAAACTTCTTTATGTCTTTTTTTTTTTTTTTTTTTTTTGAGATAGAGTCTTGCTCTGTCACCCAGGCTGGAGTGCAGTGGTGCCATCTCGGCTTACTGCAACATCCACCTCCCAGGTTCAAGCGATTCTCTTTCCTCAGCCTCCCGAGTAGCTGGGACTACAGGTGCACACCACTATGCCCAGCGAATTTTTGTATTTTTAGTAGAGATGGGATTTTGCCATTTTGGCCAGGCTGGTCTCGAATTCCTGACCTCAACTGATCCACCTGCCTTTGCCTCCCAAAGTGCTGGGTGTCTTTTTTTTCTTTTTCTTTTTAGACAAGGTCTTGCTCTGTCACCAAGGCTGGAGTGCAGTGGCACGATCATGGCTCACTGCAGGCAGCCTCGACCTCCCAGGCTCAAGTGATCCTCCAACCTCAGCCTCCTGAGTAGCTGGGACCACAGGCATGCATCACCACGCCATGCTAATTTTTGTATTTTTCATAGAAATGGGGTTTTGCCATGTTTCCCAGGCTGGTCTTGAACTCCTGGGCCCGAGTGATCTGCCAACCTCAGCCTCCCAAAGTACTGGGATTACAAGCATGAGCCACTGCACCTGGCCTGTCATTAGTAATTTTAATCATAGCTATTTTATGGTCTCTATCTCCTGGATCTATCATCTGGGGTTCTTGGGGTGTCCACTTGTACTGTTGGTTTTGCAGCTGGATCTCACTTATGGCTACTTTTGTTTTGTAATTTACCTTTGTGAGCTCATCTGCAGGGGCATCTGTTGGTGGGAACCCTGGGCAGCCTGGGTTGAGGTCATAGCCCTCTAGTGCACGTTTGCATTTGTTTCTGCCCCGTGCCAAGGGACCTGTTTTTGTGTTAAGCTTTTGCTTTGGGAGTCCCCAGAGCCTATAAGTAGCAGTCTAAATTTAAATCTCAAACCCCCTGAGGCTAAGCCTATGGTTACAAATTCCCAGAGCAGCCTGCTTTCCCCACTCCAAGCCCAGGATGTGGCAGGTGATCTGCCTGAGTGGAGACTGGTTTTTACCCTTCTCTACCTTTTCACTGAGAATGTAACTCTGGAGAGTCTGGTTTGGGGGTGGGTCTCATTTACAATCCCTTGCTTTGTGGAGCCCAAAGCCTCATTTATTGTCCCCAGAGGGGCTATAAACTCCAATCCCCAGACTGCAGAGACCAACACCCTCCACCTCACCCATGCTGCTCACACCACACCAACATCGGCTGCCTGATTCCTGCTCTAGTTTTCAGCTACTTCTGTGTTTTTGTCGCCCGATTCCTGCTCTAGTTTTCAGCTGCTTCTGTGTTTTTGTCCCTGGGGAGTTCTTTTCCTTTCTTGCAAGCTCAGCCATGCATTTAAAAGGATAGTTGTTATAGTTTGGCCACCATTTCCAAGTAGTATGTTGTAGCAGGAGGGTTTTCTGCTGTCTAGCCTGCAATATGGCTGGAAATGGAAGTCCAGGGTTTTGTTTGGCTATTTTTTGGTTTCCTTAAAAATGCTTTTTGTTACAAAAATTAGCTGGGCGTGGTGGCATGTGCTTGTAGTCCCAGCTACTCAGGAGGCTGAGGCAGGAGACTCACTGGAACCCGGGAGGCAGAGGTTGCTGTGAGCTGAGATTGCACCACTGTACTCTTGCCTGAGCAACAGAGCAAGACTCTGTCTCAAAAAAATAAAAAATAAAAATAAAAATGCTTTTTGCATCTCTGTATTCCCTGCAGCAGACCATCAATAGTGGTCCATGAATATTGGGGAAATGGAATGGAATTGCCCCATTTCTACCTAATTGGCAATTGTGCCAAGCAGTCCTGCTGTTTGGAGCAGGAGTCTTAGAGAACAAAGGACCATATTCATACTCTTGAACCTGGTATTGAAGGCCCACCCTGGCCTGGACCCAACCTGCCTCGGGTCCCATCTCACGGCTGGCCAGTCTCTCTGGCATTCTGCCCTCCAGCCACACACCTGATCAAAGGCTCCGTGCCACCCTGCTTTGAACTTCCTGCTCCCACCGTCTGGCCCAGGCTGAACGTCCACCCACACACATTGCCCACGCGTCCCCTGCAGGCCCTGGCACTTCACTGTGGCTGTTTACTTGCTGTCTTCTCTGCTGCACCAGACTTGCACTCCCTGGGGGCGAGGCCGGCCTCCTCTCCTCTCTGTATCTCCAGCATCCTCACAGTAGCTGCATAAACATCCAAGGCGCTGGAGAGATGTGTGTCTAATGCGCCAACGAGCAAGCCGCATTCCCACTCCACCAGCTCCAAGCACCAACTTTGCACTTTACAACATTAAAGCAGCCGTGGCAGGCCCCTTACTAAACCCAACCTTAACCTCACTCCCCTGTCCCAGATGGTCCCAGATACTGCAGGAGCAGAACTGTCGTCTGGCATTTTAATAGGGAGGTGACAGGTCATTTGGGTTAAAATGGACTCTAATTAGTCCTCGTAAGAGCTCAGCCTGGGGGAGGGTGAGAAGGAGCAGACCTTTGACGAAGTGAGAGAGCCTCACCTGTTTTGACACACTAAAAAAAAGGGCAGAGAATGTTGGGTGATAATGATGTGTCAGTGTGGGTTCTCAACTAACACATCTGGTAGGGACATTGATAATGGGAGGCTATGCATGGTTGGGGCAAGGGACATATGAAATGTCTCAACACCTTCCTCTCAGTTTTGCTGTGAACCTAAAACTGCTCTAAAAAGAAAAAAAAAAAGGGTGGAGGCAGGGGAAGACTTGATCACTGGCTCCTCCCCAGCCCCGCCCCTCTCCCTCTCCGGGGTGGGGTTCTAGAGCCCAAGCTTGGGAGGAGAGATCTGTTTCCACAATGGGAACCAGATGTCTGTCTCCCCAAACCTGTGCCCCCTCAAAAGCAAGAGATGCAAGTTCAGCAACTTTGTCTGTGTGGGTCCCTTGGTGGCCAGGGCAGATGACTGGAAGGAAGGTTACAGTGGCCGGCTCACAGTGAGGTTACAATGCACTTTCCCTCCGTGATAGCTGTCTGACCAAGACACACCGGGAGGAACTCATGGAGACTTAGAGATGAGAAGGGACTTGCTCAAGGTCACAAGGCAAGCGGTGGTGACACAGCGGAGGCCAGGGCTGCACTGTCCTGCACGCAGGGCACTCAAAATGTGGCTAGCCTGAACTGCTGTGTGCCTTGAGTGTGAAATGCACACAAATGCAAAGACTTAGTATGGAAAAAAAAGTAAATATCTCATTAATAATTTTAAATATTAATTACCTGTCAAAGTGATAATATTTTGGATCTATTGGGTTAAATACAAATAGTATGAGAAATAATTCTACCAGTTTCTTTTTTTCTTTTTTTTTGAGACAGGCTGGAGTGAAGTGGCGCAATCTCGGCTCACTGCAACCTCCGCTCACTGCAACCTCCGCTCACTGCAACCTCCGCTCACTGCAACCTCCGTTCACTGCAACCTCTGTTCACTGCAACCTCTGCCTCCTGGGTTCAAGTGATTCTCCTGCCTCAGTCTTCCAAGTAACTGGGGCTATAGGCACACACCACCACGCCCAGCTAATTTTTGTATTTTTTAACACAGATGGGGTTTTTCCATGTTGCCCAGGCTGGTCTCAAACTCCTGGCCTCAAGTGATCTGCCCGTCTTGGCCTCCCAAAGTGCTGGGATTACAGGCGTGAGCCACTGCGCCCGGCCCCAGTTTCTTTTTATTTGGTTTTAATGTAGCTACCGGAACATTTAAAATGGCTTATAGGTCTTGCATTTGTCTAGCGCTCAGGCCAGGTGACTCCTCGGCAGATGTGAGGGCCAAGGGGCCTCTGCCGGCTCCGGATTAGATGCTGTGGGTTCAGGCCTCAGCTCCACCACTTTTGACCTGTCTGACCTTCCTACGACAACAGGCCCCTCCCTGCACTCCAGGCCCCAGTTTTCTCACCCATAAGTGGGCACAGTTGGGCCCCCAGAAAAGCCAAGTAGTCTGAGGTTCAAAGACGGTGCTTAGCCGATCACCCATCCATGAAACGATTCCCCGCGTGATGATTCGCCCAGTCTCTGTCTTCACCATCAGGCTGTGGGGGCCATGAGGGTGGGGCCTTGTGTGATGTCCTCAGTACCTAGCACAGAGCACGTGGCCAAGAATGAATGAATGAATGAGTGAGTGCTTGTTCAGCACCACTCAACCCTGGCTTCCGAATGAAACGGTTCACTTTGGCTGTGAACAGGAGCCATTCTCAATCTATTTTCCACCTTCGCATTTATACCATATCTGTGAGGGGCACTGCCATGTGAGATTTTTTTTATACCTCTGTCCTAATTTGGGGTCCGTTGAAAGCAGAGCCTGCATTAAGGACTTGGGGGCAATGCCAGGAGGAAGGAGAGTGTGGCAGGGGAGGAGGAGAGATGGAGGTGTGTGTGTCTGAGATGGCTGCTGTCTGGGAGGGGAGGCTGGATGCCTCTGGGAATTCTGGAAGCAAACAGAATGCCTCCCAGAATCGTCTTCTGGAAGATTCCAGGTGGGGGTATCTATCTGCTGGTTCCTGCCCTCCACTGCGGAAGTTTGCTCCAGGAACCTTCACCCCCCAAGGCAGGAAGGACCTGTGGGAGGAGGCCCCTGGCCAGCAGGAGGTGGAACCCGTGCTGCAGCCCCGATCAGAGGCGGCCGAGGGGATGTGATGTGGCACAAACAGTGTCTGCCACAGTCTTGAAGTTCACAGACACCAAAAAGCACTCATAATGGCTACAACAAATAGATAAAGATCAGTAGCAGCGGCTGAGGTGGGTGGATCACCTGAGGTCAGGAGTTTGAGACCATCCTGGCCAACATGGTGAAACCCTGTCTCTACTAAAAATGCAAAAATTAGCCCGGTGTGGTGGTAGGTGCCTGTAATCCCAGCTACTTGGGAGGCTGAGACAGAAGAATGGCTGGAACCCAGGAGGCAGAGGCTGCAGTGAGCTGAGATCGTGCCACTGCACTCCAGCCTGGGTGACAGAGCGAGACTTTGTCTCAAAAAAAAAAAAAAATCATAGCAGAACTTAAGGGATGTGGCATAGACAGAATGGGCTGCAGCTCCTGATGATTCTGGCAATTTCTGGCAATATAAGCAATTTCTGGCAAGCTAGCGGAAATCTCACTTGTTTGTTCATTCATGCACCCATTCATTCATGGGGTTCGTCTGCTTATTCATTTGTCAACCAATATTTACTGTACACCTCATCTGCATCAGGCCCTGGCCCACCCCAGAAAGGATGGTGGAACGAAAGGGAGGGTAAGGAAGTCGTGATATCAACCGAAGGGAGGTTTTCCTGCTTCATGTATTAATTACATCAGTCACTTGCAAGCTTCAGCCCCTGCATCTTCATTGGTAACGAGAGACTGATGCTGAATGTCACTCATTGTTGGGTGACAAGACAGCTGAAGGCCCTGAAGAGGGCTCAGCCCTGTCCTGAATGAAGGAGGACTTAGAAATGAATTCATCCACCTAGCCAGGTGCGGTGGCTCATGCCTGTAATCCAAGCACTTTGGGAGGCCGAGGCAGGCGGATCACCTGAGGTCAGGAGTTTGAGACCAGCCTGGCCAACATGGTGAAACCCCGTCTTTACTAAAAATAAAAAAATCAGCCGGGCATGGTGGGGCACACCTGTCATCCCAGCTACTCAGGAGGCTGAGGCAGGAGAATCACTTGCACCTGGGAGGTGGAGGTTGCAGTGAGCTGGGATTGCACCACTGTACTCCAGCCTGGGCAACAGAGTAAGACCCTGTTTCAAAAAAAAAAAAAAAAAGAAGCCATAAGCAAGAAAAAAAGAAATGAACTCATCCACTCATCCTGCCTTCCCGTGTCCACTTGGCCCACAGCCCTGGTGCCTACTTACTGCCAGGCTTTGTACCAGTTGCAGTTGTGGTGAACAAGAGGGAGTCCCTACCTTTGGGAGCTCATGGAGGCGGAGAAGGAACCATCCTGCAGATGATTCAGAGGCAGACTCCAAGCCCTGGGGAGAGTGGAGAGGGGGCCAAGAACTGCTGGGTCTTGGAAGGCTTCCTGGAGGAGGTGCCGTTGAACATTCACCCAAGGCCTCTGGGCCCCAGATGTGAGCTTCTGGCACAGATCAGACCTGGCTGATCCCAAAACTGGCTGCTTGGCAAAGGATATTGGCAAACTCAGGCTTACTTGAGCTATTTGCATATCATTTGCATCTATCTGCATATGTGGTGGCACAGCCTGGTCTCTTATGCATTTAAATTGCAAGTTATTTGTCTCTCTTTGAAAGCTCTCATTTTTTTCCCCAAGGGGAGCTGGCTCCATTTCCCCTACTTGCCTTAAGACTGTGGAATTTGCCCAGTGAGGTTCAAGGCTGTGGATCGCTGGGTGCGCTATGTGTTTGTTATTCTGGGTTTCAGGGCACCGTATTATTTCTGAGGTGTGGCATGTGCCCCTGTGTTACAGATGGAGACACTGATGCAGAGACTCACTGAGGTGCCCAATCCCACTTACCATGTGGGAGGCAGGACCATGGTCAGGGGTCAGGGCTCCTGATTTCTGATCCCATGTTGGGGGGGCCCTTAGAAATCATCTCTCCACTGGGTATGGTGGCTCACACCTGTAATCCCAGCACTTTGGGAGGCTGAGGCGGGCAGATCACTTGAGGTCAGTCTGGCCAACATGATGAAACCCCATTTATACTAAAAATACAAAAATTAGCTGGGCACGGTGGCAGAAGCGTGTAATCCCAGCTACTCGGGAGGCTGAGGCAGGGGAATTGCTTGAACCCAGGAGGCAGAAGTTGTAGTGAGCAGAGATCACACCATTGCACCCCAGCCTGGGTGACAGAACGAGACTCTGTCTCAAAACAAAACAAAAACAAAAACAAAACAAATCAAATCAGCTCTCTGTGCAAGTGATGGGAGGAGCCCCAGAGAGGTGCGGGGACTTGCCCAAGGCCACACAAGCTAGTCCAGGACATAGCACTGGCTCCTACAGCTCTGCCTGAAGACAAGAGTCCCCTCTGCCAAGGTGCTTGTTTTGGCTCTGTGTCAGTGACCTCTGCCACTTCAGAGGGGGACTGTCCCCATCAATACCAGGTGTTTTGATTTCTTCCTATTTGGGTTGTTGTTGAAAGCCTGTTGAGTGTCACCCAAGCTGACCCCTTCCACTCAATCAGGAATTGATTTCACTCAGAGATGAGCCCTCTAACTGGTGACTTTCTGCTGCCCAGGAGGCACAGTCTGGGCCATCCCAGGGGGTACAAGTCCTTGCACTCAGCAGGTGCACCCCTGACATGACAGTGAAAACTAAAACCAGACTTGTGGACATCAGCTTGTATGTCAAAGCATGTCACTAGAGGAGGGTGGGTTCTTACTCAAAGCCAGTGTTGGGTCTAGGCTACTGTCACATCATCTGGGGATCTTTACTTCAGAAAAGAACTGTGGAATTCTTTTTTTTTTTTTTTTTTTTTGAGACAGTGTTTCGCTCTTGTTGCCCAGCTGGAGTGTAATGGTGCAATCTCAGCTCACTGCAACCTCCGCCTCCCAGGATCAGGCGATTCTCCTGCTTCAGCCTCCCTAGTAGCTGGGATTACAGGCACCCACCACCATGCCTGGCTAAGTTTTGTATTTTTAGTAGAGATGGGGTTTTACCATGTTGGCCAGGCTGGTCTCAAACTCCTGATCTCAATGATCTACTGCCTTGGCCTCCCAAAGTGCCAGGATTACAGGTGTGAGCCATTGCGGCTGGTCTGTAATTCACTCTTAACAATGTGCTGGGTTTCCACTGGGGTTCCTTCCATTCCTCATCCTGCAAGACAGGGTGATTCCCATTACACAGATGAGGCCACCGAGGCTCAGTGAGGTAAAGGGGCTTGCCCAGGGTCACACAGTGAAGGGTCACGGTAAAGGCTCAATATCAGGGTTGGCTGGCTCCAGACCCCAACAAAAGGGCCTGTACTTTCCACTAAGTCATATCACTTCCAACGTCAAGTCTAAAACCAGACGGAATATGAGCCCTAAGTTCTAAGTCTTAGGTAGTATGGTGTAGTGATTTACAAAGCAGACTTGCTGGTAGTGGAGAAGTAGCTTGTGTCAGATTAACTTTCTGGAGCTAACAATTATAAAGTCTGAAAAAATATATAAAATAATTTGTTTAGCTGGGGTGGTGGCTCACGCCTGTAATCCCAGCACTTTGGGAGGCCAAGGCGGGCGGATCACCTGATGTTGGGAGTTTGAGACCAGCCTGACCAACATGGAGAAACCCCATCTCTACTAAAAATACAAAATTAGCCAGGCATGGTGGTGCAGGCCTGCAATCCCAGCTAGTTGGGAGGCTGAGGCAGGAGAATCGCTTGAGCCCAGGAGGCGGAGGTTGTGGTGAGTGGAGATTGTGCCACTGCCCTCCAGCCTGGGCAACAGAGCGAGACTCCATCTCAAAACAACAACAACAACAAAAAAAAACAAAAAAAGAAATTAAGCAGAAAACAGAAGTCTTATTGGCTCAAGACTACATAGTTGGAGTTGAGGGCTTCCAGAGCAACTGGAAATTGAGAGGGAAAAAAAATATCCCAGAAAAGAGAGCCACAGAGGGAGAAAACTCCCCTTAAATCTTTGGCTGACTCTGGCATGGGGCATGACTCCAAGAAGCCTAGGGGAAGACACAGATGGAAGACTAAAAGAGGGGAGCATAGGTTCCTGTAGCTGCTTGATATTTGGGAGATGGATTTTCCTGTTCAAATCTCACCAAGTTAGTGGGGCTTGGTAAACACTCCAGGCTTTTTCATTGAGATCCTGGGAGATCATGACTTAGGAAGAAGCACTAAAACAAACCTACCCCAACACAGTTTCAAATTGAGACTCCACCAAATCAAGGTGAATGGTCAGCAACTAAACAGAGCAATATGCAAAATTCTTCAGAGAAAGACAACACAATCCAGAATCTCTATACTGTATTATTTACAATGTCCAGCATAAAATAGCAAATTACTAGATATGTAAGGAAACAGAAAAGTGAGACACATAATTAAGATTTTAAAAAATAGAAACAGGTGCCTATTTTGGAATTCATAAGCAGACTTTAAATCATTATAATACATTTCTTTATTATAATCTACAAGAAGACTGGGCACAGTGGCTCATGCCTATAATCCCAGCATTTTGGGAGGCCAAGGTGGAAAGATTGGTTGAAGCCAGGAGTTCAAGACAAGCCTGGGCAACATAGTGAGACCCCATCTCTGCAAACAAATTAAAAAATTAGCTGAGGCCAGGTGCGGTGGCTCACACCTGTAATCCCAGCACTTTGGGAGGCTGAGGCGGGCAGATCATGAGGTCAGGAGTTCAAAACCAGCCTGGCCAATATGGTGAAACCCTGTCTCTACTAAAAATACAAAAATTAGCCAAGTGTGGTGGTATGCGCCTGCATTCCCAGCTATTCGGGAGGCTGAGGCAGAAGAATTGCTTGAACTTGGGAGGCGGAGGTTGCAGTGAGCTGAGATCATGCCACTGCACTCCAGCCTGGGTGACAGAGTGAGACTCCATCTCAAAAAAAATTAAAAAAATAAATTTTAAAAAATTAGCTGAATGTGGTGGCACATGCCTGTTGTTCTAGCTACTTGGGAGGCTGGGGCAGGAAGATTGCTTGAGCCCGGGAGTTTGAGGCTGCAGTGAGCTATAATTGCATCACTGGATGAAGAAAAGAAAAGAAAGAGAAAGAGAGAGAGTGAGAGAGAAAGAAAGAAAGAAAAAAAAGAAAGAAGAAGAGAAAGAAAGAAGGAAAGAAAGAAGAAGAAAAAAGTAGCAAAGTAAAATTCATCTATAAGGAAAAGCAAAGGCAATCATAGTGGACAAAAACAAGAGAAATTTCCGGAGTGTACTCGTTTCCCAGGGCCGCTAGAACAAAGTAGCACAAACTGAGTGGCATAAAACAAAAGACATTTTCTCCTTCATAGTTACAGAGGCTAAAAGTATGAAATTCAGGTATGATCAGGGTGGATTTCTCCTGAGGGCTCTCAGGAAGAATCTGTGCCATGCCTCTCTCTAGCTTCTAGCGACGCCAGCAGTTGTTGGCATTCCTTGGCTCATAGATGCGTCACTACAATCTCTTCCTTCCTCGTCACAAGGCATTCTTCCTGGGTCTCTCTCTTCTTATTTCTTTTAAAATTTTAATCTATTTATTTGTTTATTTATTTTGAGGCTGGGTTATGAGACTGGCTTGAATTTTGTATTTTTGGTAGAGACAGGGTTTCACCGTGTTGCCAAGGCTGGTCTTGAACTCCCGGGCTCAAGTGATCCACCTGCCTCAGCCTCCCAAAGTGCTGAGATTACAGGTAAGCCACCACTCCCAGCCTCTGTCTTCTTTCCTTTTTTTTTTGAGACGGAGTCTCACTTTGTTGCCCAGGCTGTAGTGCAGTGGCATGATCTCAGCTCACTGCAAACTTCCTCTCCTGGGTTCAAGCTATTCTCCTGCCTCAGCCTCTGGAGTAGCTGGGATTACAGGCATGCATCACCACGCCCAGCTAATTTTTGTATTTTTAGTAGAGACAGGGTTTTGCTGTGTTGCCCAGGGTGGTTTTGAACTCCTGGCCTCAAGTGCTTTGTCTGCCTTGGCTTTCCAAAGTGTTGGGATTATAGACATGAGCCACTGTGCCTAGCCTCCTGTCTTTTCTTAAAAGGACACCAGTCTGGCCAGACATGGTGGCTCATGCCTGTAACCCCAGCACTTCGAGATGATGAGGCTGGTGGATTACTTGAGCCCAGGAGTTCAAGACCAGCCCCGGCAACATGGTGAAACCCTGTCTCTACTAAAAATACAAAAAATAGCTGGGTGCAGTGGTGCATGCCTGTAGTCCCAGTTACTCAGGAGGCTGAGGTGGGAGGATTGCTTGAGCCTGGGAGGCAGAGGTTGCAGTGGGCCAAGATTGCACCATTGCACTCCAGCCTGGGCAACAGTGAGACCCTGTCTCAAAAAAAAAAAAAAATTGACACCAGTCATATTTCATTAAGGGCCTACCTTATTCCACTATGATATTATCTTAAGTAATTACATCAGCAATGACACCATTTCTAAATGAGGTCACAGTCTGAGGTATTGGGGGTTAGGAATACAACGTATCTTTTGAAGGTGGTGGATGTAATTAAACCCATAACAAGGTTGTGCATGGTGGCTCATGCCTGTAATCTCAACACATTGGGAGGCTGAGGCAGGTGGATCACTTGAGGCCAGGAGTTAGAGACCAGCCTGGCCAACATGCCCTGTCTCTACCAAAAATACAAAAAATTAGTCAGGAGTGGTGGTATGCACCTGTAGTTGTAGGAGGGAGGCTGAGGCAAGAGAATCGCTTGAACACAGGAGACGGATGTTGCAGTGAGCCAGGATCATGCCACTGCATACCCTGGGCAATAGAATGAGACTCTGTCTCAAAAAAAAGGTGTGTGGGGGGGAGATATGGCAACTATTTTTTAAAAAGAGAGAATCAGATTAAATTTTAAGCTAAAAAATACAATGTCTGAAATTGAATATTCATTTGATGGGACTAAAGCCTGTTAGACTTGTCTGAGCACAATGGCTTATATCTATAATCCCAGCACTAAGCCAAGGCAGGAGGATTATTGAGACCAGGAGTTCAAGACCAGCCTGGGCAACATGGCAAAACCCCATCTCTACAAAAAATGCAAAAATAAGCTGGGCATGATGGCATGTATCCACAGTCCCAGCTACCTGGGAGGCTGAGGCAGGAGGATCGCTTAAGCTCAGGAGTTTGAGCCTGCAGTGAGCTGTGATCATGTCACTATACTCTAGTCTGGGTGACCAAGTGAGAGCTTGTCTAAAAAAAAAATAGCATATTAGACCCAATTTTAAGAGGGCCAATAAATGTAAAGACAGGTCGGTAGAAATTATCTACATAAAGTGTTGCAGGATCCTTGGGGTGTCACTTTTTTAGCTGGAAACCTCTGGACTGTGGCACCTTTGCCTGAGATTTGCTCAGGCCCACTAGGCTCGTTCCACCCACTTGGCCTGGTTGCACTCAGCTCACTCTACCAGCCTGGATCTCATGTCTGCCAAGGGCGAGCCAGGTGTGGAGTGGCCAGGGGTGTGTGAGCAAACAAACATGGGGTCTGGCCACTGCACACAGGCATACCAGCTGCTGCAGCAGGGTGGACAGCTCCAGGTGCCAGCATCAGTGCTGGCTCTCTGTGAGGCTGTGACTGGATCAGACACACTGCAAGCATCTTTCAAGGCTGCCACTGGGGAACATGGTGGTGCCCAGAAGCTTGGAGACTCTGGGAACTGCAGGGCCCCAAAGAGGGGGTCACAGCCCTGGCTTGGGGAGTTCTCAGGTCTGGGCTCCCTGAAGGGCTGTGGCTCTTCTCTACTTCTCTTCACTCACAATGGATGTATTTCAGCCTTGTTTGTGTTACAGCTCTTTCAGCCTTACCATTTGGCTGGTCCCAAGTTCTTGTCCTGTGTCTAGGAAGAATTAAGTGGAGGGGCAGCAAGGCGAAAGGAGCTTTACTGAGTAACAGAATAGCTCAGAGGAGGCCCTGGAGTGGGTAGCTCCTCTCTGCAGCTGGCCTTCCTGACCTCTGCTCAGCTCTGGCTGAGCCTGGGGCTTTTATGGGCCTCAGAGGGGAGGAAGTACACGCCAATTGGTCCATAGGCGGCCATGGGCAGGCCCAGAAAAGGCACCACAAGTTTCCCACTTCAGTCTGCAGGACTGGCAGTCTGGCCCCCAGCCTTCAGGCCTTCCCTGGCCTGAAGGTGGGACCTCACCAGAGACCCACCCCCTTCTGCCCAGGAAGCTGTCTGCCTCCTGCTGCCATTCATGGCACCCAGGCTGTAGGTGCCAAGGGGCACCTGCAGGCCAGTGCTGAGCTGCCCTCAGCCCCCATCAGCTTCCCTCCTGTGCTCGTTGGTGCCCAAAGTCTGGAGGGGGCCGAAGTGGCTGGGGGCTGGCGTGTCAGCACTGACCTGCTCATGTTTGGGCCCTGCAGCTGCACGGGGCAGAGTGGGGTGCACAAGGCTTCTGCCTGCTCCATGGATTGGGAGGCTTTGGTCTGCAGCTGTAATGTGGGTGGCTGCAGCTGCGCCTGGAAGGGCAGGGCTTCTGCCTGCTCCTGCCCCTAGCAGGAGCCCAGGGAGCCCTGGGTCTGCAGCCACAACTTGGGTGGCAGCTGTGCCTAGTGGGGTGGGGTTTCTGCCTGCTTCATGCAGTGGGAGGCCCGGGTCCACAGGCATAACTTGGGTGGCTGCGGCTGCATCCAGGGAGCTCCTGCCCCACTAGCTCAGAAGAGGTGGGGCTCCCACCTGTCTGCAGTTCCTGCTGGCTCCATGGAATGTGCAGCCTGGCTGCACCTCCCCCTGCAGCTGGTGTGATGGCAGCGGCCACTCCAGATGGGCCACCAGTGTCATCAGAAGCACAAAGAGAAGTGATTGAAAAATTTCGCCTCAGTAAGTTGTGGGGCAGGATAAAGCAGTCTAACATATATTTAATTGGCATTTCAGAGGAGAAAAGAGAGAGAAGAAGACAGGAAAAAAATTATGCTGAAAATATTCCAAGGTTTATTGAAAAAAGAAAATTAATCTACAGATTCAGAAAGTTCAGTGAGCCCCAGCCAAGATGAATGCAAAGAAAGTCCTATTTAGGCACATCATGGGCAGACTGCTGAAAATCAAAGAGAGAGAATGTGGAAAGCAGCTGGGGTGAGTGGGGTGGGAGGAGACAATTATACATAGGAAAACAACGCTGCAAAAGACTGCAGACTTCTCATAGAATCAATGAAAGTCAGCAAACAATGGAACGGCATCTGAAAAGTGATGAAAGAATAAATCTGTTAACTCCGAATGGTATCAGTGAAAATCTCTCTCAAAATGGAAAAATAAAACTATTTGGGGATAAATAAAACAGAGAATTTGTGGCCAGCAGTCCAAAGACTGTTTTTCTTTTCTTAAATTCTTTAAAAATTAATCCACCTTTTAAAGTAAAAATAACAATGCATTCTGGGATCTATAAGACATACAAAAATAAAGTATATGACCACAATAACACCAAAGGCCGGAGAAGATGTGATGGCATTACATATATATATATATATATATTTGTTTATTTAATTTATTTATTTATTGAGACGGAGTTTCGCTCTTGTTGCCCAGTGTGGGGTGCAACGGCGCAATCTTGGCTCATTGCAACTTCCACCTCCCCGGTTCAAGCAACTCTCCTGCCTCAGCCTCCTGAGTAGCTGGGATTACAGGCATGAGCCACCATGCCCGGCTAATTTTGTATTTTTAGTAGAGATGGGGTTCCTCCATGTTGGTCAGGCTGGTCTCGAACTCCTGACCTCAGGTGAGCTGCCCGCCTCGACCTCCCAAAGTGCTGGGATTACAGGCGTGAGCCACTGCGCCCAGCCCTGGCATTATATTTTTGTAACGTTCTTACGTTATACATGAAGTGGTGTAATATTATTGGAAAGTAGACTGGATATTGAAGAATGCATATTGTAACACTCCAGCAACCAAAAATATAAGGAGGCATAGCTAAAAAGTAAGTAGAGAAGATGGAATAAAATATTTTATTAAGTCTCAACCAAATAGAAGGCAGTAAAGGAGGAACAAAAGAGGGGGGACAAATAGATAACAAATAGCAAGATGATAAAACTTAAACCCACCCATAATGATAAGTATATTACATATGAAAGGACTAGGCACTGCCATTGAAAGGCAGATATTGCCAGACTTGATTGAAAAGGATCTTAGCTGAATTCTTGTCTGTAAATGGTGAGAATTAAATGAGACTGTGAATCAAAGCACTGAGCACAGTGCCTGGCCCACACAGGAGGCTTCTTCAGTGAAAACTCTGAACATATTCTAATAAGAGTCCTGCTTTCCTTCACGCCTGTCTGTGAGCTCTGTGGGGAGGCCCCAGAGCTGAGCATTCATCTAATCAGCCTTTGTGGACCTCCAACGTCATGCCAGACAGATGGGGCCCTTATCACCTGGCAGTTGCATGTAGGTTATATGTCTACTTTTCAGGAACAGTGAAATGACCCCTCCTCCTGTGCCTCCTCCAAAGAGGAGTTGGAGAAGGAGCCAGGGCACAAAGAGACAGATTGTCAAAACCATGCCTATGCCGGGCATGGTGGCTCATGCCTGTAATCCTTGCACTTTGGGAGGCTGAGGCAGGCAGATCACTTGAGGTCAGGAGTTTGAGACCAGCCTAGCTAACATGATGAAACCCTATCTCTACTAAAAATACAAAAATTAGCTGGGCAAGGTGGCACGCACATGTAATCTCAGCTACTCAGGAGGCTGAGGCAGGAGAATCGCTTGAACCCAGGAGGTGGAGGTTGCAGGGAGACGAGATGGTGCCACTTCACTCCAGCCTAGGCGACAGAGCGAGGTTCCATCTCAAAAACAAAACACGACAAAACAAAACGAAAAACCATGCCTAGAGCTGAGACATCCTGAGGCTGGCTGGGGTCATCGGCTTGTGGTCAGTGTAGCCACCGCATGTTGGCCCACACCCTCCCCTTCCCTGGAAGCTGAGGCCAGAGGTCTGCCCATTAATCTCCCAGTGCCCCAGGGCTTCATGGGAAGCCCCTTTCCCCAGAGAAGCTCTTGTTCTCTAGCGTGGAAGCCCAGCTCCTTACTTATTCCTGGAGTCTAGCTCCCTCTAGTCAAGCCAGAGTACCCAGCTTTTGGTCAGGGGGCTGTACGTGTGGGGCAAAGGGCAAAGTGGTGTCCAGGACCTGGAGCAGGAAAAGCTTGCATTATGCTCTGTGTCAAGCCAGTGGGGGCTACAGGTCCTGGGTTACTACTTGCCAGTTGGTGGTTGTGTGGGCAAGGAAAGGGGGATCATGGGTGGGACCCTGAGAGGCACTTCTCATTCCCCTGTGAGAGGCCCCACATCTGGCCTCTCCAGACAGACTCCATGCTGGATAACAGTTGGGTTCAGAACTTTAAGGAACAAATTGCTGTTTCCAGCTCAGCTGTTCAGTCCATTGGGCTCCTCCTCTTCCAAATCCCCTATCACTAACCCTCCTGCCGCATGAGGGTAACCTCTACCCCTATTTCTAACACCATGGAGTAGTTTTGCCTGTTTTTGTCCTTTATATATGTGAACTATTTTGCACATTAAGGTTGTAGATTCATCTATATTGTTGTGTACGGTTTGTTTATTCTTAAAGCTGATCAATCATCCCCTGTATGAATGAATAGTCTATAATTTCTCTCTGTTCTAAAGCCGGAGGATATTCAGATTCTTTCCAGTTTAGGGCTATCCTGAATAGTGTTGGTGTGAATATTCCAGGTTATGTCTTTCTTTCTTCCTTTTTTTTTAATTGAGACAAGATCTTGCTCTGTCACCCAGGCTGGAGTGCAGTGGCGAGATCACAATTCACTGTAGCCTCCACCTTCCGGGTTCAATCAATCTGCATGCCTTGGCCTCCTGAGTAGCTGGGACTACAGGCATATACCATCATGCCTGGCTACTTTTTAGTAGAGACGAGGTTTTGCCTTGTTGCCTAGGCTGCTCTCGAACTTCTGGGCTCAAGCAATCCTCCCTCCTTGGCCTCCCGATGTGCTGGGATTACAGGCATGAACCACCTCACCTGGCACAGGTTACATCTTTTGATGAACACGTGGATGCATTTCTTTTGCCTGTATGCCCAGGAGTGGAAATGCTTGGTCAGAGGGCAGGGTGTGTTCAACACAATTAAACCTTACGGATGCTTTCGTGGTGGTTATACTAATTTAGATTCCCATCAGCAATGTCTGAGAGTTCTGGTTGCTCCATATCCTCATCAGCACTTGGTATTGCCAGTCTTTTTCACTTAAACTTCTCTGGTGTCTGAAGCGGTAGCTCACTGTGGTTTTGTATTCTCCTTGCTATTGTCCGAATGTTTGAGTTTCTCCCAAAAACTCATACGTTAAGACTTAATCGGCTGGGTGCAGTGGCTCATGCCTGTAATCCCAGCATTTTGGGAGGACGAAGTGGGCGGATCATGAGGTCAGGAGTTCGAGACCAGCCTGACCAACATGGTGAAACCCTGTCTCTACTAAAAATATGAAAATTAGCCGGGCATGGTGGCACACGCCTGTAATCCCAGCCACTTGGGAGGCTGAGACAGGATAATCACTTCAGCCCGGGAGGCAGAGGTTGCAGTGAACCAAGATTACGCCACTGCACTCCAGCCTAGGCAACAGAGTGAGAGTCCATCTCAACAACAACAACAACAAAAAGACCTAATCACCAAGGTGATGGTGTTAGAAGGTGTTAGAAGATGGGGATCTTTGAAAGGTGATTAGGTCATGAGGGCTCTATCCTTGTGAATTGGATAACTGCCCTTATAAAAGAGGCCCCAGAGAACTGTCTTCCCCCTTCCACCATGTGAGGATACAGCAAGAAGGTGCCATGTTTGAAGCAGGGAACGGGCTCAGGCACCGGATCTACTGCTGCCTTGATCTTGGACTTCCCAGCCTCCAGAACTGTGAGCAATAAATTCCGTTGTTTATAAATTTCCCAGTCTAAGGTATTTTGTTACAGTATCCTGAACTGACCAAGCCACCCCCATGAGTCATGAAGCTAGCAGCTTTTCGTGTATTTGTTGGCCTCCTAAGTACTCTTGTTATGAAGTACTTTAATGCAAGCCCTCCCCCATTTTTCTCTTGAATTGTCTGCCTTTTTCTTTTTGGTTTGTAGGAGTTCTTCATATATAGTGGGAAAAAATCATTTGGGATGTGTGTGTGTGCGCACACGCAAATGCATGCATGCACGTGTTTAAAAGGCCAATATTCTCTGTCCCACAAATTCAGAACACCACAGTGGTTGGGCCATAATTGCACTGTGGGTGGTGGCAGGGTTTCAGACAAAAGGCATAATAACATGTCACATAAAATTAATCTGATTTGAATCGATTTTGTACGTGATGGGTCAATTTGTCTTGGTCTGATGCTTGTATAAGAGCTACAAGGAGTTTATATCTCATTTTATGCTTGCACATGTTTAAGTAATACACAATAAAAATCATTTAAGGCAACAGTGAGGGCCCAGGAGATGCCCTTCTTCTCTAGGTAAGCAGGAGATTCTCAAAACACAAATCCAATCTGTGACTCCCCTGCTTAATGCATCTCAAAAGATCCTTTTTTTGTCTAGGATGGAGATGAGACTCCTTCCCCTGGTAGGCGGCCTCCTCGGACCTGCTCCCCTGCACTGTTCACTGAAGCCGCCGCCTCCTTCTGGGCATGGTCTCTCCATGTCTTCTCTCTCCACATAAGCCCCCAGCCCCTGTTTTGGAGCAGCTGCTGCCCTGACCACCCCTTTTGCTTAGACTTAGCTCAATCATCCCTTCTCTGGGAAGCTCCCACTGTGGCCTCTGAAACCACCATCCCAGCTGGGCACTTTGCTTCCTTTTTTTTTTTTTTTTTTGAGACAGAGTCTCGCTCTGTCGCCCAGGCTGGAGTGCAGTGGCGCCATCTCGGCTCACTGCAACCTGTGCTCCTGGGTTCACGCCATCCTCCTGCCTCAGCCTCCCGAGTAGCTGGAACTACAGACGCCCGCCACCACGCCCAGCTAATTTTTTTGTATTTTTAGTAGAGACAGGGTTTCACCGTGTTAGCCAGGATGGTCTCAATCTCCTGACCTCATGATCCGCCCGTCTCGGCCTCCCAAAGTGCTGGGATTACAGGCGTGAGCCACCACGTCCGGCCTTTGCTTCTTTGCATAATCTCAGCTGAGATTTATAATTTACTTGTGGGATTCTCCCCTCTCAAACTATAAGTTCTGTGAAGACAGAGATGGTATTTTTTTCTCCTCACTTTATTTATTTATTTGAGACAGAGTCTCACTATGTTGCCCAGGCTGGAGTGCAGAGGTGCAATCTCGGCCCACTGCACGCTCCACCTCCTGAGTTCAAGTGATTCTCCTGCTCAGCCTCCTGAGTAGCTGGGACTACAGATATGCACCACCATGCCTGGCTAATATTTGTATTTTTAGTAGAGACGGGGTTTTGCCATGTTGGCCAGGCTGGTCTCAAACTCCTGACCTCAGGTAATCCACCTGCCTCTGCCCCTCAAAGTGCTGGAATTACAGTCACGAGCCACTGCGCCCGGCCTTCTCCTCACCTTTTTCTCCAGTGTCCACTCCAGCATGCAGTATTTGATAAGCGCTCAGTAAATGTTTGTTGAATGACTTACTAACCTGAGCTTGTGTTAACTCTCTCACTGTATTGATTCTGAAAGGCAAAGAGGGCCCAAGGTCACATGTAGGGAAGGGCCAAAGGCAGGACTGGAGCCCAGCAATTCTTGTTCAACCACACGGAATGGGAAGTAAAGTCCTCTTTGGCCAGCAGCAGAGGGGCCAGGTCCCCCTTGTCATCAGCCTGGAAGACCCTAAAGGATCATCTAGGACAATTCTTTCATTCTTTGAATGGGGCATCTAAAACTGAAGAGTGGACAGGGATTGTCTAGAGTCATACGGTGAAGGTGATCCGGAAGTTCCGCTAGAGAACACAGCAGATTCTATCCTGTAGAAACACAATGGGTTCTACCCAGATTGCCTGACACTCAATATTCTTTTTTAATTAAACTAAATTAATTAACTACTTTTTGAGTGCAGTGTTGTGATCTCAGCTCACTGCAACCTCCACCTCTCAGGTTCAAACAATTCTCCTGCCTCAGCCTCCCGAGCTGCTGGGATTACAGGTGTGTGCCACCACGCCCAGCTAATTTTTGTATTTTTAGTAGAGTCAGGGTTTCGTCGCGTTGGCCAGGCTGGTCTTGAACTCTTGGCCTCAAGCAATCCACCTGCCTCAGCCTCCCAAAGGGCTGGGATTTCAGGCGTGAGCCACTGAGAGGGGCTCTGACACTCAACATTCTTTCCAGTATCCCCAACTCTCCTGGAGGTGAAGGACTAAGGGGGTGGGGGCATGGCTCTCAGACTCCAGACTGACAACCTAATATTGAGGCTGGGCTGGGAGTGGAACCGAGATTTCCCAGCCTGAGGCCAATGGATGACAAGGGCCTTTCTTGTTCTCCTCCAGAGCCTCTTCTGGAGCCCCACTAGGGAATTCCTGTCCTTGGAAAAGTGGGAGAGGACCAGAACATTCTGGAATAAAGACTGGAGACATTCAGAGTGACGCAAGAAGTACAGTCCACAGTGGAGGAAAACTCCAGCTGCCAGGCAATTGCCCGCTGGTCCCTGGCCTGGTCTAGGTGGTTGTGGGGGAAGGGGAGCTAACTGCAGTGACTCACTTAACCCTTTCCGGGCAGAGGAAGATAACGCTTTTTAATTGAAGAAATTTTTTAATTAAAAAACATTTTTTTGACGGCTTCTTGTTGAGCAGGGCTACCCCACAGGCCATGTGCCTAGAGTGGCCTTAATTGAAATTTTTGTTACAATCATTGTAGATTCCTGTACAGTTATAAGAAATAAAACAGCCGGGCGTGGTGGCTCATGCCTGTAATCCCAGCACTATGGGAGGCCGAGACGGGCGGATGACGAGGTCAGGAGATTGAGACCATCCTGGCTAACACGGTGAAGCCCCGCCTCTACTAAAAATACAAAAAATTAGACGGGCGAGGTGGCGGGCGCCTGTAGTCCCAGCTACTCGGGAGGCTGAGGCAGGAGAATGGTGTGAACCCAGGAGGCGGAGCTTGCAGTGAGCCAATATCGTGCCACTGCACTCCAGCCTGGGCGACAGAGCGTCTCCAAAAAAAAAAAAAAAAAAAGAAGAAATAAAACAGAGAGGCTGGGCACAGTGGCTCACGCGTGTAATCCCAGCACTTTGGGAGGCCGAGGCAGGTGGATCACCCAGCCTGGGCAACAAGAGGGAAACTTCATCTCAAAATAACAACAACAACAAAAAAGAAAACAGAGGGATCCCAGGTACCCGCCTTCACTCAGTTTCCCCAATGGTAACATCTCGCAGAACTACTGGGCGCCATCACAGCCGGGGTCTGACTGCTCTTGCTCAGGTTTCCCCGGTTTTCCGTATCCTCACGTGTGTGTATTTACTTCTGTGCAATTTTATCGCAGGCCAAGGCAGGCGGATCACCTGAGCTCAGGAGTTTGAGACCAGCCTGGGCAACATGGTGAAACCCTGTCTCTACAAAAAATACAAAAATTAGCCGGACACGGTGGCACGTGCCTGTAGCCCCAGCTCCTTGAGGGTCTGAGATGGGAGGATCACTTGAGCCCAGGAGGTGGAGGTTGCAGTGAGCCCATATTGCGCCACTGTACTCCAGCCTGGGTGACAGGGCGAGACCCTGTCTCAAAAACAAAAACAAATAAACAGAATGAGAGTATGCAACCTTTTGGGACTGGCTTTTCCCCTCAGCAGACACCACTTTTCTTGAGCACCTTGATCTCATAGTCCCAGGGACGGCTTCTGTTATTCCCATTTTACAGCTGAGCAAACTGCTCCCCAACGCCCAACCCCCAGAGCCAGCGCTCATGATGGCTAATTTGGGGAGCATCTCCTCCAGGAGAGGAGGGCAGGGGGTTGGGCGGAGGGCTGGGGCCAGAGCCTTCCCCAGCCCTGCTGAGACCCAGCTCCCTCTTCTGCAGCCTGTCTCAGAGCGGGGTCTCCTTTGTGCCTCCCACCCGCTCCCCAGGCCCGTCTTTTCCCTCAGCAGAGAGGCAGTGAATGGGGGCCGCTGGGGGCCGAATCTGCTGGCCCGAGGCCCAGCTTGGCCACAGAGAGGCTGTGTGACTAGCACGGTGGCCCCATCCTCTGAGCCTCAGGATCCCCCTGGGTAAAACAGGGGGAAGGGTCACACCCTGCAAATCCATGAAGATGCAATGAGGCAACGTGTGAGGCGCAGTCAGCGAAGTGCCAGGCGCAGAGTGAGCCCCCAGCGCACGCCGCGGAGAGCCGCCCGCAGCCCCATTTGGCAATGAATTATGTATGGCCTTCTGGCAGCCCTGCGTGTGGGGCTGCAAGCTCCCTCTGCTCCCCCCTGCTTCTCTTTCCGGTGAGGGGCGCAGGCTCCCCCGGGGGGGTGGGCAGTGTTCTTTGTCTCTCCTGCAGGGACCCCCTATCAGCTTCCCAAGGCTAGTGCCTCAGTGCCCAGGATGCCCATTTCACAGGCTGGAGAACCAAGGGCTGGTATAGCTCAGGGTCTTTTTCAACAGACACTAATAA
Source organism: Homo sapiens (assembly GCF_000001405.40). Lineage (NCBI taxonomy): Eukaryota > Metazoa > Chordata > Mammalia > Primates > Hominidae > Homo > Homo sapiens. Next base: position 129,505,087 of record NC_000009.12, on the reverse strand, counting down.
CAATAATAGAGCGCCACCAGTAACAATAATAATCACCATCGTACCTGCTGGGCTTTGTTTTTCTGTGTGTGCCAGACACATTTAACAGAAAATCCTTCATCCAACAAAAATGTCCACCTGTGCAGGCACTGTCCGAGGGGTTGGGGGCATAGCCCACAACCGAACAAAGTCTTGCCCTCACAGAGCTCGGGTGCCACTGTGGGAGAGCAGGAAATTAATAAATGAGTAATTTATGACATAAAATGTCAGGTGACAGAGGCTATGCAGGAAGAGGAAAGAGACGGGGTGGTCAGGGAAAGCCTCTGTGAAGAGGTAGCATTTGAGCAGTGCCTTGAAGGAAGTGAGGGAGCCCTCTCAGGAGGTATCTGGGGAGGAATGTTCCAGGCCAAAGGAACAGCCAGTTCAAAGGGCCTGGGGTGGGACCTGTGCCTGTGCCAGGCTCACCAGTGCAATGGGAGGCATCAGATTCTCAGAACAGCCCTGGGAGGTGCATGCCATCACTGCCCCATTGTAGAGATGAGAAAACTGAGATTCAGAGCCTATTTAGAATCTTTCCTCGTCTGCTTTATGCATATGCATAAATGTGTTTGGTTGGGGGTGTTAGGAAATATGTGATATGTATCACATCATCTTTCTTTCTTTTTTTTTTTTTTTTGGTGGTGGGGGAATGGACTCTTGCTCTGTCGCCCGGACTGGAGTGTAGTGGCGCGATCTTGGCTCACTGCAACCTCCGCCTCCCGGGTTCAAGCAATTCTCCTGGCTCAGCCTCCCGAGTAGCTGGGATTACAGGCATGCATCGCCACGCCCGGCTAATTTTTTTTTTTTTTTTTAGTAGAGACAGGGTTTCACCATGTTGGCCAGGCTGGTCTCGAACTCCTGACCTCAGGTGATCCGCCCACCTTGTACTCCCAAAATGCTGGGATTACAGGCGTGAGCCACTGCACCTGGCCCCATCTTTCTACAACTGGGAAAATTCTGAGTTCTGGAACCATCTGCCCAGGGATTTGGGGTCAGAGATGGTGGGCCTTTCTGATCCTGGTCTTTGCCATGGTTATGATTGTGGCATCCCTGCCTGTCTTCTATCATGTGCCTCAGCCTGTTTTTTTTCCTTTGCCAGGCTGCAAGCCCCTGATATCAGACTAACAGGAGCACAACATTGCACGGTCTAAAGACACTACATTAGGGTGAAATTTTGTTCTTCTATCTTCCCCCCTTGCATGGAGAGGACCCTCATTCCTGCCCCCACCCTCGCTTCACTGTGCCAGGCACAGGCAGAGCCCAGGTGCTGCCTCTGCTTGTCTGCAGTTGCCGACGAGGCCTGCGCTGAGCATTTTGGCAAGTCTGGAGAATTGAAGGCCCAGGCCCTTGGCCCTATCACCGCAATGCAGGCCCAGAGGTGGCAGGCGGGAGCTCACCGATGGATCTGCCAGTGTCAGTCCCAGAGCGGACCCCAGAAGTGTTCAGGCGTGGACTCGCACTGTCTGACATTTCCATCGATGGCCTGCATGAGGAATGGGCGGTGAGCATCCTCCTTCCATCTCCAGCTGGGGGTGGAGGGTGTGAGCCTGCCCGCCGAGAGGAAGCCAGTTACAGAATCAAAATGACTCAGGCTGGGCTCTGTGGTGCGTGTCTGCAGTCCCAGCTGCTCTGGAGGCTGAGGCAGGAGAACTGCTCTAGTCCAGGAGTTCGAGGCTGCAGTATGCTATGATCATGCCTGTAAGTAGCCACTGCACTCCAGCCAGGGTAACACAGCGAGACCTTGCTTCTGAAAAACAAAAACAAAATGACTCACAGAAAGGCGGAGTGGCCAGAAATCAGGGACTGGGAACCTGTGGGGGAAGAAAAATCACTCAGCAGTGGTCTCCTCCCAGCCTTCCTGCCTCCAAGTTTGCCCCTCTAATCCGTCTTACAGAGCTTCCAGCTTAATCGTTCCAATTAATCCTCCTACCTGAGCCAGCAAACCTTCGCTGTTGCTCCTACTTGCTTCCAAAGGCAGTTCAGTGTCTGGCCCCACTGTCTTTCCAGGGTGTCCTCCTCCTCCCGGAACACAACTGGCTGCCCACCGGCTGGGCGCGGTGGCTCACGCCTGTAATCCCAGCACTTTGGGAGGCCAAGGCCGACAATCACCTGAGGTCGGGAGTTCGACACCAGCCTGGCCAACATGGTGAAACCCTGTCTCTACAAAAAATATAAAAATTGACCGGGCACGGTGGCTCATGCCTGTAATCCCAGCACTTTGGGAGGCCGAGGCCTTGGGTGGATCACAAGGTCAGGGGATCGAGACCATCCTGGCTAACACAGTGAAACCCCGTCTCTACTAAAAAAAATACAAAAAATTAGCTGGGTGTGGTGGCGGATGCCTGTAGTCCCAGCTACTCGGGAGGCTGAGGCCGGAGAATGGCATGAACCCGCGAGGCGGAGCTTGCGGTGAGCCGAGATCGGGGCCACTGCACTCCAGCCTGGGCGACAGAGCAAGACTCCGTCTCAAAAAAAAAAAACAAAAAACGAAACAAAACAAAACAAAAAACAAAACAAACAAACAAAAATTAACAGGGCATGGTGACACACGTCTGTAATCTCAGCTACTTGAGAGGCTGAGGCAGGAGAATCGCTTGAACCTGGGAGGCGGAGGTTGCAGTGAGCCGAGATCACACCACTGTACTCCAGCCTGGTGACAGAGTGAGACTCCGTCTGAAAAAAAAAAAAAAAAAAAAGAAAGCCTTTGTCCATGCTGTTCTCTCTGTCTGGAACAGCATCACACTTGCAGGCCAGCTCCACATCAGAGGAGACCCTCTTTCTACAACTCTTGAGGGCCTCTCCAGTCCTCCAGCCCCACTCCATTCCACATCCTCACAGTCAACACAGCCCCACTTGCCTGGACTCTCAGAGCAGTCTCCCAATAGGCCTCCCTGCCTGGGGATAAGTCCCAGCTCTCAACCTGGCACTCGACGGCCTTCCTGATCAGCTGGGCTCCAGCCTCGTGATTCCCACCCACTGTTTGACCTGACACAGCTGCTTAAGTTTCTCTAGTTCTTCTAGATTACCCTGTTCTCCCACTTTGAGACCTTCTTATGTGTAGATTTCCTCTTCCTGGAGCACTTTTCCCTCCCCTCTTGGCCCGCCTAACTTTTACTCATCTGTCAGGAAGCCATGTTGATTCCACCTCCTCCAGGAAGCCTTCTTGGATTTAGGGTCCCTCCTGTTGGCTCCCAGAGGTCCCATATCCCTTGCATCATCACAATTCCTCCTCCAGATTGAAGCTGGCTGCTTTGCCAGTCTCCTCTAGGCCATGGTCTCCTGAGGACAGAGCCACACATTGGCCTCTGTCTCCCCCAGCTTGATCAGGGCAGGAGGTGCCCAAGAAAGCCCAGAAGGAAGGAGTGGGAAATGGTCCCGCACATGTATTGAGCTCCCGCTCCACAGTGAGCCTTTTACTTGCAGCCCAGTAGCCTGGATGGCTCGGCCTTTCTGACATGGAGTTAGGTCACCATCTGGTCACAGCCTGCAGCCCCAAGCTCTTCTCTTTTCATCTAGATAGTGGGCATAACCCTGGATCTTAACAGCCTGTGAGATGCAAGGAAACACCAGACGCCAAGGGCTCATCCCAGTCCCGGGTAGATGATTTTAAGCATTTCGTGTTCCTATCATTGGTCGTTATTGGGGCTCTGGAGCCAACCTCTGTGGCTTCAAATCTTGGCTTCTCCTCTCCTGGCTGGGTGACTTTGGGCAAGTTACTTAACCCCTCTGTGCCTCAGTTTCCTCATCTGTAAAATGGAACTAATCATAAGCTCATTTTCTCTGTTTCTCAGGGCCCTGGAGAGGATTATAACAATTGATATGCATGCAGAGTTTGCACAGCACTTGGTGCAAGGGCTGGGCAAATGCTGGCTGTGGTTGTTATTATCTCGGGGTCACCCTGAGCATCTGATACCAGTGAGGAGACTCTGGCTTCTGGGGAATCTTCCAGAGCTGCAGATCTGAGCCTGGCAGGAGGAACTCTTAGACCTTGTGAAGACTGAATTCCTGTCCCCTGAAGCTCTTGAAACCATCCCATCCATGTCTGCCGGTCAGAGTCACCAGGAAGTTCTTCCTTGTATCTATCCTAAGTCTTTCCTGCGTTGATTTCTCTGGGTTCCCATCCAGGCCGGATAGGAAGACGAGGGAAGGAGCCTTAAGGGTGTCTCAAGCATCAATCCCAGAACTTCCCAGCTCAGCTCAGAAGCCAGCAATGTGAGTCTCTGGCTCCTAGGGGGCCAAGAGCCAGGAGGGGAGGGTTTGCCTGGCTCAGTCTCCTTCGAAGGTCTCCCAGCCACAGCCAGATGCAAAACCACCTTTGTTCCCTGAATTTCAGGCCGTGGGAGGGAATGGGGCCAGCGCCTGGGGTGCGGCTGGGGAGGGAGGAAGAGATGCAAGGATTGAAAACTCGAGGGAGGCCTAGAGCAGCAGGGAGGCAGGACAGGGCACCCTGGGCAGCCAGATAGGGGCAGGGGTGTGGGAAACAGAGGGCGCAGAGCAGGGGCCAGCGGGGCTGGGAATAGGAGCCTCGGGGAGGCCGGTGAGGCGCGGAGAGGGAGGCCTCATACCAGACACTGTCTAGACGCAGCAATTATTGTCAGCTCGGAACACCCAGGCTCTGCCGGTTCAGCTGAAAGGGAGCTTAACAAAGAAGCAAGGGAGGAAGAAAGCAGGGAGAAAAGCCGGCTCCTGGCCTGTCGGGCTCTTTCTCTGCCTTGGCCACCCCCCTTTGTGTTCCACCAGCCCTGGTGGGGGGGACCCCAATGTGAAAGCACAGCTCAGAGATGCCTAATGGGGACACGGCTCCTCCTGGGCCCAGGGGGCCTGGCCAGGATCACTGTGTGGGTTTTTGGGAGGGAGAGGAGGGTGCTCTGGGCTGCCTCCTGCACGTGTATTTCTTTATATGGAGGCAGTGAGAACAGAATTCCCAGGGAGACAGCAGGCCTGAAAGTTTGAATCGCAATTCCCGCAGCTTCCTGCTGTATATATAGCTCTGGGCCGACTACAAATTTCTCTCAGCCTTGGTCTTCTCATCTGCAAAATAGGGAAAAGAACACTGCCTGGGCCAGGCGCGGTGGCTCATGCCTGCAATCCCAGTACTTTGGAAGGCTGAGACGGGTGGATCACCTGATGCCAGGAGTTTGAGACCAGCCTGGACAACACAGCGAAACCCTGTCTCTAATAAAAATACAAAAAATCGGCTGGGTGCGGTGGCTCATGCCTGTAATCCCAGCACTTTGGGAGGCTGAGGCAGGCGAATCACCTAAGGTCGGGAGTTCGAGACCAGCCTGACCAACATGGAGAAACCAAGTCTCTACCAAAAATACAAAATTGGCCGGGTGTGGTGGATTGAGTGCAATGGCGTGATCTCAGCTCACCGCAACCGCTGCCTTCCAGGTTAAAGTGATTCTCCTGCCTCAGCCTCCCAAGTAGCTGGGATTATAGGCATGTGCCTGTAATCCTTTTTCCCTCTTTGCTTCCATCCCAGGGAGAGTCCTTCATGCGTTGGATGGGACCTTCAAGGCCCTAAGTTTTTGTGGCTGCAGAGTCAGCTCAGAGCCATTTGGGCCAAACTCAACAGACCCACAGACAGAGAAAATGTGGCACATGTTCTCGGGCTCAGGGCTGCTACGTGGCCTTTTTCTCTCTCCTCCTCTCCCTGGCATTCTTTGCAGTTTCTGGGACTTTGGGTTCCTCTCTGGCTTCCACTTTCTCTGGGCCTCCCAGAGTCTCTGTGATTGTCTAGACCTTCATTCTCCTGCCACTACCCCAGCCACTGTCTGGAACCTGACCTTGGCTGAGCCACTGGGCCTGGTATTACAGGCAGCTCCAAGCTCAGGAACCCCAAGCTCCATCCTGGGAGAGGACAGACCAGGTCCTGAGTAAGAGGTAGGCAGGTGGCCCTGGACGCTGCCCTCCAGCCACTGGGCTCCTTGAGGAGGGGCTCAGATGCTGCTCCAGGGTTCCAGAGTGACCAGGGCTGGGGGTGGATTTTCAGAGGAGCAGCCCAGGCCCTCCTCCATCCATCATTTCCTAGTCTGGCCTGGCTGGGCCATTCCCTGGTCCTGGAGAGGTTGGAGGTGTCCCATGGGTTGTGCCTCAAGTGGAGGGCAGGGCACTTAGTGCAAGGGACAGTCTCACACACACTCACACTCACTTATACACTCACTCACACACGCACACTCACATATACACTCTCACACACATTCACACTCACACACATATACACTCACACTCACACATATACACTCACACACTCATATACACACACACGAATACTCACACACTCACATTCATATACACACTCATACACACACACTCTCGCACTCCCTCTCATACTTTTACACTCATTCTAACACACACACATGCTGTCCCAGAGCTAAGGCCCTGACACCTGCCCCAGTGACACTCCCCCACCACCAGCCTGGGTCCCTGGCTGCTGGGCACCCTCACTGTGTCTAGAGCTGGAAGCTCCCTTCCCCTCTCCCGCTCCCACATGCCCATAGCTGTCCACTGCCTGCAGATCCAGGGCAGACCCGTCTGCTTGCATCAGAGGCCCACCTCTCTGGAAGATTCCGGCATGTCCCACCATGTCACATGTGGCCCACCTCTCTGGAAGATTCCGGCATGTCCCACCATGTCACATGTGGTTCTCTTTGCCTGTCTCCTCTCTGCACCTTTGCTCAAGCTGTTCCTCCCCCTGGCACACCGTTCCTGGCTGCCCCCACCATGTCTCAAAACAAATGCCTGGCCTCCCATGAACCTGCTCCCCCATGCTGTCCTCTGCCTCGGGGACAGCACCAGTGTCCACCCACTGCACATGCCAGGGCCCAAGGAGCCTCCCCAGCCCCTCCTTCGCCTCCTTCACCCTCACACCATGCCCTGTCCCCTGTACCTCCCACACTGTCTCAGCCAGCTGCCACCATCTCCCCTGGATCTCAGTGCCACACTCCCAACCGGCTTCTGTGTCCACTCTTGTCCCTACCATTCTGAGTAAGCTTTGGCAATCTAGTCTCTTTTCTCTATAAAACCTTTCCTAAGCTTCCAGCCACCACAAGACAAGGGCTGGTCTCAGGCCAAATGACCCCCTCCCTGCCACTGGCCATAGTGATCCCCTCTCAAGCTCTTAGGTCTGTGGCTGGGGGTCCCCATCCAGACCACCCCTGTCCCTCTTGCCTCCACCAGTCTCTCCTCCCCTCGTCAGCCACCCTGGTCCTCAGGCACCCTCTTCAGGGAGGTCTTCTGCGACCTCTGCGGAGGCCAGGCCCAGGGGACCAGTGCTCCCTGCCCGCTACCCCCTTGTCATTCTTTAATGCCTTATTCATCATGATTTGTGCAGCTACCGTCTCTGCTGTAGGACTGCCCTGTGTGGGCCTGGCTGTGGCTGTCTTGTTTGTCACTGTGTCCCCAGCACCCTCCTGGGGCCCTCTCTGGGTTTGGTTTTCAGCCTGGCTCCACCAAGAGGCAGGAAAAAGGGAGCCCCAGTCCCTCCCACCCTCTCCTCCAGGAAGCCCTCCCTGGAGAGACCCTGGAGTATCAGGGGAGGCCTCCTTGCCCCTCCCCTAGGGCTCCCAAGCCCTGTGTCCCAGTGGCCACCAAAGGGCAAGGACATATTGGCTGGAGAGCCCCCAGAACAGGGCTGCGGCTGCCTTGTGCCTTCCACTCCTCCAAGCCCAGCGCCCCGCCCCACCGCCCCCCTCCCCGCCCCCGCCCGGGCCTAGGTTGATGATGCTGGGGGGCTGCTCTCAGCTGGGGCACCAGGAGGCCAGGATGGAGCTCCACAGAGCCCCAGGGGTACGGGAGAGGTGGCAGTGCCCGCTCCGCATCCATTCCTCCTCCCCAGGCCCTGCCAGCTGGCTTCTCCAGCTCCAACTGGGCTCTGCCTTTCCCTCTCCCTCCATCACCCTGCTGCCTCCCCTCCTTCTCCCCTCCTCTCCTGCTCTCTTTCCCGTTCCCTCCCCTCTCCCCATTCCCCTTCCCGGACCTCCCCCGCCCTCACTTCTTTCCTCTCCTCTCCTCTCTTTTCCTCTCCTCTTTTCTCTGAGTCCTTCTCCCTCGCCTCCTTCCTTTCTTCTTCCTGGGTTAAAAATAATCAACTTTCTGGGAAGCAGCAGCTCCTGCTGAGCCGCCCTCCCCACACTCGGGAGCCCCTGAGAATAGCTTTCTGCGGTTCTCCACTAGAGCCCCTCCCCTCCCCTCGCCGCCTCCCCGCGAGCTGACTAATAAGCCCGGCCGCGCGGTGCCAGCTCGGCTGGAAAGGCGTTAACCACTTCGTGCCCGGACTGCGCGAAAGGGGCGGACCGGCTCCCTGCAGGCCCGGGGGGAGGGGTGGCGGGCGCGGGCGGCCCCGGGACACGGCTCAGGACGAGGCCCTGAGCGGCAGGCGGTAGGCCCTCGATTTTTACTGGCGGTGGGATGAATGTTGACTTCTGACCGCCACGCCGGCAGGTCCTGCTGCTGGTGCAGCTAGCAGAGCTTAGTGGCCTCGGTGGGCGCGCCAGGTGCGACACCCAAGGGATGGGTCGGGGTCACATGGAGGGCGTGGCTGGGCCGGTGAGGCTCTCTCCCCGTGGCCCGAGGGACTCCTAGGTCCTGGCACTGGGCACCGCCTGAGGGGAAGCCGGGGCTGGGACCGTTAAAGTTCGGGCCAAGGGCAGGGAAGGGCTGAAAACTGTCCTGGGATCCAAGGACGTCCACAGCTGGTAGGGTCTTTAGCGATCACCCACTCTGCTTCTTGCAGAAAGGGAAACTGAGGCCCAGAGGGTGTGACTGAGGCCGGGACGTCTCTCAGTTCCTGTCCCAGACTAAGGGAGGCCCGCGGCCCTGCAGCCGACTTTCAGTTCGGGCGCCTCTGCAGGGGTAAGGTTGGGGGAGGGGAGGGTGTACATCAAGGTCAAAGGTGAGGGGTAGGTGGGGAGAGAAGAAGCGCTGAGCTCTGCGGGGTCCCCGTCAGCCCCGCCCACTCCGCGTGGTCCCGGCATTACCTCATCGCGGCGCGCGCTCATTGGCTGGCTCCCCCCTTGAAGGACAGCCCAATGCGGCGGAGCCCGTTAACCCTTTCCGCCCCGCGGACTCTGCCCTGGCCATGCCACCTGCCTCCGCGGCCCCCAAGCGGCTTTCAGGCGCTGGAGGGCCACGGAGAACAGGGAAGGGTAGTGTGGGAGCCGGCTTGAGGCCAGAGAGCACAGTGGTTAGAGCACAGGTCAGACAACTACGTCTTCGGCCCCTGTCCTGCGGCCGGCCGGCCGGCTGTGTGACCTTGGGGGACTGGCTTCACCTCGCCGAGCCTCCGCTAGTTTGCTCAGCTGTAAACAGGTGAATGATGTAACTCCTGCCCTTCCCAATTCCTTCTTCCCGGTGTACTTGCCAAGTGCCAGGCACACGTGGGCTCTGCGTTCTATTCCACCTTGTCTCCTCACTGGAAGAGGTACAGTTATTATTATGGGTTTTCCGGGGAGGAAACAGGGCTCAGGGCAGCAAAGCTGCCTCCCAAGGTCACGCATCAAGAAAGTCACAGAGCTGGGATTTGACCCCGAGTCTGCGGGTTCTGAGCTGTACTCCTCCCCAGGGCAAGATTCTGCTTCTGCTGGGAGGCGCTGCTTCTAGGAGCTCTCCGTCTCTCCGGAAGGAGGGACAGGACTCATACCCAGCTGGTCAGCTCGTGACAGATGCCACTGTGGCCAAATAAAACCAGAGCCCAGGATCTCCATGGACAAGGGACAGGAAGAAGGGTGAGGGCAGGGAGGGGCTGGAGTTGAATCCTCAAACAGGGAGGCAGGAGGACCCTCAGACAAAGGCAGGGGGCTGGACTGAGCCCAGCGAGGGTGCATGGAGTAGGAAGCTCTGAAGAAGCCTGCAGGATCCCCTGGGGGTCAGCCTGCTGGTTAGGGGTCAGCCCAGGGAGGCGGCTTCTCTCTGGGCAGCACCAGGGGTCAGCCTGGGGCAGGAGTGCAAGCCGAGGCCCACATACCTCATGTCTAGGTATTTACAAGTTATAAATCAAGCTAACAAACTGCTAAATAAAATATGTTCTGTTGCCGGGTGCGGTGGCTCACGCCTGTAATCCCAGCACTTTGGGAGGCTGAGGCGGGCAGATCACCTGAGGTCGGGAGTTGGAGACTAACCTGACCAACATGGAGAAACCACGTCTCTACTAAAAATATAAAATTAGCCAGGCATGGTGGCGCATGCCTGTAATCCCAGCTACTCGGGAGGCTGAGGCAGGAGAATTGCTTGAACCAGGGAGGTGGAGGTTGCAGTGAGCCGAGATCACACCACTGCACTCCAGCCTGGGCAACAAAAGCGAAACTCCGTCTCAAAAAAAAAAAAAAAGTTCTGTCCTCCTTCCTTGACAAATACACCTTCATAAGGACAAACACACCTGGAAGGCTGGGTTTGTGTTTAGAATTCTCAGGCTCCTTGGAGACCACAGGAGGAGCTGTAGCGGGTTGGGGAGCCCGCCTCTCAGCCTCTGGCCTCCGGCTTCACACTCGCCTCTTCTTTTCTTTTTGCCCCAGGTTCTGTCCTTTTCCCTGAGGGGCTGTGCATGCTCAGGTGTAGGCACTCCAGGCTGTAAGCACATGTTCTGTCCACACCCCCTGCCAACAGCCACCTCCTGGTCACTCCTGGGGTTTAGGGGTGCCCAAACAGGTGGCTCAGACAACCCTCAGGAGGATGCACACAGGACGCAGGCTGGGGCCATTGAACAGGGAACTCCAGGGCCCCAGGTGCCAGATCATGGTCAAGGGGCCCATGGCTCCAGCTGGAAATGTCTCCCTGGTCCAGGAGCGCTGCCCTCTAAAGCACAGGGCTCAAGTCTGTGGGCTGATGGCCCCAGGGTGCTGCGGCAGCTGGGGTGGCCAGAGCTGGACACGGGGTCTCCCTCCATCCTTGAGCTTGCTCCTAACCATCACCTCCAGCCATGTACCCCCGCCCCAGCCAGATTCCCCATGCCCCAACCAAATGCCGACCCTGGGGAGCTTCCCACCTCAATGAGTCAGCTCCCTTTACCCTGTCCCCACTGCCCCCCACCCTTATCCCCCTTATCCGGCTGCTCCATCTCCCGCCTGCTCCCTGGGCTCCTAGCCCCTACTCTCTGCCTGCCCCCCAACCCCCCTCCGCCACCCTAACCTCCTATCTGCCCTCCTCAGCTCAGCCAGCCAGATCTTTCTAAAATGCAAGGCTGCAGGCTTCCTTCCCTCTCTAACCAGCGCTGGTTCCCGGGCTCTCTACATATCATCCCCAGGCTCTGGAGGTCTCTCCTTTCCTCCCCTCTCCTCTCCTCGGGTTCTGAGCTCTAGCCATTTGGGCCTTCTCTCCAATTCAGTTTTGTGTGCTTTCTGCCTCACGGTCTTCATGCGTGCTACCCCCCTCTACCTGGAACCATGTTTTCTGCTCTTTGTCCCCGGCTCCCCAGACCAGCAGAAACCACATGGCGATGAGCACATGGAGTTATCAGTTTCCAGTGTGTTTCCTACCTGGCCTGCAGGCAACAGGAGGACAGGCTGGGTCAGTGCTGTTCACTGCTCCATCTTCAGTGTCTGGCACAGAGCAGGTGTCACTGAAGTTTCGTAAGTCAGATGCATCTGCACTGGGCTTGAAATCAAGACACCACAGCAGCTAATGTCTATTGTATGCTCACTGTGTCCTGGGCCCTGCTTTTAAGCATATGACATGTATTAGTTCACTTATTTCTCACAACAATCTTTGAAATAGGAATGATTACTATCTCCACTCTACAGAATGAGGACACTAAGGCACAGAGAAGTTCAGAGACTTAGGCTCACAGCTGGCCAGTGACAGACCCCGATTTGAACCCAGGCAATGGAGCTCCAATGCTGAACCACCTCTTGCCATCTAGCCCCAGCTGGGCCAAGGCCTTGCTGTGGGTCCCTGGGCCAGTGTCTCCACTTCTCTGAGCTGCAGCTTTGTTTTTTTTTTTTTTTTGGGATGGAGTTTCGCTCTTTTTGCCAAGGCTGGAGTGCAATAGTGTGATCTCGGCTCACCGCAACCTCTGCCTCCCGGGTTCAAGCGATTCTCCTGCCTCAGCCTCCTGAGTAGCTGGGATTACAGGCATGCACCAACACGCCTGGCTAATTTTGTATTTTTTAGCAGAGACAAGGTTTCTCCATGTTGGCCAGGCTGGTCTCGAACTCCCAACCTCAGGTGATCTGCCTGCCTTGGCCTCCCAAAGTGCTGGGATTACAGGTGTGAGCCACCACGCCCAGCTCTGAGCTGCAGCTTTTCTGTGTGTGCAGTGGAGGGTTGGCCACAGTGGTGATCCCTGAGGTCCCTTCCAGCTCTGGCAGCCTGGCAGCTCCTCTGATGATCCATCCTTCAGGGAGCCAAGGACTCCCCGTGGAGGTCCTGCAGGGATGCCCAAGAGTTGGGTGGCTGGGAAACAGCTCACCGTGTGTTAGGCTGTAGACCTGAGTACCTGGCCAGGGACCCAATCGTCCCCAGCAGTCTTGTCATTGTGACCGGCCTTCATCTCACAGGAACCCAGGCTGGGCTACGTAAATGAACTGAGCTGAACTGCCAGGTGCTGGGGTTCAGGCAGAGACTGGAGGCTAGAAGTTGAGGGGGGCCAAGTACTGCAGTTGGGCTGGGGGACAGTACTTGGGGCAGGGTTGAGCTTGGGTCCCCACACCAAGAGCTCCACAGTCATCTCAGGGACCCTTCAACAACAGCCCTGAGGGCTATGCATCCATTTTTTAGAGGAGGACATGATGGGGAGGCACAGTGGGGGACAGTGACCTGGCCGAGGTCACACAGCAAGAAGGAGTCTAGATTTGGCTTTTAACCACTCTGCCCCCAGCCTTGGGCAAAGGTGTTCAGTGTAGATGTGAGAGTGAACTGATAGAGAAGTTCTAGAAGGGGTCAGGTGCAGTGGCTCACCCCTGTAATCTCAGCACTGTGGGAGGCCGAGGCGGGCGGATCACCTGAGGTCGGGAGTTCGACACCAGCCTGGCCAACATGGTGAAACCCTGTCTCTACTAAAAATACAAAAATTAGCCGGGCATGGTGGAGGGCGTCTGTAATCCCAGCTACTCGGGAGGCTTAGGCAGGAGAATCGCTTGAACCCAGGAGGTGGAGGTTGCAATGAGCCGAGATCGTGCCACTGCACTCCAGCTTGGGCTACAGAACAAGACTCTGTCTTGGGAAAAAAAAAAAAGTTCTGGAAGAAACTCTGGGACATACATATGGGTATATGGGTCCATGTGTTCATACCCATGAGCATGGGTACCCCCTTGCTCCCCATCCCAGCACCTCTCCTTGCCCACCTCTGTCTCACTGCCTTTGTTTATTCGCCTGTGGTCACTGTGGACTCTGCTAGACCCTGAGCCTGTGAGGGCAGCGGCTGTCTTCCTGTTCCCTGCACACCAGCACGTGACTCGAGCACAGGCAGGAGGAAGGCGGATGGAAACACAGGCGCAGCCCAGGGCTGTTCCACCCTGTGTTCAGTCCCTTCCCTCCTTGGGCCTCTGTTTCTCATCTCTGCATATGGGGTAAAATGCCCCATCCTTAGTCCGGGCTCAGGTGAGCCGCTGGGTTCCTACTGGGCCATGGGAAGGGCCCTAATACCTGAAGGGCAGGGAGGATGAGGGCAGGCAGCTCAGCTGCCCTCCCTCCATCCTGGGGCCTGCCACCTCCCCTCTGTCTTCTCCTGATTCCGGTTCCCCACCAGGAAGGGCTCACTGTCCTGCTCAGCAAGTTCTCTCAACAAGCTGGGCAGCCAGGGGGGGGTGCTCTGCTGGACTGGAGGAGCCGATGTGAGCCCAGGCCACCCATGGAGGCTCCCTCTGAAGAGAGGGAACAGACAACCCAGCCACTTGTCAGGAACCCCGATCAAATACCCCACCCCCAAGGCTCAGCACTAAGTGTCCCAGGGGCCTGATTTGCAGGAAGGGCAGCAGGATGCTCACTTGGGGGTGGAACACTCACCTGAGGGAGGAACTGTACCTGCCGAGGCTTGGATTACCCACAAACTCAGCCCAGCAGGAGCCCGCTGGCTGTGCTAACAATGTCCTCTGTGACGTTGCTGAGATTCTGCAAGGTTCTTTCAGTGTTAGCCCATTTTACAGAGGAGAAAGTTGAGGCTCCAGACAGATGTGAGCTTAAGCCTCTGGCCCAGTTCAAGTTTCCAAATATTCCAGAGGCCAGGGCCTGGGGCGGGGTGTGGGGCACCCCAAAGTCCAGGTGAGGGTGACCTGAGGGTGAAGTCTGGGTCTGGAGAGGCAATAGAGGGAGTGAGGACGGCTCCTGCCAGAAACAGGGGAGGGGTGTTTGAGACCTTGAAGGAGGTGGGACTGTGACAGTGGTGACTGTGGGAGGAGTCCGGGTCCAAGCAACAACTGGGAGAGACTTGGTGCAGGGCCCTGAGCTGAAATGGAGGAAAACGGAGCTGGGTGGGTCCCTGCCCTCAATGGGGGGTAAATGCTGAGGCTGGGGGCACGAGCCCAGAGGAGGGCACCAGGGCAGCCCAGACATGAGCTCTGTGGTCTGTGTGTGTTTACTGTGTGGCCAGAGCGTGTGAGGAGTGTGTGGAACCGTCTGTGTGATGTGGGAGTAGGGGGATAAGTGTATTGGCATATGGAGTGGGAGTGTGTATGTGTGCACGCATGCACCTTTGTGCCTGTGATCTGCGTCATGCAGTGTGTCTGTGCCTGTGTGGGATGTGGTCCCTGTGATGTGGGGCGTGTATGTCGGTGTGTGTGTGTGTTGTGGGGTAGTGCTAACCGGGACACTCTCCAGGGGAAGATCCTAGCTCGGATGGAGGTGGAGGAGTTAACCAGGAGAATGGGAGAGGGACCAGCACGTGCAAAGGCCTGGAGGCATGAAGATGGAGCCTGGAGCACTGGAGGACTTGAAAGTGGTCCAGTGAGGCTGGGAGTAGGGAGGGAGAGGCAGGGGCTGGGAGGGACAGGGCAGGCCTTCCTCCACCAGTTTGAATTCCGTTAGCTTGAGGGTGTGTACAGCCAGGAGGGGTGGAGGGGCTGAGAGGAGGCCGAGCCACCACTGACCAGGTGGAGGGGTAGGGGGTGAGCCTGGACCGGGGCAGGTGCTGGGTGGAGGTGGGGGAGTGAGAGCCAGAGCTCTCAACCAAGCCTCTGGGAGGCCGCAGGGCCTGGGATCGCAGACCCGAGCCTAATCCCTGCTCAGCCCAAGAGCTGTAGCCAGAAGGTTCTTAGTTTCCCCTCAGTAAACTGAGGTTCAGGACATTTCTGGGGCACTTGCTCTGTGTGACTGGGCAAGGGCTGGGCAGGCATTTCCAGCATGAACACGCTTTCCCAGGCCCACTGGTTGGAGGGCACCGAGGGGAGAAGGGGGACAGAGGAAAGGAGCCGGAAGCAGGATCCAGAATTTGAACCTAGGTGGTCTGACTCCAAGAGGGCCCTCTCTCTCACTTGACTTCAATAGTGACATTAGCCAACTTCAATAGTGACCCCAGGCGCGGTGGCTCACGCCTGTAATCCCAGCACTTTGGGAGGCCGAGACGGGTGGATCATGAGGTCAGGAGATGAGACCATTCTGGCTAACACGGTGAAACCCCGTCCCTACTAAAAATACAAATAATTAGCCGGGTGTGGCTGCGGGTGCCTGTAGTCCCAGCTACTCGGGAGGCTGAGGCAGGAGAATGGCGTGAACCCGGTAGGCGGAGCTTGCAGTGAGCCGAGATCGCGCCACTGCACTCCAGCCTGGGGAAAGAGCGAGACTCCGTCTCAAAAAGAAAAAAAAAAAAATTGACCCCAGTAGTGACAACAGTGACTCACCTGCCCCATGGGCTTCCAACTGCGATGGTTGTGCTCTCCTTTGACCCTGTATCCTGGGGGACTGCATACGGTAATTATATTGTTACTGCGCCTTTTTAGAGATGAGAAAACTGTGGTCAGTAGCAGAGTGGCCTGACCAGGGCTCCAACTCCCCCGTCCTACTGCAGATGATGTGGGGCAGTTTTCTTAGCACAGGCTGGAAAGCTCTCTTAGGTAACACGTGGATGACAGCGTGTGACCCGGCAGAAAAGAATTGTAATTCCGGGTGGCTGTACGACCTTGGACGGTCCTTTTGCCATCTCTGGGCCTCGATTTACCCAACTGTACAATTCGCCCCGTGAGTCTAGGAAGATTTGCTGAGCGTCTGCCAACTGGCAGATGAGGAACCGAAGTTCAGAGAGTTGAAAGCACTTGCCCCAGGTCAGGCGGCCGGCTTCGAAGCCGGATTCCGAAGGCGTGCCCTGCCCTCGGCCCCCAGCGGTGTCGTCCTGCCCCCAGGGGGCCGCGATGCGGGGCCGTTCCAGGCCCTGCCAGCCTGACGTCAAGCCCGGCCGGCGGGGCCTCGCTCTGCACAAACAGACGCCGCAGGCCAGCGTCGGGGCCGGGGGCGGCGATGACTCAGGGCCCCGAGACGGGCCGGGAAGCGGAAAGTTGTGTGCAGATGACATCAGCCGGCCGCGAGGGCGGGAGGGGGCCGGCTCCGGGAAACGGCGGCCTGGCGGGCGGCCCGGGGCAGGGCGTGGAGAGGCGGCCGCGGGGCGGGGGCGGGGACGCCGGGACGGGACGCTCGGGACCACGAAAAATGTCCCCACTCCCGCCCGCCCCGGACCCAGGCCCCGGAGCCCGGCCCCGCTTTTCGCCGGCGAGGAGCGGGCTTCACCCGCCTGCAAAGACTCCGCGCTCCCCCGCGCTCCGGAGGCAGCCGCATCCATCCTGCTGCGTCCCTGCATTTTAATTACCGCCGTATTAATATTCATGAGCCGGGACTCGAGGGGGACCGCGGGCTGTCATTTCCCTCGCCCGCCCTTCCCCCACCGCACCCCTCTTCCCGGGCTGAGTCGTGGGCTTTTTTCCTCCCGTTCTCAACCCCGCTCGCACCAACCGTTGGTGCGCAGCAGATTTGGGGGAGGGGGGTTGGTGTGAGTGTGAGCATGAGTGTGAGCGAGTGTGAGTGGGGAGGGGCCGAGTGTGAGTCTGTGCCTGTGTCTGTATGCCTGTGTGTACGTGCCTATGTGTGCCTGTGTGTCTGTCGGCAATCCCAGGGCCGTGTGTGCACATGTCTCTGATGTCTCTGTGGGGCTTGGAGAAGGGCCAAAGTCTGTCCAAGTTAGCAGGGCCTGACTGTACAAATGGGGAAACTAAGGCCTGGAGAAAGGCTGGGCCTTGTCCAAAGCCACCCCATAGGTCAGTAGCACAGGGAAGCCAGAGCCCAGGGTCTTGCGTTTGGCCGACTCTGCTCCCCGACTCTCCCGTGCTGTTGTTTGTAACAATGGCAGACAGGATGTGCTGAGCCGGCACCTCTCATATGGCCTTCCCAGCAAACCTGTGCAGCACGTGGTCCTATCCGTCCCCCGTGCACATAGGGAAACTGAGGCAACTGGTCCAGCCAGTGAGGGGTGGACTGGAGCCCAGAAGTGTCTGAATCCCAAGTCCCTGGGTTTAACGGCCCCACTGTGATGCCTCCTGGGGAATTGTGGAGTGTCCTCACTGGGGTGATCCGGGGGTACCTGGAAGTTCCTGGGTGCCCGGGCATCAGGGGGGTGTTTCCCCAGAAACACAGCCCACATTCTGTTTCCCTCCCAAGTCAGTCATCAGATGAGGCTGCCTTCCTGTGGCTCTCCCAGTCCCTCTCTGTCCTCTCCCCATCCCTGAAGCCTCCCAGGAGCTGCCCTGCACACCAGGCCTTCCTCCCTGGGCCTGAGGTCAGGCAATCACTCATTCATTCATCCAACAAATGCTTCAGTGCCAGTCACTGTGCTAGGCACTGGGGATTCTCTGCTCCCTACTCTGGTCATCTCTACCTGGCCTAGGAGCCTCCAGGCCCACAAGGGGGCTGTTCACCTCTGTGTGTGAATGCTCACTAGTGGTGGGGGACTAGGGGCACCTGTGCACAAAAGACAGCTCTCACCCAGCCTTGCCACAGAGGTCTGGGGTGCCCACATATTCAGTGGCCAGAAAGGGGCTGCGATCATCTTAGGGCTGATGGGGCGGTGGCCACACTAGGCAGCCTGAATCTTTGATTCTCTCTCCTGCAACTTGTCCTCCTCTGACTGCCAAGCCAAATAACCCCAGGGGCTGGTCAGCCTGCCTTACCCCGGGTTGAGCCAAGGCCGTCCTCCCTCTCACGTCCAGCCTAGAATAGATGGACTGTTCCCTCCTCTCTGCCCACGCAGGGCTGGGCTGGAAGTTGTGTCCCAGCCATGTCCCCTGAGCCTTTTCTCCCCTCCCTTTGGGAGCTCCGCAGGAACACAGAGAAGAGGACAGGGGTGCAGCCAGAGGACTCGGGAGAGGAAGCGATAATTTAATTGGGCTTCACGGGCTAAATAGGAGTTTGCCTAGGAGAGGCGGCCCAAGGACAGGGGACTAGCTCAGAGGGGTGCCTACCTGCAGCCCCCATTCTATAACAGGAACCAGAGCAGGCCAAAGGCAAGAGACCTGGGGAGACTGGGAGGACGGATTTTCTCCTAAAGGGCCCCAGGCAGTACAGCCTAGTGGTCCATCCGCACTCTTGGGTGGGTCCATCCTGGGTGAGAATTCCCCCTCCCTCCTCACTGTGAGGGCCTCTATTTCCTGATCTGCAAAACTGGGAAAATAACATTTTTTTTTCAGGTTTATATTCAGATCAAGAGACACTGCCTGTACAGCACCTAGCACGGTGGCTGGGGCTCTGTCATAGGGTGATGTGTCCTCACGGACGTAGGGAGGCCTCTGGAATCACTGTCCCCATTTGGCCCAGAATGGGATTTAAGGATCAGTCTGTGTCCCACAGTCTAACCCATGGAGTGGAGTTTGGTAGGGACAGACTGCTGGGAGGAGGGGGAACAGCCTGAAACTGTCATGGGTCAGGCAAGGCTCAGGCTCTAGGTAAGAGAGGGATCTCAGAGGCCGCACCGCCCTGCCTGCTGGGCTCCTTGTAGACCTGCCAGATGGCCCATCACCCAAACAGCCAGACCTGCAGTGAGAGGGGCAGCCTGGCCCGCCAGCTCTGGGCTCCCTCCTGCTGCCTGTGTCTCTTTGCCTCCTGGCTCCCCTCTGTCTTTTGAAAATGTCCTCCCTTCTTTTGTTAGAATAGTCATACCTATACAGGGCAAACACACACACACACACACACACACACACACACACACACACAGACAAAAAAACACAAAACCATTTTTTTTAAAGGAAGCATTGTAAAAGTTCATGCAGTACATCCTGACGCTGTCATTCTAGGTTTCGTGTACATTTCTGGGACATTTCTCTGCTTATGGAGCTGTCTTTGTAAAACTTCCATAGGATGACATCCACCTCTGCTCAAAGGCCTTCGATGGCTCCCCATTTTTATAAAGCAAGGTAGCTTCCTCCAGCCTTTGCAGGCTGGCCCAGGCTCGGCAACACCATTCTCCTTCCCCTCCCCATTACCCTCCCTGACGCTGGGCTGCGGGCCCTTCCTCAGAGCATGGCCTCCTCTCCTGCCACCATGCCTTTGGCTTTGCTGTGCCAACCTCTGGGAATGGCCCAGTGCCCTCCACTGAGATTTCTCAAGAGCAGCCTTTGCTGTCCCCTGGCCTCTGTGCCTCCCCCACCAGCTCTCCTCCCTCCCCATCCCCTACACCAAAACCCACCTCTCTCTCTCCCGGTGCCCTCAGCTCTGGTGGACGCCTCTAGGGTGCTGCTTTTCACATCTAACTCTCAGGAGCGCCTCCTCCAAGTCTTGTGTCCCCACTCGGCTATGAGCATCTCAAAGGCTGGGGTCCTGGCATCTTCGTTTTTGTTGCCACCTACCTTGATGCCCTGCACACAGTAGGGACTTTAAAATGTTATATTAAAAAAATTAAAGTTGCTTTTTCTCTTTTTCCTTCTTTCTTTCTTTCCTTTTTTCTTCCTCTCTCTCTCTCTCTTTTTTTTTTTTTTTTTTTTTTTTTGGCGGAGTCTCATCCTGCTGTCCAGGCTGTATGGAGTGCAGGGGCGCGATCACGGTTCACTGCAGCCTTGACCTCCCCAGGCTCAGGTGATCCTCCCACCTCAGCCTCCTGAGTAGCTGGGACTACAGGCGCGCTCCATCAGGCCGGGCTAATTTTTGTATTTTTGTAGAGATGAGGTTTCGCCACGTTGTCCAGGCTGGTCTCAAACTCCTGGGCTCAAGTGAGCCTCCAGCCTCAGCCTACCAAACTGCTGGGATTACAGGCGTGAGCCACTACACCCTGCCTGCTTTTTCTTTAGGGATTCAGGCTCTAAGCCAACAAATGATGGTTTGAATCGTGACTCTATCATTTCCTAGCTGTGTGTCCTTGAGAAAGTGAATCAACCTCTCTGAGCCTCAGTTACCTCATCTGGAAAAGAAAGTTAATAATAAAATCTCCCTCCACGAGTAACAGTGATTAACAGTGCATGTAAAACATCTAGCACCGGCCCAGGGCAGAGAGTAGCCAGCAAGCTCTAATGTTACTCCGTTTTGTCTTATTCAGTCTCATTCAGACTTGTCCAAAGTCACCTGTCCAATTTTGGGCAGTGCTGGGACGCTCCCCCTGTCTCTTCCCCCTCCAATGCTACTTCCCTGTAGTGGGAGAGGGTCCCAGGCCATCATCTCTGTTTTGCAGAGGAGAACCAGGTTCAGAGAGGCCGAGTTGCTCACCCGGGATCACACAGCCCTGAGAACAAGGCAAGGGTCTGCCTGTTTGCTAAGTTCCATGTGAGTTCTTTAGGTTGCTCAGGATAAGGATGGCCTCAATGAGACCCACCGTCCTGACAGAGGGGCTCGTACTCTTGTGGCCAAGAACTGGCAAGGTGGGCTCCTCGGGGGCCAGGGAGCCACCGCAAGTGCTATTAAGTGGAACATCACTAAGACAAACAGCCCGCATTTCCTGGGTGCTTTCCCCAGGGCAGGGAGCTGTGTCAAGTGTTCATGGGCACAGTCTCCTTCCATCCTCACAGCAACCCTATTATCCTGCATTCCAAGGATGGGTGCTCCCTCAGATCCCAGGTAGGGGCTAAACGAGGGGTGGCGCCAGCACCCGAACCCTGATCTTGCTCCTGCCCTGAGCCTCTGTGGACCACTGAGAACAATGGGCTTTTACCTGTGCTGTATCAGCTCTGGGGCTCAGCAGGAGGCCAGGCTCCACCCCCCAACGCCCCCAACCCAAGTTGGGGGTGCTGCTTGGGTCTCATAGAACATCTTGGGGTCCCTCCCCAGCCCTGGCCCCACAGAGCCGACCCAGCTGCGTCTCTGAGCCGCACCCAAAATCTTCCCAGCTTTGCCAGGGAGACTGGAAATTTCTGCTCAGCAGCTTCGTCTGGGATGATTTCGACACTTGGCTCGATGGGGTCGAGAGGAGGAGCCAGGCCGCTCAGCCGCTCAACATTCTGGAGCTCCCCTTGGGTCACCGGGAGGGGGGCTTTGCTAGGCGTAGATGAGCCCCTCCGAAATGGTAAAATCAAGCAACAGTGACCAAGTACCGAGCGCTTACCGTGTGCTGGGCCCTGTGCCAAGTCAGGACTTGCTGGGCCTCACGGAACCTTCCGGCGCCCGGGCAAGGCCAGCACTGTTACCAACTGTCTCGCGGACTGCTCCTAACTGGGGGCTCTGTTAGCATCCAGGAGTCTCCTCCTCGGATACTCTGAGTACCCCCTCCAGAGACCCCAGGCACCGGATTCTCTGTACGGGGCCGCTGACGTGCCCAGCCCTGGTGAACCCACCCTTCCAGACACTTCCACCCACGCCCGGCCCTGGGGCTGGGGGCGTCGGGCAGAGCGCCGGTGAAATTCTGCCAGTGGCTAAGGCGCCTACTGTGCCCCTGGCTCTGCGAGGGTCGGGGGACTGTCACCAGGCCCAAAGTCGCCAGGGAGGAGGGGCGTGAATGACGAAGCTCAGATCCGGGCAAAGGATCGGAGAGGTGATTAGACACCCCGGGCAGGCAGCGGAGGCCGGCCCTGCTGAGCGACCCCCGTTAGCGACGACCCTCAGGGGCTCAGGCTCCACGCCCATTAACTGGGTATCAGTCCCTTCCATCCCGGGGAGCCGAGCTCCTGGGAAGCAGCGCCTGGGGGCGCCGGCGACCGGCTGGGGCCGCCTCCCTGCTCCCCCGCCCTGGGCCCGATCGCCGGGCGCGAGGCGTGCAGGGCGCGGCGCGGGCCCGGGCGCCCAGTTCAGCGGAAAGGAATGCCTTGCTCGGCGGGGGAGGCCGTGGCCCCGAGGCCGTGTCCACCCCCGCCCGCCCCGGGCCTCATTTACTGCGGCTCTGAAGCCCGGCCCGTTTCGCCCGCCGGGCCCCGCGGGGTGACTCCCCCCACGATTGCGGTCCCCCGCCCTCCGCCCGGCCGCCGCTGGCGGACCCCAAAGTCGGGGCGAGTCTCCAAACCGGGGAGCCGGCCCCGCCCCCACGCCGCGGCGGCGCCCTCCCTTCCCCCTCCCCGCCGCCCGCCTCTCCCCCTCCCCCCTCCATAACTCAAAAGCCTGTCAAGCTGGTTCCAGACTCCTGGCGCCGGGCTCCGCTCCAGGAAAGAAAAAAAGGAAAGAGAAAAAGGGAAAAAGCCGGCGCGAGGGAGCGAGAGAGGCCCGCGGAGCAAAACCGTGCGCCCCGGCACGCACAGCCCCGCGGCCCCCGACCCCCCACGCCCCTAACCCTAACGGGGATCCCAGTCCTAGGGACACCGGGCGCGTGCGCGACCCCAATCAGTTATTTATGGGCGAATTAATTATGTAGCTGCCATGGGCGGGGGGGCCGGCAGGGGCCATGCGACGCGGAGACCACCCGGCCGCGGTGGCGGCTCTCCTGCCGGGCCTCGGGGTCGGGAGGCGTCCCCACGCCGCCCGGGGAGGATCCCGTTGTGAGAAAGCTGCCTCGGGGTGGGGTCCGGGAGGAGCGCGGGGGAACCTGAGGAAGCGGGAGAGACGGCTCGGAGACCTCCCAATTAGACTGGGAGGGGAGAGGGGGGCGGGCGACGGAGCTGGAAAGAGCGGGCCGCGGAGACCGGGGCGTGGGAAGAGCCTGGCCTAGGCATTTCTTCCCTTCCTTCCTTCCTTCATCCCCATCCTTACTGCGAGCCCACTACGTGCCACTGCGCCCACAGCAGAGGGCGGTATTAGGGAGGGGTTAGGAGCAGGAAGGAATTTCGAGGTACAGCTGGGTCCAAATCCGGATTTGTATCCTATACTCCCCTGCTGTGTGGCCTTAGGCAACGGCTTGCCCTCTCGGAGCCTCCACTTCCTCATCTGCCAGTGGTCTTCAGGACTTGGGAGATGGGGCGCTTGGGCAGAGAGTTTGTGGGGGCGCGGTCGAAGGGAGGTCCTGTCCTTGGGAAACTTTACATAGAGGGGAACATGCCCAGTCCCCCAGTATTCCCCATCTCGAAGCCCCGACTTTGGGTCTCATATAATCTGCCTCTCCCCGGGGCCCACACATTTGAAGGTCGTTATTAAAACCACACCACCCCCAAGGCCACTGCTCAGGACGCTCACCCCTAGCTGGCTTCTCACCAGCCTGGCCCTGCAGAAGGTCGTGCATATGGCAGCCAGAGGGGCTCAATCTAGTCCTTTTACTCCCCACCTCCGCTGCCTCCCCCGACTCTGCCCTTCACATCCCCACCTGGGTTCTCCTTCCAACCTGCTTCTAGTCTGGGCTAGGGAGATTGGAGCCCTGAGGCCATGGGGGCTACGGGGCAGTGAGAACAGGGGTGGGGGCTCAGCTGGCCCTCCCTGGACAAGTGTCCCCCTTATCTGGAGTGTCAAGGCGTTCTACTTCCAAGACTCAGAAGTGAAGGAGGCTTCCGTTTGCGACCCAGGATTGCCTAGGGGTTTGCCTGTCTTCTTTCACCAAAACTTGCAATAACTCTGTTAGGTGAATGGGGCAGATCCAGGTTTTATGGGGCCTGAAGGTTTTACAATCCTGGGGACCCACTTGAAGAAGAATAGTGCAAAGTTATGAATAGGCGGTTAAGCTCAGGGCCTTGGTAAATGACAGTCCCAGGAGCTAAAGCTTCATTAGCCCCTCGGTAACTCACCTCTGTAGATGGACAACACAACTGTCATCCCTTTGCAGAGGTGGAAACAAAGCTTAGGCTGGCCCAAGGTCACAACAGGTAGAAAGGACAAGCTGGGATCAAACCCAGGTCCCACCCCACAGGCAGCACCCTGAACTAACTGCCTCAGTAGGAATGCCACCTTCCATATCATCTACCCCATGCCACATCTCACCTGTCCCCACCAGTGCCCAGCCCAGGCAGGGTCAGTCAGAACAGCCTTTGCTTCCAGAACAGTCTGTGTCCCTCCCTCCAGAGGCCTCCATGTCCCAAGGCTCAAGCCTCAGAGATACTGTCTTGTGACAACACTCACAGATCTAGTAAGTAGGTCTCTTCTAAACTTTTGATTCCAGCAATGGTAACCTGCTCACTCCAGAACTCCAGCTCCCCCGTCCACCTGGAGGGAGCGCACCCCTGTTCCCCGGTGGGCTCCCTGGTGTTCGGGGCTGGATCTGTTTTATTTGGCTCAGTATTCCCCGCTCTTGACGCAGTACAGACATACAGCCGACAGAGTGACTGTAGCAGTAACATCTATTCCCAACCTCGTGGAACAGGATGTTGTTAAACTGCGGATTCCCGGGCCCCCCTCAGATTCTACTGAATCAGACTCTCTGTGCACAGGGCCGGGGACTTGGCATTTTACAAGCTCTTTTGGGTGCATCTTAACCATAGTAAAGTTCGAGACCACGGACCTACGGCCAGAAAGGACCAAATGGTTGTGTCTAGACCAAGGCCTTCTCACCAGGGGGAGTTATCTCCCCTAAATCCGACCGATTTCACCAGTTCCCCAGGCTCTTCTGGCTGAGATCAAATTATTTCACTTATCAGGCCAGGCACAGTGGGTCATGCCTGTAATTCCAGCACTTTGGGAGGCTGAGGTGGGTGTGTCACTTGAGGTCAGGAGTTCAAGACTAGTCTGGCCAACATGGCAAAACCCCGTCTCTACTAAAAACACAAAAATTAGCTGGGTGTGGTGGTGGGCGCCTGTAATCCCAGCTACTCAGGAGGCTGAGGCATGAGAATCGCTTGAACCCGGGAGGTGGAGGTTGCAGTGAGCCAAGGTCGTGCCACTGCACCCCAGCCTGGGTGACAGAGCAAGACTCAAAAACAGCAACAAAAATTATTTCATGTATCAAAGACCTACTGCCTGCCCGGGACTGGGTCTGAGGCCTTAGAGAATTGACCTCATAGGATACTCGCAAAAGCTCTGAGAAGTAGGGAGAATTATTGTCCCCATTTTACAGATGGAATCTGAGGCCTGGAGAAGCAAAGTGGCTTTGTGGAAGGGATACGGTGCTGGGGAATGAGGAGGCTGGGATGGGAGCTGAACTCACACCCTTAACTCCTTCCTTCCACTGCCCACAAGGCCACTGATCCGAGGGCTGTAACTCGCAAGGGTCCTTCAGTAACATCCGGAGATGAGAGTTTACACACCAGCCTGTGAGCGGCTTTGAGAAATTAAACACGCTACAGAGTCACTACAGGGACCTCATGCTAAGACGCGCAACAAAATTAGGCGACAGGCCCCAAAGAAATCTAATCAAGTAGGCCTCTTCTCCTCCGTATCTTTGGAGTCGGTGTTCAGGGGAATGTGTGTTTGCGGAAGGATTTGATGTATTTGCTTCAGGCAAATCTTTGCCTTTTTCTCTGCCTGCAGTTCTGTGCTAGGCAGCAAGAAAGCTCCACAGCTGGTGGCCAGTGCTGCAGGCCAGCGTGGCTCCCTGGGCTTCTCTGTAGGGCTGTGTTATCACGCTTCCCCGGGTCCGGTGCTCTGTGCAAACGTAGCCTCTTTCCTGCTCCAGGATGGGCAAGGCACAGGGGAGGTTTCAGGTGGAGAGAAATTGATTTAGTGGCCACTGCTTCTGAGGCTGGAGGACCTGCCTGAGGCAGAGGGTGTGGACTTGTTCTGGGAGGACCCAGAAGGCAGAACCACGGAAGGCTACCAAGGGAGGTAGGTTTTGCCTCAAGATGAACTATCCAATAGTCAGGGCAGCTGTGTAGGTAGTGAGTGCCCCACCTGGGGAGGTAGTCAAGGACAGGCAGGGATAGAGAGTGGTGTGTCTAGGAGTACAGAGCCATGCCTCAGGAGAAGAAGTGGCTGAAGACACTTTGAGGTCTTTTGAAACTCTGGGAATTTCCATATCTAACATTACTGACCAGCCCATGTGGGACTGAGGGGATAAATTAAGGAAGGGAAGGGGCAGGTTATGATGGCCAGACTGGGAACCACAGACCCCCAGGGAGACAGAAGCAGGCTCCTAGCCCTTGGTCTTCCAACAAAACTACTGTTTCTCTCTCTCCCCTCCCTTCCTTTCTTCCTTCCTTCTTTCCTTCCTTCTCTCTCTCATCACCCTCTCCTTCCCTCCTTCCCTCTCTCCCTTCCTCCCCCACTCCCTCCCTGTCTCTCTTTCCTTTTCTTTTCTTTCTTCCGACAGGGTCTTGCTCTGTCGCCCAGGCTGGAGTGCAGTTGTGTGGTCACAGCTCACTGCAGCCTCAACCACCCAGGCTCAAGCAATCCTCCCACCTCAGCCTCCTGAGTAGCCGTGGTGAGACTACAGGTGCACTCCATCATGACTGGCTAATTTTTGTATTTTTTGTAGAGACAGGGTTTTGCCATGTTGCCCAGGCTGGTCTCAAACTCTTGGGCTCAAATCTTCCTTCCACCTTGGCCTCCCAAAGTGCCGGGATTACAGGTGTGAACCACCACACCTGGCCTCACTCTCATGACCCCTCATGGGGTCTTGCCATGTTACCCAGGCAGGTCTTGAACACAAGCGATCCTCCTGACTCAGCCTCCCTAAGTGTTGGAATTGCAGACCTGAGCCACCGTGCCCGGCGCACTATTGTTTCTTGAAATTCAAATACGCTTCTTTCTTTTTCAGTCATTTGTAAATGTCTGGTAACCTTTCATAATGTTATTAATAATAATATTTCTAATAACTGGTAATCAATAACTGTACTCTCTGTAGCATTAACTGCATGCTTACTGAGAAAGGATGTACTCTAGTCCAGGCATGGTGGCTCACGCCTGTCATTCCAGCACTTTGGGAGGCCGAGGTGGGTGGATCACTTGAGGTCAGGAGTTTGAGACCAGCCTGGTCAACATGGTGAAACCCCATCTCTACTAAAAATATAAAAATTAGCCGAGTGTGGTGGCACGTGCCTATAATCTCAGCTATTCGAGAGGATGAGGCATGAGAATCGCTTGAACGTGAGACGCGGAGGTTTCAGTGAGCTGAGATCATGCCACTGCACTCCAGCCTGGGTGACAGAGCCAGAAGCTGTCTCAAAAACAACAACAACAAAAACAAAAACAACAAAGAAAGGAAGGAAAGGAGAGGGAGAGGAAAAAGGAAAGAAAGGCTATATTCTAAGTGCTTATGTGTATAAATGTGTGTAATTGACATGGCAGTCCTATGAGAAGGGTGTTTATTTGTGCTATCACTCTTGTTTTAGAGATGAGGACACTGAGGCTCAGAGGGCTGACATGCCAAGCCCCAGGGCACAGGAAGGCAGGCCTCTGCTTCCACCTCACATCCCCCAGTGCCTCTGGAAACCGCAGCCTGTGGAGGGCCTGAGGTCGCTTATCACCTGTCTCTGCAGCTCATCCTCAGCAAAGACTGAGGGTCCTTGATGCTGTCCGGGTCCTTGATGCTGTCCCCATCTTTATGCCAGGTCTCATCTCAGAGGCAGGCTCAGGAAGGGAGCTGGGAGATGCCGGCAGAGGGCCCAGGAGAGGCACACTGCCCACCAGCTAGGAGCTGCTTCTGACCTCGCTGGCCGATGGCCGGGGACCCTGGCCCCTCCCAACCCCAGGGACACAAAGCAGAAGATCCCAGAATGGGGATGGGGAGAGAGGACCATCTTGTTCAACTTCCTCATTCTATACCAGGAAAACAGGCATCGGAGAAGGGAAGAGATACCTCAAGGTCAACGCCAAGTCCAGCAGCTGCTGCTCTCCTGAGTCCTCCACGTGGACTTCTTCTGCGTTCCCACATCTCATTCCTCCAATTTTTTTTTAAAAATTGTTAGTAGTAGCATAATACTAAGAAAGCACTATTCAAAGGAACAAGAAGACCCACCGTGTGCGGAACGGTCACTGTGCACCAGGCAACGTGACCCGCAATTTTCTCTCCTATAAAACGGGGATGAGAACAGGGCCTCCCCTGCTGACTCATGGGAAGAGGTTAAGATCAAAGGTGACAGTGGACATGAATCAGCATTTTATAAACCACAAGACATTGTCACCATGGCTATCTTTGGTTTTTATTATTTATTTTTTAATTTTTTAATTTTTATTTTTTGAGAGCAGGGTCTCACTCTGTTACCCAGGCTGCAGTGCAGTGGTGCAATCATGGCTCTCTGCAGGCTCAAATCCTGGGCTCAAGCAATCCTCCACTCAGCCTCCTGAGTAGGTGGGACTATAGGTGTGTGCCACCTTGCTATTAAATTACCTGGCTATGGCCGGGCACAGTGGCTCACACCTGTAATCCCAACACTTTGGGAGGCTGAGGCGGGTGGATCACTTGAGGTCAGGAGTTCAAGACCAGCCTGGCCAACCCCGTCTCTACTGAAAATACAAAAATTAGCTGGGCATGGTGGCACATGCCTGTAATCTCAGCTGCTAGAGAGGCTGAGACACAAGAATTGCTTGAACTTGGGAGGCAGAGGTTGCAGTGGGTCGAGATTGCCCCACTGCACTCCAGCCTGGGTGACAGAGCGGGACCCTGTCTCCAAAACAAAAAATAAAATAAATAAATAAATAAATAAATTACCTAGTTAACTGAAAAAAATTTTTTGTGAAGACGGTCTCAGCCGGGCGTGGTGGTTCATGCCTGTAATCCCAGCACTTTGAGAGGCTGAGGCGGGTGGATCACCTGACGTCAGGAGTTCGAGCCAGCCTGACCAACATGGTGAAACCCCGTCTCTACTAAAAATACAAAAATTAGCTGGGCATGGTGGCGGGCGCCTGTAATCCCAGCTACTTGAGAGGCTGAGGCAGGATAATCGCTTGAACCCTGGAGGCTGAGGTTGCAGCCGAGATCGCACCTCTGCACTCCACCCTGGGCAACAAGAGTGAAACTCTGTCTCAAAAAAAAAAGACAGGGTCTCAAGTATGTTGCTCAGGCTGGTCTTGAACTCAAGCAATCTGGCTTGGCCTCCCAAAGTGCTCGGACTACAGGCATGAGCCACCTTGCCCAGCCCCGTGGTTAGCTTTGAATCCTGGGCATAGAAGCTAGAAGTAAGCTCCTACCAGGG